>NC_000006.12:37332727-37635757 GCF_000001405.40 Homo sapiens | reverse complement strand
AGAGCTTACAGATGACCCTATTGAATGCAAGCACCTTTGGTGAGGAGCATCACAGGGCTCCTTCTGGAGCATTTGGTGGGGACAGCTGCAGAGAAGAGGCCTGGAACTCGGGCAGCACTGCAGTGCCAGGAGGCAGGCGGGGAACCGAGGCAAAGGCTGCCCATCTCCCCCTGCCAGGCCTGTGTGATCATTATCACCAACAGCTGGTGGGTGGCCGGGCCAGGATGCAGCGGGGCCTTCTGATGCCCAATCAGCACGGCTGCCTTCCTGACCCAGTCAAGGCCTCTGTCTGAAATGAGTCGCTCCAGGTTCTCAGCATACACTTCCATCGCGTCTGTCGGGTATTGTTCCTTAACTGTCCCATCTGTGCAGAGTCCATTGCCCCAACTAGACTGTGAGCTCCTCCTCTGAGCCTTCCAAGTCCCCCCTCCACCTTCGCCACCTCCCGCTCGTGCCCAGCACAAGTGAGCCTGGTGTGGAAACCACTCCATTGCCCGGTGGAATGGATTCTGTAATCAGTGGTTCCTGGCCTTGCCTGCAGAATAGAACCACCAGAGTCCTTTAAAAAGTATTGCTGCTTGGTTCCCACCTCAGAGGTTCTGAGTTAATTGGACTGGAGCGCAGTCGGACATCAAGAAATGTTGAAAAGCTCCTTGGGTTCTCCTGACAGCAGGAACCACTGGCCTGGCACCACCTGGGTGCTTCCTCTGTGCCCTCGCTGGGGTAGGCATTGGAGCACCAGAGATGAATAGCCCCAAGTGCTCCCTCTTTGGGGTTCCCAAGGCACCCTGTGCCTGCTTCCCTCAGAGGACCTTCCAATCCATTTGCCCCGCAACCCTGGCTGCTCCGACAGGGGAGACTTGTCTCCCTTGTTCCCCTCAGGATCCATAGAGTGGACAGTAAAGGTGCTCAGTACATGTTGGCTGAGCTGAACTGCATACATGTGGCCCCCAGGTTCCTGGTCTTTATGGACGAAGGGCACAAGGTGGAGGGGGGATGGGGGGATGCTGCTGGAGGTCTCAGTGGGTGCAGACAGCCCTGCCTTGAGGATGGCTTGACCTGGGATTGACAAAATGTGTCTGCTGAAATGCTGAGGTCCCCACGTGTGAATGGGTGAGGCTGATGTGGATGTCTGTGTGTGCCAGCAGGTGGGTGGGGGATGTGGGTGTCAGTGTATGCCAGTGGGCACTGTAAATGTCTAGGCATGTGCTGGTCTCTGTGTGTTTGTGTGTTCCTCAGCAGGAATGAGTGTCTTTGTGTATCACCTGGTGACTTGTCAGTGTCTGTGTCTGTGTGTGCCTGTGAGCCAGCATCTCTGTATCAGTGTTGCTCATGCTGTGTCTTTGTGCGCCATGGTGTGTCAGTGTCTGTGTGTTGATGGGTGGCCCATGAGTGACCCCCGCCAGGGGAGACCAGGCTGGCTGGATCCAGCACATCTCCCCAGTGGCAGCCTCGCCCTCTGGGTCAGGGTGACTGAGGCATTTTGTGGCCTTAAAACGGGGTGTTCAGGGTCAGCCCTCAGGGTGCTGGGGCCCTTCCATCCCTTGTCCCCTTCAGGTTGGTGAAAAGGACTCCGGGGGCCAGGTGCTGTATAGCAGCTTATGGAAGTCTCAGCTGGGCTATCCTGCCCTTGGGAGCACAGACAGGCTCCTAGGGTGCTGAGTGAAGCCTGAAGACCAAGCCCCCTCCTCCTGGAATGCTCCTTCCACCCCTACCTCTCAGAGATGGGCCTGACACCTCTTTCTCATTCATTCTCCTTTTCCCTGTGCTCTGGGAAAGCCCCTGGCTCAGGCTGTCAGAGTGAGGATGGACCTCAAAAGTTTGATCCCCTCGTGCAGATGAAGAAGCTGAAGCCCAGAGTGGGGAAGGGGAGTGGCCCAAGGTCACACAGCTAGTTTGAGTAGAGCCAGTCTTGGGAGAGCCAAGTACTACAGCCCTGGGGGTGTCACACCGCTTGTCACTGCCCCTGAGGTCTCCTGCCAAACAACTGCAGGGAGTTTGGCTAACAGTCCTGTGTCCAGGGTGCCGGTGGGGATGTTATAGATGTTGCTGGGATCCTGCCCTCGGCTCCAAATTCTGGCCTCTCATCCCAGGCTGCAGACCCTTCTGCCCCATGACAGGCCTGGGTGCCACACAGAGGTGGCCACCCTCCCACCACAGTGTCTGCAGCTGCTGCCCTTCTCCCAGGCCCCCAGACAGAAGAGACCCTGTTTCCCCTCCTCTCCCCTGTGACTTCACAAGAGCTTGGGCTAGGAGTGAAGGTCAGCATGTTCTCATGTGCTCATCCTCTTGGTTTCCCCAAAGACCGGGAGGGTCACGGATGGGGCGTGCAGAATCCTTGTGTTTTTTCTCGCTGGGCAGCTTGAGGGGCTGGGGAGTATTCCCAGGGTCTTTGCTCTGGAGAGTCCCTGCAGAGCCACTGGCTGAGGTTGGGTTCAGGGTTCAGCGGAGTCCTCCATGCTTCCAAAGGCCGGGAAGCACCCGCCTCTCTATCGAGTCAGTGCTGTGCGTGTGTGTCTGAGAATGTGTGTGATGTGTGGAGTGTGCGTGTGTTTGTGTGTGTGTGTGTGTGTGTTGGGGCAGAAGGACCACTCTTTCCTGGGGATCCCTTGACCCTTATAACTAGAAGGGACCTTAGGGAGCATCTAAGCTGGTGCCCCCATTGTACAGGCGAGGTCCAGAGGGATGGCATCTGCCCACCCCACCCCTTGCCCTCTTGTTGCCTGCACTCATTTCCCAGGGACCCTCCTAGGATAGGACTGCCCTCCTTCCTGGCCCCCTCCCGCCATCCTCCCAGCCACCCACATAATCACCATCTCAGCCCAACTCTGGTGGCCCTCTAGGTCTCCATGCATTCTTCCTGCCCTAGAGTAGCCAGCTCACCAAGGCCTTTATCCCCAGCCCAGGAGAAGGGTCAGGGAGGGAAGGGGCTGCACCAGCCCTGAGACCTCAAAGACTTGGGAGAAAAGCCAAAACTCCTCATGCCCAGGCCCACATGTCTGACCACCCCAGCCCACCCCGCCACCAAGGTAAAAGCACAACAGGAGACCCCCTTATTAATGGGTGAAATGATTGGGGTTGTTTTTTTAGTCACACAGCCCCATCCTCACCCCTTTGCCTTGCTGTCTGTCTCCACCCCAGCCTCTGTTCCCCATTTGCCTCTCTTTCACCTCCAAGCCCCCAAATGTAACCTCTAGTTGCGGACGCGGTTGTTCTATCAATAAAGCTGCAGTGTTCTAGCGCTCAGCGTCAGCCGTGTGTGTTGGCAGGGCAGAGTGGGCCAGGGTCGGGGCCGGGGCACTGGAGGGCTCCTCTCAGCTCCCTGGGGGCAGCCTTTCTTCTCTTTGGCACCTGTCGACAGGGATCCTGCTCTGTGGCCTGGACAGTGAGGACCTGCATCCTGGTCTGCTCCCAGTGAACTTGTGTGCATTTGTTCATTCAGCAAATACCAACCAAACACTGCCTTTGTGGAAGCCCCTGTTTAATGGGAGAGATGGACAGTAAGCTAATAATGACACCAAGACATATATAATGATGTGTACAGTGAGGGCTGGGAAGGGAAATTGGTGCTATGAAAGAAGGTATGAAGAGGGTTCTTATTTGGGTTGGGGCTTCGGGGAAGACTTCTCTAAGAGACATTTAGGAGAGACAGAATGATTGGAGTTAGCCTGTTGGGATTGGGAGAGGCTTCTGAGCAGAGGGAACAGAATATGCAAAGGCCAACAGGGCCCAAAAACTTAGAAGGCTCAAGGAAGGGGAGTAAGGGCAAAGGAGGAGGACTAAAGTTGGTATGGTGGTTGAAATGCCATTTTCCCTTCTCGGCACCCAACCCTACCATCCCTCCTACACGCTTGGAGTCCCTTCCCTCTTAATCTCTATTCTGGCCCTACAGACCCCACCCTGCACCCTACTTGGGGCTGCCTCCCTTATTCACCACCAGCTAGCTGCATCCTTGCCCTAAGATCAAGTTATGCCAACCTTTCCCTTTACCCCAGACCTCTCAGAATTCTAGAATTTCAGAGCTAGGAGGTCCTTAAAGGTCACTTATTTCAAACATCTACTCATATATTGTAGGTGAGATGGGCTTGCCAAGGTCATGGGGATAGGCAGTGATGAGCATTTGCAAAGTGACCCCAAATCAAGGGTGTGGATGTCATGATATGGACTACATCATATCAGGCAAATGACAGGAAGTGTCTTTCAGGTTACTTGGTTACAATGATTCAGGTAGGTCGATTGGGCAGTTTCACTTCCATGTTCCAGATGGGGAAACTGAAGCTCAGATTACAAGACCAAGGGCTCCCTCTCCCTACCACCTAAGTTTTATTGGCTCTCATGTTGGGTAACTTCTTGCTGGCACACCTGGCCTTTCTTTTCTAATGGAAGAGGAAGGGTCTAAGGGACTCACCACTGCTGTAGGTTGGCTCCCTGAGCACAGGAAGAGAAATCCGCTCAAGCTCACTCAAGTACAGGTGCATTATTGTGAGGACAAACACAGTGAGGGGGATGGGCACTCAGAAATCCAAACAGGAGTTGCAACAGGGATGGTTTTCCTGAACCAGATGGGCATTTTGGATTCAAGGTAGCTCTAGGATCATCATCTACAGAAGTTTCTGGTGCTTCTGTATTCTTCTGGTGCTTCTGTATTCTACCTGTGGTAGAATAAAGATGGCTGCAAATCCCATGTTATCCTTCCTGTAGAGAGGCAGAGTCTAATTCCCTTCCTCTTGAATCTGGGTTGCTCTTAGTGCCTTGTTTGTGCAATAGAATGTGACATGCTGAGTTGAAGATGCCTTGGAGCTTCAGCTCAGGCCTCTTGGAACGTTCTCTCTGGAAGCCCTGAACTGCCACCTAGGATGTCCTCTGAGTTGCTCTGAGACCGTCATGCTGGAGGGGCTCTGGCTGACCATCCCAGCTGAGTCCAGCCTTCCAGCCATCTCCACCAAAGCACCAGAAGATATGGGAGTGCAGCTGCCTCAGACCTTCCAGACCAGCCTAACTGCCACCTGAATTGCTCGGCCAAGCTCTGTCCAAATTCCTGACCCATCGTCATGGGATATAATAAAATAGTTGTTTTAAGCCCCTGCGGTTGGGAGTAGTTTTTGACAACAGCAATAGATGACCACCCTGGCATGACTCAGTCACTCCCCAGCATCTGCTGCTTTTTGTCCATGCAGTTCCTCTCCTGAGTCATGGTGTCTGCTTCCTCATAACTTCAGCTTTCCAGGCATCATGACCTCTCCAGCTCAACTCTCCTTCATGGCCTTCCGGTAGCAGCTGCCAGCATTCACTGACTCAGCCGCTCAGGATAATGGGCTGATTGGACAGGCCCCCATTTCAGGTCTAGCCACACATACATCATTGGGCAACCTGTGGGTTGGCTGCCCTTGAGTCAGATGCCACCCTGATCCAACCAGCTGGGCTGGAGGAAGGGGTCATGGACATGAAACAAGGCTACCTGGGGGCTGCCATTTCTAGGCAGTTTGTGGGTGGACCCACTTAGGAGGGGCAGGAGGCTGGCAGGCACCGAAAACACACCTCCTTGCATCTTCCCTCTTTCTCCCCTCCTCTAGTGACCATTCATTCCCAGGGGCACAGTAATGCAGTGTATGTACCATGAAAGTCCTCCAAGTGGCCCTGTCCAAGGGCAGGTCCCATTGCAAACTGTACAGGTAGGTCAGGTAACTTACAGCAACCGAGTCCTCTGTTATCAGGACTTTGACATATATATTGTTAAAGAACATAGCCAATTTACTTAGCTTATTTTTATTTATTTTTTAAGACAAGGTCTCACTCTGTCACCCAGGCTGGATTGCAATGACACAATCTTGGCTCACTGAAACCCCCACCTCCCAGGTTCAAGTGATTCTCATGCCTCAGCCTCCCAAGTAGCTGGGATTATAGTCATGTGCCACCATACCCAGCTAATTTCTGTATTTTTAGTAGAGGTGGGTCTTCACCATGTTGGCCAGGCTGGTCTCAAACTCCTGGCCTCAAGTGATCCACCCGCCTCAGCCTCCCAAAGTGTTGCAATTACAGGCGTGGGCCACCGCACCCAGCCAGGACTCTAATATTTTTATTTTCATATCACAGATGAGCAAAGTGAGGCTCAGAAAGGTGATGTGGTTACCCTAGCTCAGAAAATTCAGGAGAGGAAGAACCCAGAGGGAGATCTAGGTTTTTGACTTCTGGTGCGATGTGCGTTCACATCAGCCAGAGTCCCTCCTCTTCTTCCTCTCCTTGGAGATCACTCTGCTTTTCCCACCAGCTCTTCCCCAGGGGCTGGGAGAAGCAAGGCCTTTCCCTGTGAGGCTCGGGCTCCAGTCCTCTGCTTCAGATGGAGACCGTCCCTGTTCCTGCTTTTCTATTTCTAGCTTTTTGCATGTCCTTTATTGAAAGCTACTGTAACACCTTTTCAGAAAAGGGTTGGGTATAAATAAACACAAGAAAAAAGTCGAAACTCTCCTCCTTGAAGTCACCCCAAACCTGGGTGGAGGCATCCTTCCATACTGCTTCTTGAACCCCCGCTCCCAAATTCATCTTTCCTGGCCGTGCGTGCCCAGCGTGTTTCCTGTTCTGAGGTCCACTTGGCAGGGCCCCCGAATGCAAATCCCACCACCACATCCATCGCCCTGTCTTGTTAGCTGTTTGGCCTTCTCTAAAGATGTTTTGAATTGCCCATTTTTCTCAGGTCCCCTGGGGCCAGCCACAGTTCAGCAGAGTAGACTCAGCACCCTGTGAGTCCTCATTCCATCTATATACGCCACCCTCCATAAGCAGAGTCCCTCTCTGTCACCCCCCGTGCCGTTCCCCCAGAACCACCCGCCAGTTCACTCTCATCTGAGAGGCGGTGAGAAATAGAGTAAAACATGAGTCAGAGAGGCTGAGAGTGCCGAACGTCCACACAGTGGGAGTCTGTGCTGCCATTTAAAGATGTCCATAATATATTGTCGAGAGAGAATGGCAGATTAGAAAGCGCATGCCTGTTACTATCTTTTTTATGTAATAACATCTGTGTATATATGAGCATATGCATTTTTTTTTTGTCCGAAAGACTATTCACTGGAATGTGAATAGTAGTTATCTCAGCAGTGAAATTTCAGATGCTTCTGACTCACATCTTTAGGCTTTCTGTATTGTCTGAATATTTTTTCATGAACATATAATTTTTTTAATAACCAGGGGAAAAAATCTATTTTCTCGAGAAAATAAAAGCCAGAAGTCATCAAGGACTATAGATTAGAAATAAAGGTCACTTTCTGTTCTTAGCATTATTTTTATAACTGTACATCACAGAGTCTGGGAAAGGGCTTTGAACTTGAAATCTTTTCCTGCTGATTTATTCAAATAAAAATGCTCATGCAGTGGGGGAGGCGAGGGGGAAGAATTGGGTTGAGTTTACCAGGGGCAAGGCAGAGGGGATGTCGAGCCAAGCTTTCAATAACAGAAATTCCAAAGAGAAGAACACGACCTCCAGCAACAAACACTAACATTTAGTGTTATATCTGATGCCCATGCAGTGTGTGCGACTGTGTGTGCACAAGTGTGCATGTATGCTTGCACACATGTGAGTGTATGTACATGCCCACACATGTAAGCCTGCGGCAGCCTTGACCATATGATGAATTATGAAGCAAGTGGCTAATTGAGATGCCCAGGGTCAGTGGTTGCTGCAGTCAGAGTGGGAAGGGCCCAAGAAAGTATAAAAACTACAGCTCCTCTGCCTGCCCAACTCCTCACCTTCCTCCTCAGCCTCTCTTGTCCTCACCCAGACTCAGGGCCCAGGAGGGGAAACTGAGGCATAGAGCAAGGGAAGGAGTGGGAAAGAGGACCTGGAGAGCCAGAACTCCTGTGTTCTATCACTCTATCTAAGGCCTCCCTTTCACCCTCTCCTTCTTTTGACTCAAGAATCCCAGGTCCCTGGAACCCCCCCAAAAGCAGGAGAGAGAGGGAAGAATCAGTCATCTGAGGATCAATATACTGGACTACTAGTTACTAAACCCAAATATACATTTAAAAATAAAAGAATAATCCCTCCCATGTGCACAGCCCTTCCAAGTTTACACTGATTTCTCCTTTTACCCTCATGCTATCCCTGAGAAGATGTCAATAATGCCCACGTTACAGGTGGGAAAACTGAGGCTTAGAGAGGAGGAGGAATCTGCCTACGGTCACACAGCTGCAAAGGCTAGAGCTGGGACCAGGAGCTGGTCTCTTAACCGACCACCTGGTGAGCTTTCCATAGCTACCTTTATATCTTAAAAACATGTTTCGAAAGTAGTATCACCCAAGCACCATGTGTTCATTAGGGGGAAAAACCCTAAGGGAAGAAAAATGAAAATTACAAGGCTTTCAGATGAAGTTTGGGAGGTCCTGAGTGGGGGCTGGGTGATGGGGGACTGCCAGAAAGAATGGAGCTCCCCTTGGCAGCACCCAGGGCTGACTTTTTCCTGGAGCTAGTCCAGAAAGAGGTGCTGGAGGCAGCAGGTGGGTTCTGAAGAGGCCATGTAGAGATGGAGGTTGGCAAAGAGAAGCCTGCTTAACAGTACAGGCCTCAGAGCCTCACAGACCTGGATTTGAATCCAGGCTCTTTCCTCCACTTACTAGCTGTGTGACCATGGACAAGTTACTAAACCTCTCTGAGCCTGAGTGTTTTTCTCCACCTGTAATGTGAGAATAAGAGTAAGGATGAAACGAAATAACTTGTCTAAAACACTTGGCACAGTTGCTGATGCAGAATAGGTGACTAGCAAGTGTTAACTCATCATCATCATCATCATTATTTGGAAGGGCAACACTTAATGCACCTGCTGGGCATGGTGGTTCATGACTGTAATCCCAGCACTTTGGGAGGCTGAGGCAGGTGGATCACTTGAGGCCAGGAGTTCGAGACCAGCTTGACCAACATGGTGAAACCCTGTCTCTACTAAAAATATAAAATATAAAAATTAGCCGGGTGAAGTAGTGGGTGCCTGTAATCCCAGCTACTTGGGAGGCTGAGGCAAGAGAATAGCTTGATCCTGGAAGGCGGAGGTTGCAGTGAGCCGGGATTGTGCCACTGCACTCCAGCCTGGGCAACAGAGCAAGACTCCGTCTCAAAAAAAAAAAAAAAAAAAAAAAAAAAAAAAAAAAAAAAAAAAGCAAGCACCTAAGAGCCCACTGCAGCATGTTCATAGATATGAAACCTGGGTATCCATGGGCTGGGAGTGGGAGGAATCTCCCCTTTCCCCATGGCTGGGCCAGTCCCCAAAGGCTCCTTGAAGGAGGTCCTCTTCAAGGTTAGATAGACAAAGGCCAGGAACACAGATGCAGGGAGGCAGCTGCTTGGCTTTGAGGGAAACCAGGGGCGTTGGAGATGACCAAGGGTCCAGACCGGCCTCTTGCTCCCCCTTCCTCTTTAGGACACCTGGGGCATTGGCAGCCCCCGGCAGCACTGGCATCTCCCTTCCTCTCATGAATGTGAGACATCTCATGAGGCCTCGCTCCAAATAAGCTGAGTGTGTGGGCAAACTCACCCCACAATGAGGGGAGCAGGATGGGCTGGCCTGTGCAGCCTGAGGAGGGCCTGCAGGGAGGAGGGGAGGGGGCAAGAATTGGGACCACCCCTTTCCTAGACTCCTCCTCCACTCAGCAGGCAGAAAGCCCCCTTGGAAACGCTCAGTCCCTTGATTAGAAGTGTCCAGGGCTTTTCCTGATGTTAAAAGTTCTCAAGAGATGAGATTTCCAGGACTTTCCAGGGTCCAACACTCATTTGTTTTATTATCTCACTCCTCATAGGAGGTTTTTTCTTTTTAAAATCCAACTTGATCTTTCCTGCTGCAACCTGGCCAGATGCTATCACACCAAGCTCCTCTGTCCCTCCAGCATCGCCCATGGCTGACCTGCCCACGGGGAGGCGGGCTGCAGGCTTCGCTGCCCTGTGTGGGTCCCATGTCCCCTGCGGAGCCCAGCACTGGGCTCTGCGCATAGCAGGCTCAAGGGCTCTGGAGTGCGCATGCTTAGTGGCCCCTGCAAGTGCCTGCTGATCTCTACCTGAAGATGCGGGCTAGAGGGCTGGGTCCTGTTTCCGCAGAAAGAAGGGAGGGAAGAGGGAGAGAAGTTGGAGAAGAGGTGAAGAGAAACAGAGGCTGAGCCCAGAGAGTGAGAAGAACACTGTTAAGGAGGAGTGCCTGGACCCACATTCTGGCTTGCGACGTTGAATAAGCCAGCCCTCTCTCTGGACTCGAATGTCCCTGTAAATTGGGAGAAGGCTGGGGAGGCTTGAAGCTGAAGGTTCCTTCAGCTCTGGGATTCAATGAAATGAGGGAGTGGGGTGTTTCTAAGCAATGCAGAGAAAGGGGGCCCCCCACAGAAAGGTAAATGGAAAACAGGACACAGCCCTGCTTCTGTTTGTAGTCCTGAGCATCTAACTCTGTCCCCGCCCCAACACTGGGGACCCCCATTACCCAGGCCTAAGTGGGAGCTCCTTAATCTTCTTCCGCTTCCCACCCCAATCCTTGAACCGGGCCCCACCCCAGCCAAGAGGCAGGCAGGTGGCGGGAGCTGCAAGACCGAGACCGGCGTCTTGGCCGGGAGCCCGGCAGGGCGTGGGCACCGAGCGGCCCACAGCCGGCGGAGCGGGGCGGGTGGAGCAAGCGGCGGGCTCTGGGCTTCAGGCTCCGCGCCCAGGGGCGGGCAGCCTGCTCCGCACCAGCGGCGTCGGCCGGAAGATGAGCGGGATCTGGCTGCATCCTGAGGCAGGGGGTCTTAGCGAGGTGGGCTGGGTGTCAGGAGCACTGTAGAGCCCAGCCAAAGTCAGGAAGGACAGAGCTAGCCCCCAGGGAGGATGGCTGCAAGGTGCAGGAGGCTGTAGGTGGACCTGGGCTGGGGGCTGCTAGAATTGGGGCTTGGAGGGAGACTCCTGCCGTCCATGAAGCCCCAGAGGCATTAGAAAAGCCCTGTCCAGCCAGGACCCTCTACCCTGGTGGTGGGCATGGCGCAGTCCATCCAGAAGGTTCCCAGGAAGTCACTGGCCTTGCCCTGGACACCCTGTCCTGGAGGGAGGAGTGAGGGTGGAGGTTGGCAAAGGGCGGATTCTGTCCCTTCACTCCCTTCATCCTGAGTCCAGAGATAAGGACAGGATCGGGGGTGGGGGACGGAAAGTCCCACTTCCACTCTCCCTAGGGTGGGAATTTGAGGGTTTTTTGTTTGTTTGCTTTTGTCTAAAACTTGAAGAGCAGAGAAGGTTCTGGATGGGCCAATCTCTCCCTGCCGCTACCCTCCTTCAGGACAGGACTCCCCTGGGGGCTCCAGTGGAAGTGGCATTGGAGGGGTTGGGGAGTGTGCGGCATCCGGGTGACTTCTGGCCTCTGGACTGGAGGGAGGTGGGGTCCAGATCCCCATCCTTTGGTGAGCAGGCCCGACTCTGAGGAAGTTGTTACCCCTCTTCTGTCAGCCTTGGCCACACCTTGCCCCCAGGGCCTGTCTGGCACAGGGCCACAGCTTTGGAGGTTTCCACACATCTTTCTTCTTGTCTCTCTCACTCACCTGTCTCCATGGGAACAGGCTTCAGGGCTGGCAGAGATGACTGAAGTCTGTGGCCCTCAGACCTGAGCAGGGTCTGGCCTTTCCTGGCTGGTGAGAATCCAATCAGTTTCGAGATGCTGCCAAGGTAATAAGGAGTGGAGGGAAGCTGTAGTCACCCCCTCCAATGGCCGGCCGGATTCCTCCTTATAATACCCTTCCAGCCTTGCTTGAATTCTGCCAGTGACCAGGAGCTCAGCACTTTGCCAGGCTTGCTTACTCACTGTCAGCCAGTAAGCAGTGAGGACTATCCCCTCCCAGCCCTCTGTATCCTGGGCCATGTTGGGGGAAAGGCCACAGAAGAACAGAGGCAGGAGCTCTGCTCTGCACCCCTCAATGTTCCAGAATGCACTGAGAAACCCCAGGGTGTTGCCCTTGAGTCACTCAATGAAGCTATGACTCTGTCTTGAGAAATGGTGTAATGCCAGTGGGAGAGGTGAGACTGGGATCTTGGGGTCTGGGTTCTGGTCCGAGCTCTGCCGTGGATTTTCTTCTCATCTGTGGGCCTCAATCTTGCCACCTGCAAAATGGGAGGAGTTAGGATTGAATTATTTCCATAGGGCCTTCAAAGTCCTGACTTCCAGTGTTCTGTGTTTTATTTGCTATTAGGGTAAAGGATCAGATCAGGCATAAGGAACCAATAGCCCCAAACAGGTTTTCGTTTGTTTGTTTTTGTTTTTTGTTTTTGTTTTGTTTTGTTTTGTTTTGTCTGTATCTCTTGGTTAGCAAAGATGGATTTCTGCAACACACATTTAATCCCAGGGTCGCTGCCTGCATGTGGGACACAGCACCTTTGTCTGTCCCCATAGGCTTTGTCCAGGTTCTTAGGCTTGTCTGAGTCCTGTTCCTTTTTCCAGAAACTGCATCTTCCTCAAGCCGTGGTAGATTTCTGTCTCTTATTTTGTCCCATGAGTTACCCCAGCCCTTCTCCCAGGTGCCCTGTGCACCCTGGATCCGTCCCTCATCCTGACTCCAGAAGCTCTGGCCTCCTTCCTGCCTCTACACCCCAGGGGCACCACCTTTCTCTCCACTGTCTGCTTTTCCCTTCCTGGAACCTAATTCTGGGAGTTCTCCTTCCTACCGGGGCTGGGGAGAACGTAGTTGCATTTTTTCCTACATGGGGTTTGTTCATTCATTCACTCACTCAGTCACTGTGGCAGCCACTGTTGGTTGCACCAATGAGGAGACTCGGGAGGATAATCCTATCTTGTCCCTCTGGCCCTCCCCCAGCTTCCTGCCCAATGGGCATGACTGTGTGACATTGTCATGCCTGGAACAGTGCTAGCCGACCTGTGACCATGATGCATCAAGCTCCAGAATAAAAATCAACACTGTGAAGACGGTGAAGCAAAAAGGTGGAATGAGCCTGGGGTTCTTGATGAGTGATTTGCTGTCAAACCAACCCTGAAACCACCCCCCTCCACACTTCCTGTTGAGTACACAAATGTCATACAGTTAAAGCTTTATAAATGAAGTATTGTGGTCTTTTGCTATCACTATAACAGCAAAAATTTAGACATTCACTTAATTGGCCATTCACTTACTCATGAATTCACTCACACATGTATTCACCTTCTTGTTGTACTGATTAGGATAGAGGTTCAGATGCTCTAACAGAGATCTCCAAAGAGCGGTGGCTAAATTAAATATAAATGTAGTTCTCTCTTATGTAACAGTCTGGCTGTAAGTAGTCAAGGGCTGGGATGTCAGCTCCAAGATCTCAGGGACCCAGGACACTTCTAGTTAGTTGCCCCAACATCCCTGGGGTGTTCTCTTGTCCATATGGTCCAGGATGTTTTACCACCATGTCACATTTCAACTGGAGGGAAGGAGGAAAGGTAAAGGGAGGGCCTGGTTCTTTTGTAAAAATATGATGCGGAAGTTAAATATCCCACACATCGCCCACATCTCATTGACCAAAACTTAGTTATATGGCCACTCCTAGCTGCAAAGGAGGCTGGGAAATGCATATTCTATTCTAGGGTGCTGTCTGTCCAGCTATAAATTATTTTTGTTTTGCTATAAAAGAAGGTGAGAAACAGGTATTGGTTGGGGGAGGAGGGCAATTGGCAGTCTTATTAATTTTTCTCATTCACACCATTCATTCATTCATTCAATAAACATATTGAATACATACTATGTTGAAAGCACTGGGTTAGATGCCAGGATCCCAGCCTTCAGGTTCCTCATGGTCTAGGGGGAGGATAAGGAAAGTCTAGATATTCGAATCCAACAAACTTTGTGAGCACCTGCTCTGCCCAGACATACATCCAAACTGAAATGCAAAAAGCACCAGTGACATTATGTTTTTAGGTCAGTCACTGTCCACTTTGACTACCTGCCCCCTCATGTCCCCTCTCCCTGACTGAGCCCAGGAAGGGAGGACAGTGACAAGAGCAAGTGAGAGCATGCCCCTCAGAACAAATGTTTGCTTAGGAAAATCCTTCTTGGTTCCTGACTAGAATCCTGCTTGCCGAAATGTGCTCTCACTTTTTGTTCTTGGGCATGATGGTCATTCGTATTGGCCTCTGCCTTGGGGCCTCATCAGATGCTAGCAGTGTGGGGAGCAGTGGAGAAGACACGGACCTCCTAGCAGTGGTCCTGCCTGCCAAAGAAAGGCTGTCAGTTTCCCACCCTTGGGGTAGCATGGTGGCTCAGTGTCTTTGGGAAGCAGAGAGTCTGTGAGAATGGTCCCTACTGTGTGCCTGGCACACAGCGAGTGCACCATGGGAGCCTGATAAATGGATGAATGAAGAATCAATGAATGCACGGTAGGTAGATTGTACTTTTCAATATGGACCTCAGAAATATTTCTGGTCCTATGTTAGCTCTTCCATGACCTGGCAACTCCTCATCAAAAGGTACATCTGTTTTCTCTCCTCTTGAAATGGGGCTGATTTGTGACTGCCTCCATCAATAGAACGCTTTTGCAGAAGTGACACTGCACGACTTTAGAAGCTAGGCCATAAAAGGCACATAGCTCTGCCTGGGTCTGTCTGTTTGTCTGTCTGTCTTTCAGGAGAGCCCAGTCACCATGCTGGGAGAAAGCACAGGCTGTATGGAGACACCACATGTTTTAGACAAAGCCCAAAGTCTCAGCCCATAACCAGCATCAGCCTCCAGATATGTGAATAGCGAGTTTGAGATCATTTCAGCCCCCATCCTTTCAGCCAGCCCAGATGATGCTGGGCAGAGTAGAGAGATCTTTCCCCCACCAAATCCTGCCCAAATTGAAGAATCCTGAGCAAAAGAAATGTTGCCATTGTTTTAAGCCACTAAGTTTTTGTAGTGGTTTGCTCTGCAGAACAGCCTGGTAGATTTCAAATGGCCACAAATCCTTTGCAGCTTCTCCCACCAAGAGATGGCGTCTATTTCCCTACCTCTTGAATCTGCGCTGGCTTTGACCAAGAGAATACACCCGCAATGATGTTGTGCAACTTCTGTTTTCACTTTCTTGCTGCCCTGAGACTGCCATGTGAAAGGGCCAAGCTATCCTGCTGGATCAAAGTCCAGCCAACAGCCAGCACCAACCTCCAGACATGTGAGTGAGTTCACATCAACCATCCTGCCCCAGTCAAGCCACTGGCTGCAGCCACATGAATGACCCCAGGAAGAGCCCAGTCCAGATCACTGACCACAGAATTGGGAGTAAATAAAATGGTTCTTGTTTTAAGCCACTTCACTTAGTACACATCAATAGATAACTGATCATATCAACTTCCTATTTCTCAAACAGCTTTTGAACCAAGAGGTATTTTGTGTGCCCAGGGTTGTGCCAGGTGTGGGGATGGGCATAGTAGATGAGATTCTCGTCCTCCAAGAGTTGATTGCTTGGTGAATCAAGGCTCACAGTGGAGTAGATTGCTAGTTGACAACGCAGATTCATCCTCCCTTCCTCATGCTGATGGAACTGCAGGCCAGGCGCTCATGGCTGCCCAGATGCACCGTGCTTCCCAGCCTCCCTTGCCAAGCTCGCTCCAATGGCAAGTGAAAGGAAGTGATGGAGGCCACTTCAGTCCTGACCCTGTAGGAGAGTGGGGCTGTCCTTCACCCTAGGGGAATGATGGAGGAACAAGATGGAGGGAGCCAGGGTCTCCACGTCACCTTTGGAGGAGAGCTGCTCACTACCCTAGACTCAAGCTGCTATGGAGGAGGTTATAAACCTCTCATGTGTATCTGGGTTTTGGATTCTCTATTACAGGAATTCAGTTTTACCCCAGTAGTACAGCCAGTCTCTCCTGCAAGGCGGCCTTCAGTGCCCATGTCTCTTCTCCAGACTGGAAGCTTGAGTTGGGGCTGAGGGCTGGGAGGCAGTGGGTAGCGGGTGGTGCTTCCTTCCTGCTACAGCATGAGTCCAACAGAGCAGGGACTTTTGTTCTTTCTGTTCACAGCTGTATCTCCAATCCAGTGCTGGAACACAGCATGACAGATAGGAGATGATTAATAAATATTTCTTGATGGGTAAGTGAACCAGGGCAGAAATAGTGTTCCCTCATAATTCTAGGGGATTCCTAAGGACAAAGCTTATGTCTCCTACCTCAGGCTAGGAGCTTCTCTGGTACAGAGGCTGTGTCTCCCCTCAGACTGGGGCTCCCTGAGGATGGGGCTGTGTCTCCCTCAGACTGAGGCTCCTTGAGGATGGGGCTCTGTCTCCCTCAGACTGGGGCTCCCTGCATTAAGGCTTCCTCCTCCCTGACTTTGCAGGTTTGGAGCAGAGTGTTTGGGCGTCTGCGTCATGCAGGGCAAGACTCTTGGGTCTGTCCCCACTGTCTCCCCGCCAGGGCCCCTTGTGGCGTGGGCAGCGACTGTGGCGGGGGCTGCAGATGGCATTCAGTGATGCTCGAGGGTGGTTAAGCACCCTTGGAATGAAGTTTAGGCTCATTAAAGCTTGTTTGAGAGAAGAGCCAATTAGGGAGGCAATTTTCCTTGAGCAGTCTGAAGAATGGAGTAAAACAGTAGCCGATCAGACAGGAAGCCAGCATCCGCCCCCAACTCAGCTGGCCTGCTGGGGGCTCTAGTCCGCCTTCTTACCTCCTGGGAGCCCCCAGCCACCTGGATGTGAGCCAATGGGTAGACAGGGGGGCAATCGAGCCCCACAGAGACCCCAGGGCTCTGGAGGTCTCCTGGAGCAGCCCCTCTGCCCTGCAGCACTCCACCAACTTAACTCCAGCTTCTCAGCCTCACGCTCCTGGCTGTTGGAAAGTACTTCCTCATCACTAATTGCCTGCTTTGGGGTTGAAGTTTCTTTCTATTATATCTTTTGTGAGAAAGGAAAATAGGAAGCACTTTTAGGAGAGGCTCAGAGGCTCCCCTCACCTTCCCTTCTCCACCCTGGAAGTTTGTGCCTTGTCACGGGCAGATGGAGGAAAGGTGGTTTTCTGGGAGTTCTGTGTTGGCCAGGACTTGATGGGAAACAAATGAAAGAAACCCAGCTGAAATGATTGAACGAAGGCAATAAAGGGCTTGATGAGGATTCAGAAGATCTCTCATAGTCAAAGGAAGGGAGCCACCAGCAGGAAGGAGAGCCCTGGAGACATCTGGAACCCAGGACTGGGACCCTGCCACCGCTCTATTCTTGCTCTGGTACCTGCTCCTGTGCCTACTGACCTGAGTCCCTCAGACCCTCTCCCCCACGTGCTAGGTGATGTGCTGCTAGCCGCAGCCCCCTTACTTTCTCATGTCTCATGGCTTTGCCTTCAGATAAGAGCTGAACATGTCCCAGCTCCAGTTTGAGAAATCCCAGGGAAGAATTCCAGTCGGCCCAGCTTTGAGCATTGGCTCAGCTTTCAACTGCTCATCTGATGGCCAAGGGGTGGGGACCCATGATAAACACCCTCTAGTAGAACCACAGAGCTGGGGTGGTGGGGTCAGTTCCCCAAAACAAGAGGAATGCCAATCCCAGAAGCAGGGCCCTGGCTAGGAAGACTGTATCATAGTTATCAACTACAGGGGCAGAGCTGTTTCCTCCCCTCACTGTATGGCTGGCATCTTGTCAAGTAGTTTACCCCATCTCCTTTATTTCTCGAAACAAGCATGAGGGAAGTTTCCATTAGTGAAACCCCCATCGCTAAAATCTAAAAAAAAAGACTGTAATCACAATAACTTCGGAGACCGAGTCGAGCAGGTTGTTTGAGATCAGGGGTTCGAGACCAGCCTGGGCAAGATGGTGAAACCCTGTCTCTACAGAAAATATAAAAACTGGCCAGGAGTGGTGGCTCGTGCCTGTAATCCCAGTACTTTGGGAGGCTGAGGCGGGTGGATCACGAGGTCAGGAGTTCCAGACCAGCCTGGCCAAGATGGCAAAACCCCGTCTCTACTACAAAACACAAAAATTAGCCAGACGCGGTGGTAGGCGCCTGTAATCCCAGCCACTCAGGAGGCTGAGGCAGGAGAATCGCTTGAACCGGGGGTTGGGGGCAGAGATTGCAGTGAGCCGAGATCATGCCACTGAACTCTAGCCTGGGTGACAGAGTGATACTCCATCTCAAAAAAAAAAAAAAAGAAAATATAAAAATTAGCCAGGCATGGTGGTGCAGACCTGTTGTCCCAGCTACTCAGGAGGCTGAGACGGGACTATCTCTTCAGTCCAGGAATTGGAGGCTGCAGTGAGCTAGGATTGCACTACTACACTCCAGCCTGGGAAACACAGTGAGATCCCCATCTCTTAAAAAAAAAATCATGATTTACAGATGAGGAGATTGGGGCTTAGGGAAGTTAAATAACTTGTGCCAGCTCACACAACTTTTAAGTGAGAGAGTCAGGACTTGAACCCATAACATTTGGTGGCAGGATTTGGTGAGGAAGGAAGGAAGGGTCTATGTGATGAGATAAACCTTGGACATGTGAAATGGAGCTCCTAATACCAGGCGGTCTGTGCCAAGTGCCCAAAATAGAGTTCACACAGAGTTGAAGGCAGCTAGAGCCAAGAGGCAGAGTTGGGCAGGCTCCAGGAGTCAGGGTAGGCTTCCTAGAGGAGGTGGCATTTGCAAGCCTAGCAGGATGCTTTGGGCTGCTCCAGAGAGAGGTCTTGGGCAAAGGGGTGCAGGGACTAGTAGTCCGAAGTTGGGCTGGTGCATTGCAGGGAGTAAGGGTGAAGGGACCCGGGTAGGCCTGACAACAACTGCTTCAGTGGCCAAGTCAGAAGCCTGTGCCACCCAGGTCAGGGAAGTGAGCTGTGGAGACCCTGTAAGCAGGGCCAAACTTCACCCTGCTGGCACTAGAACATTGGGGATTTTTTAACTAGAGGTGTAGACAGCAGGAAACAGCATTTCTGGAGGAAGGATGGATATGGAATACTTGTTGAGCACAGCAACCCACAGCCTAAGCTAAGGGGAGGAGCAAAGCAGCCAAAGTCAGGATCTCTGTTCACCCAGTGCTCCATCCCAAGGCAGCGTGGGACTTAGACTTGGAACCGAGCCCTCCAACTAGTCTAGCCACCTTGTGGGAGCAAAGCCTATCACAGCACCAGACACACAGTAGGTGCTCAACAAAGAGGGGTAACTATTACCCAGCCCACTGGGATGACAATACTGCCAGGACTTGGTAGGCTGGGGTGGTGGATGGAGGCTGTACAACTGAGTACTACCAGGACCACCAGGAGGTAAGTCCGGAGAGTAGAGATGTCTGGTTGGGTCATTGCTCTAGCCCCACAACCCGGCACAAAGCAGGGGTTCACTACATTTTTGGTGACTCTGCAAGGTAGGCCTCACGATCCCCATTTTACAAATAAGAAAACTGAGGCTGGCAGAATTAAAGGGAGTTGTCCAAGGCCACACAGCTAGAAAGTGAGGGAATCAGGTTCTGCTGATTTTCCAAACCCAGTTTCCTTAACCAGCACCCACTGCTACCTGCCTGGAGATGGGCAGGGGCCAGAAAGATGCTCTGCCTCCCCCATCAGACTCAAAAGTGAGAGATCTGTTTCATTCTCTCTTTCCCCTTGTTGGTCCCTGCTCAGGGTTCGAACTCTTTAGACCCGGATGGAGGCTAGAGGAGATCTTCAGAGGCCACCTCGATGACCTGAGTCCACGCCAGGCCCCCGTCACTTCCTGGGGAGTCTGAGGAAGGCAGCCTCAGCAGCAGCGGGTGGCCTGCTAATTAGGACACGGTCTTTATGACTCACTATTCTGAGATGTCATTTTCTAGACTTGGGGTTGGGGGTGGGAGTGGAGAAGGCACACAGAGTTGTTTTTAATTACATTTGGTTTGCTAATTTCTGATAGAAAATAAATATTTACCGGGAGCCATATTTCTTCATTTCACGCCGGCTGACTCCTGAGTTTATCGGGAGCCCAAACAGACACCTCCTGCTCACCTCCCTGCCTTCCCAAGTTCCTACCCCCGCGTGGAGTCACACACCAGGAGCCTGGAGGAGGGGGCGGAAGGGAAGAGATGGAAGGAGTTGGACAGGCAGACAGGGGCAGGCCTGGCTTCTGTGGGCAGAAGGGCTAAGTTCCAGTATGAATAGAGGGAAGAGGATCTGAGGACCTGGAGATGCTCCTCCCTCCTCATCCTCACATGGGCAGTGGCCAGCTCATGGATGGGAGTCTGGAGGTTGGGTGGCCTCAGCTCTGTGCCAGCCAGCCCCGAGCCTGGCCTCCCTTCCTGGGCCAGCTTCCTCCTTCCTACTGGGATGATCTCCAAGGACATTTCTGCCTTGCACATCCTGGGATGTGGTGATTCTGGCCCCCAGTAGCATCCCTCCAAGGACTGACCTCTGAGGCCTTTTTGGGTAATGTGGATGGGCAGGAAGATTTAAAGGTCATCCTGTCTGCTCCTTGGCCTCCAGATGGGCCTTTGCAAGGGAGTGGGAGGAGGGAAAGGAGTAAGGAAGGAGGGAGGGAGAAAAGGGATGGGGAGGAGAGGAAGGAAGAGAGGGCTGAGTTCCCCTGGCAGAGGGTAGGGGGCTAGGATGTGGCCCTCAGGAAGTAAGGACATCTATTCTTCTCTCTTCTGAAGGTCCAGGTCTTTGGGTTTATAGGGCACATACATCAAAGGGGGTGCCTCTCTGATGCTGGAGAGGGAAAAGGATAATAGAGGCCCCTTAGTTGAGGGTTGGGGGCCTCAGCAGAGTGGAAAGATGGAGTAGAGAGGGTTTCTCGATCTCAGCACTCTTAGCAATTCTTGATTGTGGAGGTTGTCCTGGGCACTGTAGAATGCTTTGCAGCACCCCTGGCCCTACACAGTAGATGCCAGTAGTATCCACCCCCGTCCCCAAGTCATGACAACCAAAGTTGCCTCCAGACACTGTTAGATGGTGTGTGTGTGCGCACATGAGCGTGCAAAGTTACTCCTGATCAAGAAGCCCTGTTTAGGATAAGGGGAGGTGAGGCTGGGAAAGAGAAGAGAAAGGGAGGAGCCTCAGGAGGATGAGGAGGAGCTTGTGGGGACTCTGGGCTGAGTGGTGAGGGGGCCCCCTGAGAGATGGCGAAGAGATAAGGAGATTTGGAGGCTGTAGAGTGTAGAGTTCCCTGCCCCCAGCCTGGCTTTTAAATCCATGTTAAGCCACGATTGTTTTTTTTTTTTTCCAATTACATTTCAATTTAGCTCAATTACTTTTCCATTATTGTTCAAGCGACTCAGTTTTAATTGAAGCTGCTGGTTCTTATCTCTCTCATTCCCCCACATAGAAGGAGGGAGGGAGAAGGAGGGTGTGGGTTAGAGGGAGCCCAGGTTGGTGGGGTTCTAAGGGCAATGGGCATCTTCAGCAGAAAGATCAAGGCTTCCAGAGGTGGGGCAAACTAGGAGCTCTCTGGGGCATCTCTGAGTGGTCAAATAAATCTGCAGGGAGAGCAGGAGAGCTACAAAGAAGGAAGGGTGTGATCACGACATATATGAAGTACCAGGCATTGTTGTAGCCAAGGTACATTTAGTCAGCACAGTCCTGCAAGGGATGTACTATTAGCATCCCCATTTTACAGATGCAAAAACTAAGGCCCAGAGAAGTTAACGAATTCATTCTGGGTCATAATCCTGATAAATAGCAGAGTTGGGAGGCAGTTCAGTCCCCTGGCTCTTCAGTTTGCATGCTTAACCCCAGACTACACTCAAACCCTCTCGCATGGTTATGTCCACTGGCCCCTCCCAATACCTGTCCCCACTCCCAGACATCTCCTCCTTCCCTCCCTCCCAAGCTCTGAGTCTGGCTCAGTTTCTTCCAGGTCATTTGGCTTTCCATCTTTCTCTAATTTCTGTCCAGGCTTCAAGACCCAGCCCTCCCTATCTTTTCCAGGAAGTCTTCCCTGATTGCCCTTACCCTCATGTATTCCTACAGCCCTAAGCTGCCATCTACCTACCCGTGTTACTAGCTTCTGTGGGGTTGGGGGTGGCAGCTGGGAATAGGGTGGGGGATTGGGAAGGCAATGCTTTGGAGTTGGACAGATCTGAATTAAGCAACCTGCAAGCCGTGTGACTTGGGCAAGTCAT
Organism: Homo sapiens; assembly: GCF_000001405.40. NCBI lineage: Eukaryota > Metazoa > Chordata > Mammalia > Primates > Hominidae > Homo > Homo sapiens. Next base: position 37,613,773 of record NC_000006.12, on the reverse strand, counting down.
TTAAGCTCAGTGAGTCTCCATTTTCTTGCCTGTAAACTAAGTGTTAATAACACCATCTCTTGGTAGCGGGTGTCCTGTGAATTAAATTAAATGAGATGAAGTCTGTAAAGCACCAGCAAGGGGTAAGAGGCCTAAACAGGGTAAAGGGGTTCCTTATGTTGACCCTGAGATGCAGGTACAGTAGGATCAGTCCCCCAACTTCACAGATCAAACAAATGAGCCCCAGAGATGTGCTCAAGTCCTGTAGGGAGGTAGAAGAGAGTCTGGGCTTGGGAACACATTTTAACCCTGAATGTCATCAATTCTGTGGCAGAGGAGACGGGGGAGGAGGGGTAAAAATAGCTGTGAACTTTCTGACCCCTGGGGGTGAGGAGCCTGGACTCTTACTCTTCCTTCACCTTCCTTGCTCTGCCTGGGGGCCCAGGGGAGTCAGAGAGGGGCCACCCTGTGACTCTCATGGTGGATGAGTGATAGTGGTAAAAGCAGGCAAGCCCCCCTGCCATGCATTTGTGGTGTGTACATGGTTTTCTCAGTTGAGAGATGCCTTCCATTGAAGTAACAGCATATTAGACCAAAAGGGGTGTCCCCTAGCAGGCTGGAGTGCAATGGCGCGATCTCGGCTCACCGCAACCTCCGCCTCCCAGGTTCAAGTGATTGTCCTTCCTCAGCCTCCCGAGTAGCTGGGATTACAGGCATGCACCACCACACCCAGCTGATTCTGTATTTTTAGTAGAGATGGGGTTTCACCGTGTTGGTCAGGCTGGTCTTGAACTCCTGACCTCAGGTGATCTGCCCGCCTCAGCCTCCCAAAGTGCTGGGATTACAGGTGTGAGCCACTGCGCCCAGCCTGGTTTTTCGTAAGTAGCGAAAAGTCTGGAGGGGTTGATTCCTGAGCTGGTCAATGACTCAGGCTCCTCACAGATCCCTCTGCTCTGCAACCTTCAGTGTGTTCATAGTGTCCATCGCCTCATGGTCACAAGATGGCGGCCAGAGCACTTCATCACAGCCTCACAGACAACATCCTGAGCTGCAAGGAAGAAGAAAGAAAAAGAGAGCTCTCCTCATGCACTCTCTCCTTTCATCAGGGAGAAAATTCCTTCCCAGAGACTGTCCAGCAGACTTTTGTGTCTCATTGGCCAGAACTGAGTCATACAGCCACCTCTGCCTGCAAAGGAGTTCAGGAAATCCAGTCTCTGGCACCATAACCTTAGGGTGCACCCTTTGGCAGCCTCAGTTTGATGTGGAGAGGGTCTCCTGGAAGATCCCCAACTTCAGGCCTTCGTGGACTTTGATTTCTGTCCCTCTCATCTCAAGCCTCCCTTGATTCGAAGCTCAGTTGAGCAGTATCTGCAAATAGCCTCAGGATAAACAGCTTTGGTGCTTACCTCTCCGGTTAGACGCTTTCATTCCCAAATTAGCTTGGTATTCCCTGTTGCTTTCTCATCTTTTTGAAGCATTTAAGTTTATTTTGTTAACATATATTTTATCCAGCACTTTTCGTGGTCTTTAGGAGGGTTGATCTGAAAAGTGCTAATGCATCGTTACCTGGGACCTAGACTCCAGTATATGGCAAAGAGGAGAGGAATGTCATATTTGGCCCAGACCAGTGACTCATCCTCCAAGGCTGGGTACACGGCTGAACCTCAACAAAACTGGGGTCCTCTGAGAGAAGGAGAAGGACAAATGGCTGCCATGTCCACGATCTACAGCCATTGTCACAGTAACAATAATGACTGCCCAAACCACGAGGGCAGGGCCACAGGAGGCAACTGAGAAATGTGCCTTTTTATCTGTACTTTGAGATTTATTGATATTTTCCTCCAACAAGCATTGTATTCATTTTTTTAATTTTGAGATGACAGACTCACAGAAGAGTTGCAAGTACGGTACAAAGAACTTTTATTTTCGGAACCATTTGAAATAAGTTGCAGACCCGATGCCCTATAACCTGCGAATACTTCACTGCATATTTCCCACACACAAGGGTATTCTGCTGCGTTACTACCATCTGATCCTCAGACCCCATTCATGTTTTGACAGTCTAATGCCTTCTGTAGCAAAAAGATTCAGTCAGGAATCACACGTTGCATTTAGCTGTCATGTTTGTAGCTTCCTTGACTCAGAAACAGTTCTTTGATCTTTTCCTTGACTTTGACAACTTTAAAGATTACAGGACAATTATTTTGTAAGTTTCTCAATTTGGATTTGTCTGTTTTCTCCGGATCAGATTCAAGTTATGCATCTTTGGCAAGAATATCACAGAATGGATACTATGCTTTTATTGTATCTTACCAGGTTTCAATTTGTCCCATTTCCGATGATGTTCATTTCCAGCCAACATGTTTTGGAACAGGTCTATAAGGCATGGCCTTTGACTTCTCAGAGTGTCTTGCAGCTGCCGTCCAGACCTGCACACATAAAACAAACAAAGGCTAGGGCAATCCTGTGCCCTGCGATAAATTGCACATTTCAGACAATTTCATGGTTTATTCATTCAGGGGAGAGAGCAATCAGAGAGGGCTTCAAAGAAAAGACTGTGATTGAGTATGGCCTTCAAGAATGGGGAGGATTTATCAGAAACTGAAGGGAAGCATTCTAAGGTGAGAGAAAGAGTATAGGAAGAGGCTCAGAGCTAAGAACAAGGCATGTGTGACAGAGACAATGTTTTGTACTCAACAAGCTGCATCCTTTCTCTTGAGCACATAGAAAGACTTCATTTCCTAGACTCCCTTGCAGTTCAGTTGGGCCACATAACTGAGCTCTGGACAATCGAATATGGAGGAAAGGAATGAACACTGCTTCTAAGCTTTCCATCCTTTCCAAATCCTTCTGCATTCTCCTCCACAGTCTCTCCTTCTCTTGCATGGTAACCTTGGAGATGGCAATTTGAAGATGATGGTATCATTATTCATCGTCTCCTTCACTAGATGGAGGCAGCCTGGGTTCCTAAATGTCTGTGTGGAGCAGAACTCTACTGCTCCCCCACTGCCAGCTACATTGGATTGTGTCATGAGTGGGCAATCAACCTTGGTTGTGATAAGCCACTGAGATCTGGGGGTTATTTGTTACAGCAGCCAGCATACCCTGATTACTCTAGTATGTGATGGAGACATCAGGGAAACCAGTCTGGAAACATGTAAGGAAAGATACATCCAGCTGATAGTGGTGCCTTGAGTGTCCGGCGAATAAATTTGGATGATTTTCAGTAGGAAATAGGGAATAACTTAAGGTTTGTGAGTTGGGAAAAAAAAAAGTGGTGTTTAAAGAGGAGGGCCAGGCTTGGGGTCTCACGCCTGTAATCCCAGCACTCTGGGAGGCTGAGGCAGGCGGATCACTCGAGGTCAGGAGTTCGACACCAACCTGGCCAACATGGTGAAACCCCATCTCTACTAAAGATACAAAAGTTAGCAGGGCATGGTGGTGCATGCCTGTTGTCCCAGCTACTCGGGAAGCTGAGGCAGGAGAATCGCTTGAACCCGGGAGGCGGAGGTTGCGGTGAGCTGAGATTGCACCTCTGCGCTCCAGCCTGGGTGACAGAGCGAGACTCCATCTCAAAGAAAAAAAAAGAGGAGGTGGTTTCTGGGATAGCTTAGGCTGCAATGAAAGAAGCAGGGAGGCCATTTGGAGGCTGTTATGGTCATCCAGGTAAGGGGTGGTATTAAACAGGGTTAAGTTCAGGCTGACTGAAAACTCCCAAATAACAATGGCTTCATCAAGATGAACACTTATTTCTCTTACATAAATGGATTCGGGGGTTATCAGTCCAGGGAGGTTACTCAGGCCCCTTCTGTCTTGCTTCTCGGCCCTCCTCTGTAGATGGCTCCTGGTTTATGACCTGAGATGGCTGCTTGAACCCCAAAGATGGGAGGTTCGCATCTACTTTCCCGCCAACAGGGAGGAGAAGGGAAAAAGGAAGGTAGCGCCCCGCCCTTTAGGGACACTCCACAGAAGTTGCATCTGCCGATTCTACTTACATCTTCATCACACAGAGTTGCAAAGGAGGCTGGAAAATGCAGTCTTTATTCTAGATGACCGCAGGTGCCCACTAAAGTTGGGAATATGAGGAGAATGGATTTTGGGAGATAATTAACAGTCTCTGCTCAGGGTGGCACTGAGATTGGAGAAATAAGGAGAGATCCAAGAATAATGGACAACTGAAAAAAATGGTCCGGAGTTCAAATCCTGATTTCCCATTTTGCTAACTATGTGATTTAGTCAAGTTCCTTAACTTTGGTTTTTTCACTAAAAAGGAATGATGCTACCTCTGCCGTTGGGAGATTAAACGAAATATTAAGTGTTAAATATTTGGTATATAGAGGATGCCCAATAAATGGTAACTTATTTAGCTTCTGAGGGACAAGAAAGGAGGAGTGGAGGAGGAGGCGCTAAGGGCAAAGAATTGAGGCTCATTCATTCATTCATTCATTCATACACTCATCATCCCTTTATTGATATCCCAGCCACAGGGCTGAGCTCTGGAGATACTCAGGAAACAAGGCTCTGGTCCCTTTGAAGAAGTTCCCCAGCCACAGAGATAGAGAAGTAAACAGGCAATTAAAACATGCCAGGGTGGTGCCAGGCACAGTGGCTCACGCCTGTAATCCCAACACTTTGGGAGGCTGAGGCAGGTGGATCACCTGAGGCCAGGAATTCGAGACCAGCCTGGCCAACATGGTGAAATCCCTTCTCAACTAAAAATACAAAAAAATTAGCAGGGCATGGTGGCATGCACCTGTAGTCTCAGCTACTCAGGAGGCTGAGGCATGAGAATCTCTTGAACCCCAGAGGCAGAGGTTGCAGTAAGCTGAGATCATACCACTTCACTCCAACCTAGACAACAGAGCAAGACTCTTTCTCAAAAAACAAACAAACAAACAACAACAAAACATGACAGGGTGGGAAGTCTTGGCCCACAGATTCAGCCAAATTTCTAGCTCTCTTGTTCTTAGTCCTCCCCAAGACAGTGGCAGGAGCTCCCCAAGGTTCTGACTCAGGCCCAACACTCCTGCTCTGCTGGCTCCACCACCCTCAACCAGGGAGATGTAAAGTCATCAGTGGGGAAGAGTTCTCCTCTTTTGTCTCAAGGCTGAAGGCAACTTTCCCTCTGAATACAAAAGAAGATGAGGGTGGGGCTGAATCGGGGAGGGGAGAGGCCTGGGTGTTTGCATCAGTGTATGTTTGTGACAGCTTGTGCCTTGGAGTGGTTGTTGGATGACTTTATAGGTGAGGTGGTCCTCGGAAGTAGACTGGCAAGATGGCTGCCATTATCATGGGGTTCCCTAGTGGTAGAATTCCAGACATTGGCTGAAGGAGTTTGATTTTTCTCCTTATAAGCATTTGGGCTCTGGTTCTGAGAAAATAGAGTAAGCATACCTCTATTCTGTCTCTCTCACTATATGAAACCATAAATCCTGAATTCATAGAGGAGATATCAGAGGATTCTGAAAAATAAATGATGGCAGGTGGATTAAGAAAGAATTAGGAGTTTCGCCCCTCTGGTATTACCAATCCTGGAGTCAAAGGCAGCCTGAAACTCAGAAGTGCACAGAAAGCTCCATGAAAAACTCTCTTTTTGGACCAAAGAGTAGAAGGAGACCCCTATGGGTCAGCAAGAGTAAGGGAAATCCTGGGGTTTTTTTCTTTTTTTCCTTTTTGCTGGCTCCAGTTTCCAAATACTGTGGTAGCAGTGGTGACGGCTGTACAGCAGTAGCAAATAGAGGCAGCTGGGCAGTCTGCCTATGAGAGAGGGAAACTCTTATCTCTGATCAGAGAAGCTGTGGCCCCCAGGAGCAAAGAGTGAATTCCCAGGGTTTTTTTTTTTTCTTCTCTTTGTCTTCAAACTGAGTGCAGTGGCACACATCTGTGGTCCTAGCTACTTGGAAGGTTGAGGTGGGAGGATTGCTTGAGCCCAGAACCAAATCCAGCCCACTGCCCTTTTTCATAAATGAAGTGTTAGTGGAAAACAGGTGTACTGGGTTGAATAAGATCCCCTGAAACTTCATGTCCACTTAAAACCTCAGAATGTGACCCTATTTGGAAATAGGGATTTTGCAAATATAATTAGTTAAAATGAGGTAATATTCTAGTAGGATGGGCCCTAAATAAAATAAGACTGGTGTGCTTCTAAGCAGAGGAGAGGGAGATTTGGACACACATACAGAGAGACACAGAGGTCAGGAGGCCACGTGAAGACTGAAGTAGACGTTATGCTACCATAGGCCAAGGAATTCCCGGGACTGGAAGAGGCAAGGAAAGATTCTTCCCTAGGGCCTTCAGAGAGAGCATGACACTGATGACACCTTGATTTCAGACTTCTAGACTCCTGAACTGTGAAGGAATATATCTCTGTTGTGTTAAGCCTCCTAGTTTGTGATAATTTTGTTATGGCAGCTCCGGGAAACAAATGCAATGGCCATGCTCATTCACTTATGTGTTGTCTATGGGGCTTTTATACTGCAATGGCAGGGCTGAATAGTTGCAACAGAACCTGAATAACCCCCCAAACCTGCACTGTTGTCTATCTGCTCCCTTACTGAAAAAGTCTGATGGCCTTTGACTTAGATGAAATTGACCAAGTCCTTAAAAAACACAGACTACCGAAGTATGCCCAGAAGAAATAAAAAGCCAGAATAATCCTGTATCTATTAAAGAAATTAAATTTATAGTTTAACACCTTCTTTAAAAAAGAAAGCTCCTGGCCTGCATGTTTTCGCTGATGAATTCTACCAAACATTTAAATAAGAAATAACACCAATTCTACATAATCTCTTGCAGAAAACAGAGGGGAACATTTTCCAATTCATTTTATGAGGTTAACATTATCCTAATACCCAAACCAGATGAAGATAGAAGAAACTGCAGACTAACATCTCTCGTGAACATGGAAACAAAAACCTTAAATAAAATACTAGAAAACTGAATACAGCAACACAGAAAAAGAATAGTATGCCATGACCAAGCGGAACATGTCCCAGGAATGTCGGACTGATTCAATATTCAAAAGTCAATCAGTGTAATCCATCATATTAACAGAGCAAAGAAGAAAAATCCACATTGTCATATCAAACTGAGATAATACCTGTCTGTGGTTTTAAGCTGCTGAGATGTGTGAGAATCTGATACTCAGCTACAGATAATTAACACAACACAACTGATGTCCCCTCTCTTCCTCACCTATTCCTGCCCCACCATCTCACTCCCCAGGGGTAACTGCTGGCCTGAATGTGCTATTTATCTTTTCCATCTGTTTCTTTATATTTTACTCCATATGCACAAATCCCTGGATGATACTTGATATATTTTACATGTTTTAAAAGTTTGTATAAATGATATTGCATTGGGCCGGGTGCAGTGGCTCACACCTGTAATCCCAGCACTTTGGGAGGCCGAGGTGGACGGATCACCTGAGGTCAGGAGTTCAAGACCAGCCTGGCCAACATAGAGAAACCTCATCTCTACTAAAAATACAAAAATTAGCCAGGTGTGGTGGTGCATGCCTGTATTCCTAGCTACTCATGAGGCTGAGGCAGGAGAATCGCTTGAACCCAGGAGGCAGAGGTTGCAGTGAGCCGAGATCACGCCATTGCACTCCAGCCTGGGCAACAAGAGCGAAACTCCGTCTCAAAAAAATAATAAATAAATAATATTGCATTGTATGTGATTCTTCTGCTCCTTGTTTTTCTCTTAATATTGTATTGTGAGGTTCATCCATGTTATGTGTGTAGATCTTGTTCATGCATCCTACTGTAGGATTGCGCTACATTTATTCATTCTTCTATTGATGGACGTTTCATTTGTTTCCAAATTTGTTGCATTTACAGTGTTGCTGGAAACCTTCTTGCACATGTCTCTGTGTGTAAATGTGTGGGAATTTCTCTAGGGAAAGGGAAAGCTCCCTCTAATCCTTTGGGTATTAAGATGTCTTTTCTCTGTATGAAGTGATCACAAGTTATGGGGTGTGCATGTGGTTTATGAAGGCTGGGAAGAAAAATTAATAACATAACAACAAATGGCAATGACCACAGGTCACTGAGCTCTGTGTCCCTGAACTAAGTACTTGAGGTACTTAGTTCATGATAGTGTCTCCACTGGAAGGGGATATCGATGCTGTTGATTTCGTGTTCCACCCCCTGGGAATCTCTGCCTCCCTCTCATCTTCTGCCTTATCTATGCAGCTTCTTTCTCACTCACGTTCCCCACCAAGCTCCCACAACTTGTGGCAAGGGCTCAAGTGAAGACATCATGGCCGGGTGCGGTGGCTCACGCCTGTAATCCCAGCACTTTGGGAGGCCGAGGTGGATGGATCACCTGAAGTCAGGAGTTCGAGACCAGCCTGGCCAACATGGTGAAACCCCGTCTCTACTAAAAATACACAAAAATTAGCCGGGCATGGTGGCTCACGCTTATAGTCCCAGCTACTCAGGAGGCTGGGGCAGGAGAATTGCTTGAACCTAGGAGGTGGAGGTTGCAGTGAGCTGAGATTGCACCACTGCACTCCAGCCTGGGTGACAGAGCAAGAGTCTGTCTCAAAAAAAGAAGAAGAAGAGAAGACACCAGGAAGCAGGAGGGAAGAGAGAACCCCCACCCCAGCCTCCACCATGATGAGGGGCTGCAGGTTGCAAATGAGCAGGGCCGAGGAAAGGGTGTGAGGCCACTAGGAGGGTAAAGAAGAGGCAGAAATCTTAATAGAAGGAAAGGGGCACACAGGTGAGGAAAAGGGCCTCTTTCTCTGCAGAGCTCAAGAGCTTTTCTCTCTGGACCAACATGACCCAAAGTGTGCGCGAGCCTATCACAGGTCCCCTGCAATGCCAAACATACACGCACAGCAATACACAACACCTGGGTAAGTGAGCACACACACCGTATGCACAAATACACATGTATCGAAAGCACACACACCTGTGCACACAGTGATACACATTCTACACATGCGCACACCTCAAATGTACATGTGCACACACACTGCTCTCACTGTTTCCTGGTCAAACAAGAGTGGAAAAAGTTTTAACCCTGAATCCTGTCTTGTAAATCCCAGTGCCCATCAGAATTTCAAAGGCTTCAAGAAGTTCAGCATTCAAGAAGCTCATCTCCTTCTGCTGAGGACCCCCTTCACCTCTTTCCTACTGTTCATTTCCTAATTGGGTCCTTAGTGTTATTTGTTTTTTAATATAGATATAGTTTGTATTGTTTCTTTAACCAATTTAGAAAAATGATCCATTACCAAAAAAAGTTTGATAATGCATAAGAGTACAAAAACAAAGTAAAAATCACAGAAAACTACTGCTAGCATTTGGGTATTATCCTTCTGGCATTTTTTCTCATAAATATGCACGTGCGCTTCTCTTTTTCATAAATGTTTCATGACTTGGTCTTTTTTTCATTTGATAAGATACATTAAAATCTCTTAATGATTGCATGGTGTTTCATATTATGAACTGTGGCAGATTGTATTTTCCAGAGATGACTGCAACAGAACCTCCCATCTCACAAGCTCCTCTAGAAACTTGCCATTCTCCATCAATAAGCAAGGTCTGTTTCCCCTCCCCTGGGCTGACCTTTGTGACTATCTTGACTACTAAACACCATGTGATCCAGAAGCTAGGTTAAAAAAAAAAATCCTGCCTTGTCCTCTTGGAATACCTGTATTTGGAACCCAACCACCATGCAGTGAGGAAGCCCACGCAGTCATGAGGAGGGTCCTGTGGAGAGGAGCAGAGACCCCTGGTCCACGGCCCCAGCTGAGCCCCCAGTCCAGCCAGTACCAACTTGCCAGCCATGTAAGAGACTTGCCCTTAAGTGACTCATCCAGCCCAAATCAAGCTGTCCCAACTGATGCCACAGAGAGCACAGGGCTGCCTTGCTGAGCCCTGCCCAAATTGCAGCTACATGGGAAAAATAAATAATTGTTGTATTAAGCCATTATGTTTTGAGGTGGTTTATTTCACGGCAATAGATAACTAGAACATGGACGTATCACACTTTATGTAAATATCACACAATTTATGTATATTTAGGTTGTTTCCAGTGCTCTTGCATCGATGTTTAGCTTTCTTCTTCAGTCATCCTGTCTCCCAGATGGCTGCAGCCCTGTCTTACATATTTGAGGTGTCCAATAGTAGGTTGGGCACACACAGTAGGAACTCAACATGTGGTTATTGCAGGAGTTAGTGAAGGGGGATGGAGGGTCTCATGGGGATCTAGGGAAGGGTCCTGCCTTCCTTCCCTTTGCTCCTGGGACATGGTCTTTGGTCTGCTCCTGCTAAGGCATCTGCCTCACTGCCTACGTCACTGGTTCCCATGGGTCCTTGGGAAGGGCAGGCAAACATAATGGGGGCAGGGGATAGAAGTGGCCTGGAGGGGTGATGGAGAGCACAAATGAAGGTGCCCTCTTCTTGTGTCCTTTCCCCAGGGGAACCTCTGAGTCCACAGACTTCTTCCAGAGCCTGGTCTCCTGGAATGAGCAGGGGACAGGGCGGTAAAGAGCTGGCTTGGTGGTTTGAGGAGAGGAGAAGCCACAGCTGCTGGTAATGATGCTGATAGGCCTGCTGGAATGGGGACTGTGGCCTCTCCCCCAGGAGGGCAATGTCCGCCTACACACACGTGACCCCCGCCCCCCCTCCACACACACACGCATGCACTCATTTCAGCCTCCTGCTGCCACAGGGAGGCCGGGTCATCCTAGGCTGGCCCAGATCATGGACAACTTCTCAGGCCACCTGGGTCTCTGGCCACCTTCTCTGCCTGTCTGCTGGTGCTAGGCTGTGAAGTGGGAGCTGAGTCAGGACTGGGTGGTGGGGGAAGCTGCCTCAGAGCCAAGCAGCCAGTGAGCATGTGGGAAGGAGGGAGCTGCAGGAGCTGGAAGACACAGCCGCTGCCTGGCAGCCCACCTATCTTGGGAACATTTTGGACTGGGGAATCTCCCCGCTATCCAGAATCAGGCCTGTCTCTGAGCTCAGACTGCTGCTGCTTCCAACTTAGGGCACTCTCCCCAGCAAAATGAGGATTGTCTGAGGCCAGATGAAGAAATATGGGGGGCTTTTTCATTATAATCCCTGAAGCCAGCTTCCGGAACCTTCTAACAGCAGAGGTGAGAGAGACCTCAGGACAGTGGAATCCAGGGCTTTGCCTACTTGAATGTGCACATGAATTTCCTGGGATTTTGTTAAAATGCAGATTCTTACCCAGTGAGTAAGACCTGAAATTCTGCATCTCTAGCCAGCCCCGGGTGATGTCGACACAGCTGGTTGGTGAGCCCCACTTTGAGGAGAAAGGCTCTTATCCATTGCTTCAAGCTCAGGGGCCAAGGGAGGCAAATGGATGGACTCCGGGATGCAGAGGATTAGAATGCAGGCCTTGCTCTGACCCACCCTGCACAGCCCTGGATGGGCACTACATTCCTCTTGGATAGCTGCCCACACCAAGGGAGACAAGCTGGGAGCCCCCGCTGGATGCTTGAGCTGAGACTGCAGACAAGCACATGCTGCTGGGGCAGGGGCAGGCCCAGTGGTGGGAGAGCCGCCTGGGCTGGGGAGCCCTTCCCTACCTCCAGAACAGGGCAGAAAGCTCTCTCTGCACCAAGACACCATGTCTAGGGCACCTGGCCAGGAAGAAGGGGAGGATGAAGTAGCCTAGAGATGGCCTCTCAGCTCCCACAGCCCCATGTCATCCCAGGCTCAGCCCACCTGCTACAGGCGAGAGGGAGGGCTCTTGTGTTCACACACACACCTCCATAGTTAAGTCACTTGGCAGCCCCCTTGTAGATGAGAAGCAATCTCCCCCTGCTCACTCTTGGCCCAGCTGCCCCCATCAGAGTCTAAAGCTTAGATAAGAAGAAAGGCCAAGGAGCCCAGGCCCCAGGAGCAAGGGACAGCGGCAGAACAGTTTTCTGCTCCAAGTGCATTCAGATCTACTAACTCCTGTGGGCTGAATGTAGGAGAGAATGGCAGGGAGCCCCAGTCTGTGGATGGAGGCACAAAGCCTGCCTTCAGGGAGCTTCTAGTCCAAGGGGAGATGAACTACCCCTGCCCTCAGGGAGTCACTGATTTAGAGAGAGAGGCAGAGCCCCTACTCTCAGGGAGTCACCTGTCTGAGGGAGGAGGCAAAGCTCCTGTTCTCAGATCACGCCTGGTCTGAGGGGAGCTCTCACTTTGGCTGGCTGGCAGTTCCGCACGAGGTAGGGGCAGAAGAGGTTAGGATATGAAAGCTCTCTGATTCCAGACTGAAAGTCTGTGGAGATTATTGTGGCATGTAAAAAACTTTGATTTTTTGCTTTTGCTGGTAATGGACTGAAATAGCAGGAGAACTGGAAGCAGATAGCAGGAAGGACCTCCTCCTACCCACGAGAAGTGAGGGCACCAGTGTAGGTGGGGTTTGGTACAGGGAAGGATCTTCCTCCCCATCCCCACATTGTTTGGACACTTACCCCTGAGGCTCAGGTGTGATGCAGCATTGGTGGGTGATATGGTTTGGCCCTGTGTCCCCATCTTAATCTCATCTCAAATTGTAATCCCCATGTGTTGAGGGAGGGACCCCGTGAGAGATGACTGGATCATGGGGGCAGTTTCCCCCACACTTTTTTCTTATGATAGTGAGTGAGTTCTCATGAGAGATGATGGTTTTATAAGGGGCTCTTCCCCTTCACTCTTTCTGTCTCTCTCCTACCGCCTTGTGAAGAAAGGTGCCTGCTTCCCCTTTGCCTTCTGCCACTGTAAGTTTCCTAAGGCCTCCCCAACCATACAGAACTGTGAGTCAATTAAATTTCTTCCTTTATAAATTACCTAGTCTCAGGAAAGTTCTTTATAGCGGTGTGAAAATGGACTTATACAATGGGGTTTGGGGGAGGGGAGATCACCTTTCAAAGCTTCTTGAGGAAGCTTTGGAAGTGCAGTTCTTGAGAACAGACAGGATCTAGCAAGAACCCCTGCCCAGGTGTTCAGGAAAACAGAACCTTCCCCACTTCCCTGAAGGCTGTAGTCCTCATCAACAGCACCCCAACTGAGAAGCCCCCTCCCCATTTCCTCCACCATCAGCAGCACAATGGCCAGACTTCTAGGCTGCCGTCAGGAGGCCTGGGTACACTTCCTAGCTCTGTTTCTGATTCACTGTGTGACCCGGACTTGCCCTGAGCCTCTCTGAGTCTCAGGCACCTCATCCATCACAGGGAGAAGAGAGGCCAGCACCTGGGACTATTGTGGGTTAAATGTGATGCTGTCAGTGAAAGCAGCTGTTAGGTTGTAAATCATCCCCTAAGCAGAATGGGCTATCACAACAGTTTAATTGTGATCATGTACCTTACTATGGTGACAGCATCCAGTATCTCCTGTCAGGGTAACGTGACACTGCCTGCCCTCTGGGATCGCACAGTCTCAGGCAGAAGCACAGGCCTTAACACACAGGCTCCTCTTAATAGCCAAGGCCCATCCTCAGGAAACCATTTAAGACCCACTGGGCCCCATACCTCCAAAATTCAAGCAGCCCCACCAGGTGGGTCCTGGGGCTTGTGGAGGGCAGTCAATTCACCTGCTCAGTCCCCTCCCCCAGGCCCCAGGAGCTGACAGTCCAGAATACTGAGCATTAGGTAGTCACTGTCCTCTTTCTGAAAAACACAACTCTATTAAAATAACAGTGTGATGTTGTTAATTATTCTCAATTGTAAGTGAGTAACTATAGGAAGACAATTCATTCAGCTCCCTGCTGCCTGGTTGAGTTTCCTAAAATCCCACTTGGCCCTTGTCACTGCGTTCCCTTCCCCAAGGGCTTTCAATGGCTCCCAAGATCACCGAGGATGAAGCCCCAAATCCTGGGTCTGAGATTTTGGAACCTCCCCAACCTGGGCCCTCCCTACTTCCCTGCACTGACAGGACTTCACATTCTGGACGAACTGGGCTGTCTATTCCATATCCTTGTCTTTGCCTTTTTCAGCTGAGCTCATTTAAGACTCAGCAAATCCAGCTTCCTCCATGAAGCCTGCTTTGATTGCCATAGTCCAGAGTTTCTCCAAGCGGACTTGCACCATTGGCATCATAATCACATAAAACGCACGGCAGGTGGTGGGGGAGGAGGGGGTGTGAGACCTATTGGCTCAGACTCCCAGGAGTGGGTCTGCGAGTTTGCTCATTTAACAACCCTGACCCCATCATGCTCCGCAGCCCAGCCCTTGGTAACTCACTGTCCTGCTCTGAACTCCTGTAGCACTCGGGCCAGGACCTCTCACCTGGATATATCACATGATGGACACGATGGGCTAGACACTCCGAAAGCCCTCTCTCTATAAAACACCAAATCCTTCATAAACCATATTGAATGACATGGGGCTTGGGAGAAGTCAGGGAAATCTTCAAGGCTGCCTTGAAGGAAAATGCTGACATGGGCTCTACGTGAGGCTAACTGTAGGGAAGGCAAGGAAACTGACCTGAGACTCCTGTTCTAAGGCAGGAACTCAAGTGGCTGGTGTACCCTGGCTTCCAGCAAAAGCTATTGCAAATCATCTCTGGAGGAAAACATTTCAATTTAGTTCCCCAAGATTCCCACAGGTGAGGATTAAGTGAAACAAATTCACTATCAAAGTTCACCAAATTCTGGAGAGGATGTGGAGAAATAGGAATGCTTTTACACTGTTGGTGGGAGTGTAAATTAGTTCAACCATTGTGGAAGACAGTGTGGTGATTCCTCAAGGATCTAGAACTAGAAATACCACTTGACCCAGCAATCCCCTTACTAGGTATATACCCAAAGGATTATAAATCATTCTACCTTAAAGACACATGCACATGTATGTTTACTGCAGCACTACTCACAATAGCAAGGACTTGTAACCAACCCAAATGCCCATCAATGATAGACTGGATTAAGAAAATGTGGCACGTACACACCACGGAATACTATGCAGACATAAAAAAGAATGAGTTCATGTCCTTTGCAGGGACATGGATGAAGCTGGAAACCATCATTCTCAGCAAACTGACACAAGAACAGAAAACCAAACACCACATGTTCTCACTCGTAAGTGGGAGTTGAACAATGAGAACACATGGACACAGGGAGGGTAACATCACACACCGGGGCCTGTCAGGGAATGGGGGTGCTAGGGGAAGGATAACATTAGGAGAAATACCTAATGTAGATGATGGGATGATGGGTGCAGCAAACCACCATGACACATGTATACCTGTTAACAAACCTGCACGTTCTGCACATGTATCTCAGAACTTGAAGTATAATTTAAAAAAAGAAAAGAAATGGAATGAGGAGATAAGACAATTAAAAGTCAATTAAACCTTAAAAAAAAAAGAAAAAAGAAAATGAGCCACCAGAAGTGAGAGCCAGCAGAAATCATAAACGCCAGATTTCAATTCCCAAGGAGTTCAGATACTAGGGTTATCAGACAGTGATTACAAAATAATCATGCATAAAACATTTAAAGAAACAAAAGATGGAATGGCAAAGATGATCATGCAACAAAAGACTCTCAAAAATAACGAGGAAGATTTTTAAAGAACTGAATATACCTGGTAATAAAAATCAAGTCAACAGATGGGTCAAACGGGGATTCAACGTACCTGAAGAATTATTGGAGACTTTGATTACAGCACAGCAAGTCAAGGAAATGCAGTATGAAAAAGGGGTTAAGAGAAATGGAAGCTAGAGTCTCGGAAGACGAGTGAGGATGGAGAAAATGAAATAATTGAAAATGGCTGGAAATTTTCCAATTTTGATGAAACATGTGGACTCATAGAGACAGGAAGCACCATGAAAAGCAGGATACGTTAACAAGGCTCATCTAGACCACCTAGTGAGGCCGCCTGAATTTCATGGGTTCAGGGCCCAGTAGGTCCTAACTTGTATCCTGAAGATAGGCCTTGGCTATTAAGAGAAATTCACTGTGCAGAACATCAACAAAAAGAGGACATCCTCAAAGGAACTGGAGAGAAAACAGATCTCATGCCATGCTTCCGTGTCAGTTCCTTGCATAGGAGCATGCCCAGTCTCTCCAGCCAGACTGAAGTCCCTTCACACCCAGGCCTCCGTCATCTGTGTGCCTTCAGGTGCATCACTCACCCTCCGAGCCTCAGGTTTCTCCCTGGTCAAAGGGTTGAGGGGCATGTTGCGATATGGTCAAAAAGAGTGTTGTTTTTGGAGTAGGGCAGACCTGGGATAAACTCTGGCTCTACTACTAACTCGCTGTGGTCATTTTTGCTTTCCTGGTGCTGATGCTAGGTCATTGGTGTGTGTTGTTTATGTCGAAGTTAAAAAGAATGAAGAGCAACATGAGAAAACACCCAGGTAAAGATTCTGGTGTTTAAACTATTCACTTAAGTTCCCACTCTGTGTTCAGACATTCCTTACACATCCTCTCGTGGAGCCCTCAAAACACCCCTGGAAAGTGGCCATCATCTGGAGAGGGGGCCTCTGGGGCCAAGGTGTGAGAACATCTTCCCCTCAGCTCACGCTGTACTTTCAAGTGCCTGTGCAAGCCTCCCTCTATCTTAATTTCTTTCCCCTTCTTCCTTGCTAGCTACCACTCTCACTCTCTCCCTGACACCAGCACACATTCCGATGTACTTGATAGGTGTCCTTGAATACGTCTGCCTATCCTTGTTAAATGTGTTGTGTTGGTTTGAGGGAAGACGTGTTTATAATTTCCATCAATGATATTGTGCTATGGACCTTCATTCTTTTTCTGTTTTTCCTCTTCAACACTCTGTTTTTAATACCTATCCCTGTATCTGTCAGTACATATAGCAGGTGGCTTTTCATTGCTGTTTGCCATTTCATAGTGTGCATAGCATCCCCGGAGCAGCAGGACAGTTTTATGCTCCCAGTGCATTTAGATCCACTCAACTCCTGCGGACTGAATGTAAGAGAGAATGGCAGGGAGCCCCCAGTGTGAGGATGGAGGCACAGAGCCTGCCTTCAGGGAGCTTCTAGTCCAAGGGGAGATGCCTCCCCATCCCCACATTTCACACTTCACAGGTGAGGTGACCAAGGCTCAGAGAGACTAGTTGACCTTGCCCAAGGTCATACAGCCAGTGAGGGGCTCGTTTTTGTCAGACTCTTCACAGCAGACATCTTTCCCTTCACAGATTCAAAGACAGCTGCTCATTGCCTCTTCTCCCTGGGCCCACGGACCTACCTACCTGTTCTGGGCAAAAAGAAGATCTACTCCTGGGCCTCCACTGGCCTCCAAAATACCCTACTCTTCCTGGTGCCTGGGTTCTTAAAGACCCCACCTTCTTCTTTTAAACCTGTTCAGTGGATTTTTGGGGGTTTTTTTGTTTTGTTTTTTGTTTCTGAGACGGAGTCTTGCTCTGTTGCCCAGGCTGGAGTGCAGTGGCACGGTCCTGGCTCACTGCAACCCCCACCACCCAGGTTCAAGTGATGCTCCTGCCTCAGCCTCCCGAATAGCTTGGATTACAAGCACCCGCCACCACGCCCAGCTAATTTTTGTATTTTAGTAGAGATGGGGGTTTCACCATTTTGGCCAGGCTGGTCTCGAACTCCTGACCTCAAGCAATCCACCTGCCTCAGCCTCCCAAAGTGCTGGGATTATAGGTGTGAGCCACTGCACCCGGCCATCAGTGGATTTCTTTTACAATATTTAGCTTAATGTATTTAATTAGGTAACATACTTTATTTGAATAGGTAATACCATTGTATGTTTCAATATTAGAAGATATGAAAGAGTATATAGAAGTGAAATCTCCCTCTCTGCTGACCCCTAACCACATAGTTCCCCAACCTGAAAACAACCACTGTTACCAGTGTTTTATGAATCCTACCAGAGATATTTTATCCACACGCAAAAATGTTTACATGATGTTCTCAGCCCCACTTTATGCAAATGCTAGCATTCTCTTTATACTTTCTACATTCTACTTTTATCACATCAGACTGTGTCTGTAGGATTTTTCCCCATCAGCACCCTCTAACAGCTTCTGCTTTCTTTCTTTTTTTTTTGAGATGGAGTTTTGCTCTTGTTGCCCAGGCTGGAGTGCAATGGCACAATCTTGGCTCACCACAACCTCCGCCTCCTGGGTTCAAGCGATTCTCCTGCCTCAGCCTCCCGAGTAACTGGGACTACAGGTGGCCACCACGCCCGGCTAATTTTGTGTTTTTAGTAGAGACGGGATTTCTCCATGTTGGTCAGGCTGGTCTCGAACTCCCGACCTCAGATAATCCGCCCACCTCGGCCTCCCAAAGTGCTGGGATTACAGGCGTGAGCCACCGCGCCCAGCCTCTGCTTTCTTTATGACTGCGTAGACTCCATTGTATGAATGTACCATCATTTTTTCAACTAGATCCCTACTGATGGACATTAGATTGCCCAACGTTTTCATTTTAAAAACGCTACAGCAAACACCCTTACACCTATGTCCTTTCTCCTGGAGGCGAGTGGAGTGAATGTTACGATGCCCTGCTCAGACTCCCTTAAGAACCAGAACTCTCATTCCCCCAACTCCTAGGAGCAGGGCGTTAGCTGCTGAAAGCTCACAGCTGCAAACCTCTTCAGGAACTGCCCTTCACTGACTCTTAATCAGGGCCATGTCCCTCCCTGGGGCATAGACATCCACTGAGGGGTCTAGAAGGGGCCCTTGCCTGAGTTTGGGATGTCCCTGCAGGGCTGTCCCCACCTGGAGCTCCTGTGGGATCTGCATTGCAGAAACCTCTCCCTCTGCTCATCCTGCCTCCCTCACTCCCCTGCAGGTGTTGTTCCCAAGAACATTCCCCAGTAAACCTCCTGTATGCAAATCTCTGCCTCAGAGATTGTTTCCAGGGAATCCAATCAAAGACAGAAAGTCAGCTTGTAGGGTAAATTCCTAGTTAGGAAATCAAAGAACCAATGTATATATGCTTATAAATTGGGTAGATTTCAACATATTTTCAAGGGACTGCACAAAACGCTATGTATGCAGCAGGCATGCAATAACTGTGCTGAATGGATCCCTTCCACCTGACCAAGGCTAGAGTGCTTTTGTACAGATGGTCACAGGATTTTTCGGTACCCCTGTGTGACAGGCAGCTGGGGAGCTGGGCTGGGAGGGGGCTGTTTGCCCAGGATGGCACAGCTGGTGTGGCTGAGGCAGGGTCAGCCTGGTTCACAGCACATGTGAAGACTGGGGCCAGTGGATGCCCACAGTGGGACCGGGGGAAGGAGGTGGGGGGGGCTGTAGGAAAGCACACACGATGGAGTTTGCAGCCAGAGGTTCCAGGCCTTGTGAACCCGCACCATGTGGGGAGGGTCCTAAAAGTGGTCCCAAGATCCTCTCCTTTTGGTGTGTTTGGATCCTTGGAGCTTTCCATTGGAGCTGGAAGGGTGGTTCCTCATGAGGTGAAGCTGGCAGTTGCTAAAGGAAATGGACCCCAAGTCAGGTAGGAGTGGGGATGGGAAACTTTCTTTCCTTCCTTCCTCTCTAGAGGATTCTTTCTCCGTCCCACCCAGGTTACCTCCTCAAAGGCAAATCTAAGCCCAGACATAGAAAAGGAGGGGGAAAGGGATAGAGAGCCCTTCCTCATGTTCATGCCTGTGCGTGGCCCAGCCTTCCCCCTCTGCAGCTCCTCCTGCGAAGGGCTGCCCCGTTGCACAGCTGTGCAAATGGGCCATCTGAGGCATTCAGTGACCTGTTCAACATCACCAACACATTAGGCTCAGAGACTTGGCTCCACCCAGGTCTCCTGACCTCTACCTTGAACCCAAGTTTCACACCCTGGTATGGGATGGAAGCAGGGCATAGCAGGGAGGGGGCAGGCTGGGAGCCTTTCCCCCAGGGCTGCCCCATCCCACCCCCAGAAGGTCAAGCTCTAGGGTCCCAGCTCAATGCTACTCAGGAAGGAGGGCAAGCAGACTCCACACCCTCTTTCATCTCAATACTGCCTCTTGCCCCAAGCCTGGACTGACAGAGTCACAGCCAATCACAGTATCATCACCAGGCCACTGCCCAAGGAGTTTCCAACTTTAGGGACTGCAGCAGGGGGCGAGGGGAGGGCAGAGTTCACAGAACCTCTTAGGCAGGGTCCTGCCTATCTCCCATCTCTGATGTCCCCCAGACCACCCAGTCTGCCCCGCCCTCTCTCTTCTCACCTGAACTTCCCCTCTCCTCAAACTCTCGAGGCCACGGTAAGCTGTTAGATGCCAAGAAAGACGAATTCAGACTCACATGACAGCCGTGTACAAGCTCTCCACAAGCTACTCAAATGTCTGTCTGACTTTTAGACTGCACAAAAATAATTTTTATGCACTAAAATAACCTTTGTAAGCATTTATAACAGTCCTGACGTATGTCCAGCCCTGACAGCTAGCTTTCAACAGGGCTCTCTCTACTCCACACACCCTCAGCCTGCACGGCCTCCACTTCCCCTGCTCCTCTGCCTTGCAGGTCATCCTCTGCATGCTCCAACCCTCCCCCAGGAACCACCCCCTTTAGGGTGCCTCCACCATCCTCCCAAGGGAGAGGTGCCACCTCTCCCACCCAGGAACGCCTGCTGACGCTCAGTGCCATGGGTTCATTACTGTGCCCTACCCGCCCCCAGCAAATTTCTTTTCTTTTTTCTTTTTTTTTTTTTTTTTGAGATGGAGTCTCATTCTGTTGCCTAGGCTGGAGTGCAGTGGCGCGATCTCAGCTTACTACAACCTCCGCCTCCCGGGTTCAAGCGATTCTCCTTCCTCAGTCTCCCGAGTAGCTGGGACTACAGGCGTGCGCCGCCATGCCCAGCTTACCCAGCTAATTTTCTGTATTTTTAGTAGAGACAGGGTTTCACCGTGTTGGCCAGGACGGTCTCGATCTCTTGACCTCGTGATCCGCCCGCCTCGGCCTCCCAAAGTGCTGGGATTATAGGCGTGAACCACTGTACCCAGCCCCAAATTTCTATATTGACATCTCAACTCTCAGTATCTCAGAATGTGATCTTATTTGGAAATAGGGTCATTGCAGATGTGATGAGTTAAGATGAAGTCATACTGGACTAGGGTGGGCCCCAAATCCAATAAGACTGACTCCTTATTTTTAAAATAGCCATGTGAAGAGGGAATAATGCAAAACCCCCAAATACAAGGAAAACCACAGTTTGCCAGCAAACCACCAGAAGCGAGGAAAGAGGCCTGGAAAAATTCTCCCTCACAGTCCTCAGAGGGAGCCAGCCCTGCCCACACGTTGGTGTTTAACTTCAAGCCTCCAGAACTATGAGAAAATAAACTTCTGCTGTTTAGGTCACCTGGTCCGTGGTACTTTGTTAGGCCAGCCCTAGCAAACTAGTGCTCTCAGTGAGCACTTAGTCTGCACAGGCTAATACTCAGCTCCTCACCAGGGTGAGCTAATGCATTCCTGGGTGCTGTGAGCTAGGTGCCTGTTACCCTCATGTACACTTTGGGAAACTGAAACCTAGCGCTGTTAAATGGTAGAACCAAGACGAGGACGCAGGCAGTCTGACTCCAGAGCTCGTGTTCTTAACCACTAGCCTCTATGTCCTTGGATGATGATGATGACGACGACGACGATGATGATGATGATGATGACGACGATGACAATGATGATGATGATGGAAGGAAGACCTACAGAATCCCTCCAGGCTCTGACCTCAGTGCTTGGTGATTCCCACAGCAACCGAGGGAGAAAGAAATCCTCCCTCCCATGGCCTCAGGGGCTTGCCCAGGCTCCTAGCCATAAAGAGGCAGGGCCAGGATCTGACATAGGACCTCCTGTCTCCTATAGATAGACACCCTATTGCAGTTTGGTGCAGGTGTGCACATCTATCCCCGGCCCAGCTGTGTGTGCCCCACCAGGCAGGAGGAGCTGGGCAGCCAGGTCTCAGTGCCCTGGGGCCCAGAAGGATGTTGAACACGCAGCAGGGGCTCCATAGATGCAGGTGGGAAGAGAGAACCCACTTGTGCTTCTGATGAGGCCTCCTTGGCTCTCATAACAACATTTCACACACAGCTCCAAGTATCGACAGAATTCTCATCTCAGCCTGCTAAATGCCTGCCTAATTTTCCACTCTATTGACAGACTCCATTTTACTTAACTGGCCCCTATTGTGTAGCAATTGGAAGGTTTCTCATCCTCTCCTAAACTAAGGGGAGGTGCCAAGGACGCCCGCGCTGTGGTGTCTCTGCATTCCGAAGGAGCCTTGAAAGAACGTTTGTGTGCCACTAGCAGCAGCAGGACAGCTGTAGGGAGGCTTGGGGACAGGCCTGGGTCTCTCCCCGGGACTCAGTAGGTATCACCCTGTCCCCAGTCACCCTCTAGTCCTGTCCTCAGCCCTGGCCCACCTTTGCGGACCCCTTTGAAGGAGGAAAGACCTTGCTTCCACATGGCCTGCCCCCACCCTGGCCTGCCCTGCTCTGATTCCCCACTTTCTTGTCTGCCCCGCTTCTTACTTCTTTTAATCTTTCCTGGAAGCAGAATCCCAGAACCCTCTGGGTAATATTCACCAAGCCAGCACCGAACCAGGCGCTGGGGATTCAGCCATGCCCCAAAGAGACAACCTTCCTGCTCATGGAGCTGACTTTCCAGGGTGGCAAGATGGGAAAGAATGATATGGCAGGTGGCCACCAGTGCTGTGGTGACCAGAGGAGAAGCTGGTGATCTAAATGGGGTGGTACTGGGAGGCCTCTCTGGGGAGAGGAGCAGAGAGCTGAACAAAGAGAAGGAGTGAACCATGTAGACATGTCAGGAAGAGCTTTCCAGGCCAAGAGAACAGCAAGTGCAAAGGCCCTGACTCCGGAAAGGCTGGCATTGGGAAATAGCACAGAGGCTGGTGTGGCCAGTATTGGGGAGGGACCAGGGACCACATGGTGCAGGGCTTCTGGACCTGCCTAGTAGCCTTGGCTTTTATGCTGGGTGAGATGCAAAGGTTTGCACCAGTGTGGGGCCTCAGTTGCCTTGTTTTAAAAGATCCCTCTGGCTGTGATGAGAATAGACTATAGGGGTACAAGGGTAGAAGCAGGTGCAATTGCCCAGGCCAGCGGTGGCCCAGGCCAGGTGGTGGCAACAGGCGTATATGTGAGTGCCCACACAGACACACACTCACTCACACGATACACAAACACGACACACAAACACACACACAGACACACAAACACACACAGACACACACATAGACACACAGATACACATGCACAGACACTCTTAATCATTCCAAACCTATGTTGAAGTCAGGACTGATATCATTATCACCTCTAGAAAGAATACACACAGACACACACACACACTCTCTTAATCATTCCAGATCTACGTTGGAGTCAGGACTGATATCATTATCACCTCTAGAAAGAACCCTAGAAATCCTTTCCCATCCCCATTTTCTAGATGACAAAACTGAAGCCCAGTGAGGGGAAGAGACCCATCGGCCACACACTCGGTTGGGATCATAGACCTGGGGTGTCTGTTCAGACCCTGCTCCTGTGCTCTTGCCCCAGCATCTCTCTCTGCCTCTTAAGGTTTGCACTATGTGTCCTTTCCCCTGTTTGTCCTTCTCCGTTCCCAGTCTTTGTCTCTCTACCTCTGCAGATGCCTCCACGTTGATTTCTCCTCCTGTCAGGCCCAATTTGGAACATTAATTAGTGATGAATTAGCAATGCAAATCCCAGCAGTTGCCGTCGCCTGGTACCCACGGGCTCTTGGAAGGGACCTTGCAAATCTGATCTTAATACCTCTCGCCTCCTCTCCTAGGGCAATTACTTCTCACATCATTTGTCTGCGGAGGCGGTGTCCAACCCCCACCCTCCCAGCCTGGCTGAGGACAACAAGTTCATCTTTGTCAATTAATTATTGAACGGTTTATTTCGCACTGGGAGGCGATAAGAGAAGGGAAAACCGCATGTTGTGAAATCATCACCGTAATTATACAGACGCTGCTGCATCGCCCAGCATCACAACGCCGCAGGTGCCTGTGGGGGGTGGGAAGAGAAGGAAAGGGCAGAAGTCCCAGGAGGGAGACCTGACTGTGTGGTCTTAGGATACCCTTTGGGCCTCTCTGAATTGTGTTGGACAGACACACCCACATGGAGCTTGCGGAGCCCACCTCCACGTGAGGAGGGGATCTGCAGAATTAAGGTCATAGGTACACAGGTGCAGGCCCCTGCTTCCTTAGCTGGGGTGATCAGACTGTAGGAGGGCTGAAGATGTCCTTATGGTCCTTCCCACCTGAGCTTCAGAGGCCCACAGCAGGCCAAAAATACGGTGGCATGGTAGAGGGTCTTTGATACTCTAGCAGAAAGCCCTTACGAAGACCTGCAAGGCCCAGAGCATCTGTCCCAGCCCCAGCCCTCACCCCTGGCCTTTTACCTCTCACGTCATCTCTGATGGGTCCCAATATTGCTTATTCCACTCCAATCACACAGATCTCTTTGCTACTCGCTGTACCTGCTGGATACACACCTGCCCCAGGGCCTTTGAATGTGCTGTTCCTTCTGCTTGAAGTGCTCTTTCCTGGGAGAGCTGAGTGGCTCTATCACTTCCTGCAGGTCATTCTCAAGCACCAGGTTTCAGGGAGACCCACGCTGAGCATTTCTTTCAAAATTCTGGTGGGGACCCCAAAACAAACCATCTCTCTCTCTTCCTGTTTTATTTTTCTCCAGAACACTTCATCACATTTCATATATGATGTATTTTACATATTTGTTTATTCTCTGTCTCTTTTTCTCTTACAGAGCATAAGCTCCACAAGGGGCTGGGATTTTCGTCCGTCTCACCCTCCAGCACCCAGCCCCTGCATTCCACCTGTGTCTGCAGTGCTTAGAACTGTGCCTGGCACAAAATAAGTGCAGAGGTCATTGTTATTGAATGAGTGAATGAATGAATGAATGAATGAATGACTATTTGTGTGGGACAAAGCCTGGATGTGGAAAGGACAGAGGTGAGTTCTTTTTCCTGGAACAGGCCAGCAAGGGCCACTGCAGGACCAGGAATTTAGGAAGACTCTTGGCACAGATGGGAGGCCCTGGCCAGGAAGGAAAACTGCTGGAAAAATCATTTTAAAAGCAAGTGTTCCAGTTGATTTCGTGTCTGTGCACGCCTTGAGGCTGGCATGTTTGATGCTGCCCCTCCATCGGTCACATGCAGAACAGCCCCCACCCCTTCTCAACTCCCCAGGGAGGGCACAGGAACATGAGTAGTTGCAGACACTTTGATTAACTCCCCAGCAAGAGTCCCCACGCCTGTGTCTCCTTCTCTCCCAAAGCTGTAATGGGGGGCAGTGAGCTGAGGGCTGGGGGATGGGTGGAGTGAAGCTGGGGCCTGCAGGGGTGGAGGCGACTGAGAAGAGGAGTGGGAGGAGGGAAAGGGCTTCTGCCCCTACCATGGGGAGATAGGGAAGATGAGTAGGTAGATAATGTGGGGCGGGGAGGGGGTTACTTGGTGATACATGTGGGGAGGTATTGTAGTCAAGAAGGCACCTCTCTCTCTAGGACAGAAGGAGATGCAGAAAGAGAGACCTCCAGGGGGCTTAGGGAGGGATGGGGTCCCTGGTGGCCCAGCATTTCTGAACAGGACCCTCTCTCCCTGATGCTATTCTCTGCCCTCTTCGCAGAGCTATGCTGTCGCTCCCCCAAGAAACGAAGATGGTGATTTTTTAAAGCCAGTTTTCCCCCAAATCTCTGGAGATGCTGGAGCTGCTGTTTCCATGGAAACCTTCCCACCAACCTCAGGGAAGGAGGAGCTGGGCAGCCGCCCCTGCCCCCACCACCCCGATACCTCCCTGGCTCCAGCCTGCAGGGGGCCCCAAGTTGAAAATAATCCCCCTCCCCCAGATTTTCCCAGCAGGGGCTCCGCTTCGCAGAGGGGAAGGCAGCTGGTTTTGTCTCTGCTGCTCAGGCCTATAAGTGAGATCACTAAGACCCAGGCAAGAGGGAAGCGGGGCTGCGGCTGGGGCAAGCTCTGTCTTCGGTCAGCACCATCCCGGGAGTGACTGGCCAGGGAAGGGCCCAGGGGCAGGATCTCTCCTTCCCAGGAAATCCCCAAGGATGCCTGTTTATCTCTGGCCCTGTCCATCTCTGGGGAAGTCCCATTCCTAGCCCCCAGTCCCACCTGATTTCATGAGGGACTGTGGCTTCGACTATAAAAACAACAAAACAAAACAAAAAAGCACCTCTGGCCCACTCAAGTCAGAAAGGAATTTACCGGGAGGACACATCAAGTAGCTCCTTGCGACCGGGCAAGGTGGCCCACGCCTGTAATCCTAGCACTTTGGGAGGCCAAGGCAGGCAGATCACTTGAGGTCAGGAGTTTGAGACCAGCCTGGCCAACATGGTGAAACCCCACCTCTACCAAAAATACAAAAATTGACTGGGCGTGGTGGCGTGTGCCTGTAATCCCAGCTACTTGGGAGGCTGAGATAGGCGAACTGCTTGAACCAGGGAGGTGGAGGTTGCAGTGAGCCAAGATTGCGCCACTACACTCCAGCCTGGGCAACAGACGCAGACTCCGACTTGGAAAAAAAAAAAGAAAAGAAAAAAAAGCAGCTCCTTGAATTGATGGGAAGTTGAGAAGCAGGCTTGGAAAACTGGCCAGAAGCAAAATAGGCTGGTTGAAGGGGAGGCAGGCAGTCATGGCCAGAGACAGCCCAGCTAGGGCAGGGGACATTGCCGCCTCTGGACACCGGCCACCTGAGGACACCCAGCTCATCTGGACACTGGTACATCATGAGCAATTTGTGACGGTCCCACTTTTGCATCCCACTCTCTCCAGGTCAAGATCCCAGACAAAGGGATAGTAGGAAGGAGTTTTTTGGGAACTGTTCTGTGTCCTGATTGTGGTGGTGGTGACATGAATCTATGCTTGTGCTAGAAATTCATAAAACAGCCATGCCCAGTGGCTCACACCAGTAATCTCAGCCCTTCGGGAGGTTGAGGCAAGAGGATTGCTTGAGCCCAGGAGTTTGAAACCAGCCTGAGCAACATAGTGAGACTCTGTCTCTATTATGTAAACAATTTTTAAATATAAAAATAGAAAACCACAAAACTATACACCAAAATAATTACATCAATTTTGCTCTATGTTAATTTAAAAAATAAAATCCTGGACAAAAACGCCCTACTGGCCACAGTAGTTTGTGTGCCCACAGACGAGTTGCCAGGTCAGGGAAGGGAGACGCTGCCACAGTCTCGGCTCACTGTAACCTCTGCCTCTGCACCCCTTTGGCTTTCAGAATGAGTTGGGTCTCTGCCATCCAGATTCACACTGTGGGAAATTCTGCTAAGAGGGAGGGAGCTTGGATACAGGGCAGCCAGCAGATGGGCAGATACCCACTTCCCCCAAGGCGCCTTTGGGTCCTTGGGAGCTTCTGAGGAAATGGCCCCCGACCCCACTGCGATGGCCACCCCTTCAGTCCGACCAGCAGCTCCTGAAGGGGAGGAGCAAGAGCAAGTTTCCTACCCAGTGGACAGAGGGGAACGTGATCACCATGCCAGAGCAGGTGCACATGCTCAGGCTCTGATGCATGTTCACGCAGCCCCCCAGCATCAGTCTGGTCATCAGGGGACCTGAGGTTGCATCTGGACTTTGGCCCTAACTTACTGCATGATCTTGGATAAATCCCTCTCCCCTCTGGGCCAAGTTGTCTCCTCTGTGGAATGCGGGGCTTCTCGACGGTGCTGTCCAGCTCTGGCATAGTGAGCACTGAGGCACCACAACGAATTGAACTGGCTCTTAGGAAGCCTGGGTAAGTCCATACCACTGTCCTGGACTGCAGTGGGTGGGTGAATGACCACATGTCGCAGGGAGACTCCACAGGTCCTCCCGATGAGAAGCACTCTTATGCCAAAGAGGAGACTCAGGCCAAAGTAAGGACACTCCCCCTCCAGAGAGTAGGAGTGCAGCGTGGGTGATTCCCCTCCTGTTTGCCAGTGCGAGGATGGGACTCTGGGAGCCTGGGGATGGGAGGTACAGTGGGTTTCCCAGGCCTGGACCCAAAGGGGATTGTATCCTCTGAGACCCCAGGCTCCAGGGCAGTGGGGATCTTGAATCAGGAGTATTTAACAAGCTCAGCGCTGGGCTTCACATACCCCAACTCTCAGTGTCCAGGCTTGTGGATGACATCCTCCCTGGAAAAATGCAATTCCTGATTCCTACAGCTTGTGTGCAGAGCAGCAGGGAGGGATAGCTTCTAGGTCCTGGATGTACATGAGTGTGCATCCGAGCTTCTCTCCCTTCCTCTGAGCCACTATGACACCTTGATCCCCTCACCACTTTAAGCACCTCTTCCAGCCCTTTCCTTGTCTGAAGAGCTTGCTCTCCCCCTGGCATCATGTGGGTGAATGGGGGTCTTGAGAGGCGGTGGGAGGAGCCCACATCCCAGGGGGTCTGGGGAGGCTGAAGGCAAGGGGAACAGTGACAGTGTGGCTTTCTGCACGGTCTGAGAGATCAGACAAGATGACAACAGCGAGACGGCTCAGAATCCTGGCAGAGGAGGCAGGGCTGGGGGCAGGGCTGGGGACACACACACACACCTGGGGCCTCCTCTCCTACATTCACATGGCCCTGGGCCCTGCTCTCTCCCTGCCCCCCTGCCCACCTGGAGCCCTGCTGCCTGGCCTGGGCCAGGATCCCAGAGAGGAAGGTGGGGAGGGAAGGTGGCAGGGGGTCTCCAAGGGGCCTGCCCTACATGGCAGGAGGCGGGCAGGGGAGGCAGGGGAATGTGCCACGGGACAGCATAGGCTTCCCTGAACTCATTCACCAAAAAAGCATGAGCCTTTCCCATAATTTTAAAGGTACCCTGTTGACCTGCCATGTTGCTATGGCTGTATGAGAAGATGAAACCAAGAGAGGCAACGCCGAGTGTCAGAAAGGGCGCCTTTCTCTGGCCTGCTCCCTCAGCAACCACAGGGCCCATCCTGTCCCATCCCCACCCCGGCTGCTGGGTACGTGGCTCCAGCAGCTCGGGGAGGCTGGGGCCCTCTGCCCTGGGTGTGGCGATGGAGAGTGTGAAACTGGACACCAGGAGCACAGAGAAGGGAGAAGGGGGAAAGCCCACTGGGAGCCAGCATTTTCCAAGGCTCTTTGTGCTGTCATGGTGGCAGAGGTGAAAGGTCCATCCAAGCTCCCTGGCCGCCCCCAGCTCGTGGGGAGGCACACAGATTAGCAACGACAACCCAGCTAATGCAGTTGGAGAGGGTGAGCACAGGGTCGGCAGGAGGAGGCGCCGACCCCACCAAGGGAGGAAGACGCAGCAGTGAGCCCCAGGGGAGAGGCCAGGGAGAGAGGCAGGAGGGGAGTTCAAGGGGCACCTGGAGGCCAGGAGGGGTGCTGGGGCAGCATAATTACACCTGTTCAGTGTGGAGCTGCTGGGATTCCTTCTGCTGTGTGTCCACCTGCTTTATATGAGTTGATTATGAGTTTGATTCTTGGCACAAAGTTAGGATGATGGAAATGCATTCTGGGCTCTTCAGTCGGGTACTGTTAACCCGCATGTGGGTTCTGAGCACCAGAAATATGGTGAGGATGCTGAGGAGCTGAGCTTCCAGCTGTATTACTTTTTTTTTTTTTTTTTGGGACGGAGTTTCACTCTTGTCACCCAGGCTAGAGTGCAATGGCATAATCTCAGCTCACTGCAACCTCCACTTCCAGGTTTCAAGTGATTCTCCTGCCTCAGCCTCCCCAGTAGCTGGAATTACAGGCGTGCACCACCATGTTAGCTAATTTTTCTATTTTTAGTAGAGACAGGGTTTTACCACGTTGGCCAGTCTGGTCTCAAACTCCTGACCTCAGGTGATCCAATGGCCTCGGCCCCCCAAAGTGCTGGGATTACAGGCGTGAGCCACCGTGCCCGGCCCACCTGTATTACATTTTAATTAATACAAATGCAAATGTTAAGTAGCCACCAGGGCCTCATAGCTACTGTGTGGGCAGCAGAGTATGGACACACTGGGGTACAGTGTTGATGTTGGAGAGACAGACATTCAACCAATACCCATTGGTCTAGTGTCAGGTTGTGATAAATGCTATGGAGAAAAACTGAGTTAGAGGGATGTAGCCGGCTGCTGTTCTAGAAAGGGTGGTCAAGGAAGGGTCTTGTAAAAAGGTGACCTGTGCAGAGACTTGTGTGCAAGGAGAGGATGTCCCTGGGGTATTCGGGGAGGCCACAGTGCCTGAAGCATCGTGGGAAACAAAGTCCAAGTGGATCCAGGGGCCAAAGTCAGTCGGGCCTTGCAGTCATGGAAAGGAGTGTGGGTTTTGTGTTATGAAGTGAAGCCCTTGGTCATTGCCACAGCTGACAGGACCAGGAATTAGCTACCCTGGTAAACCCAGCTATCGACTGCACCCGAGCGGCTACACACCACTGGAGCAGTTCAGGGAGAAAGCCACCGGCATGCTCACCGTATGTCTCTGGCTCTGTTTCCTCTTTCTGCTTCCCCTTCCCCACCTCTGAGTCTCTGTGTTCTGCTCATGCCAATTCCCCTTCTGCCTGTCTCTGCCCGCTTCTCTCTGGGCTGGTCTCTCCGAGACTCTGTTCCCTTGGCTGGCATGCCCTCCACCTCCCCTGATGGTTCAGCAGAGATGAAGCCGGCCTGGCTCATGGGTGTGGGTAATGTACTAGTGCAGGAGAGTGGTGGGGCCCAGTCTGGGTGCAGGAGTGAGAGGCATTAAGGCCTTAAAGACCCCTCATTCATGCCCAGGAGAAAGGCTATCCCAGCTCTGGGAAAGGGTGGTGGAGAAGGCTGTGGGAGGGGAGTCCTGTTCTACAGGCAGAGCCAGGATTTGCCCGGGACCCCAGGAACAGGGTAAGCAATGCTCACCATTTCCCAAGGTAACCAGGATAGAACGACCCTTCCCAGCTCCTTCCCAGCTCTTTCTCAGCCTCCATCTCAAGGAGACGCAAGGGGCTGGGGCGAAGGGTGTACAAGAGTTTCTGTCTACCCAGTGGGTCTCTGAAGAGCAAAATGGAGGGGTGGCGTGTATTAGTTTCCTTGTTGCAGCTTTCACAAATTACTACAACCCTTGTGGCTTAAAGCAACACACATTTATTTTCTTATAGTTCTAGGAGTCAAGAGTCCAAAATGAATCTTATAAGGGCTGAGAGGAGTGGCTCACCCCTGTAATTCCAGCACTTTGGGAAGCTGAGGTGGATGGATTGCTTGAACCCAGGAGTTTGAGACCAGCCTGGGCAACATGGTGAAAACCCATCTCTACATAAAATACAAAAAATTAGCCGGGTGTGGTAGTGCATGCCTGTGGTCCCAGCTACTTAGGAGGCAGAGGTTGCTGTAAGCTGAGATCATGCCACAGCACTCTGGCCTGGGAAACAGAGTGATATCCTAGCTCATAAATAAATAAATAAATAAATCTTCTGGGGCTAAAATCAAGGTGTTGGCAGGACTGCATTCCTTTCAGAGGCTCCGGCCCAGGGCGGGGGAGGGGCTTCATTGTTGGCCTCTTCCAGTTTCTAGACGCTGCCAGCATTTTTTGATTTGGCGGCGACATCACTCCAGTCTCTGTGTCTACCACCATATCTCTGACTCTCCTGCCTCTTCCATTTATGGGGACCCTTGTGATGACACTGGGCCCACCCCAGTAACCCAGGATAATCTCTCCTTCTCAAGATCCTTAATTTAATCATACCTACAAAGTTCCTTTTCTATAAGGAATAAGGAATAAGATAGCATACACAGGCTGCAGGGATTAGGACGTGGACTTCTTGATGGTGGCCGTATTCCACCTATCACAGGGGCTCCACACAGGGTAGACTGCTGCAGCCCCGTGAGGACAGAACTCTGTCTTTTCTCACTGCTGTTCCTGCCTTCTAGAGCTTGGGCAAAGTCACAGGATTGCACGGGCTCTGGAGCCACCTGCATTCATTCCTGGCTCTGCCTCTTCCTAGTGGTGATCCTTGGCAAGTCACTTAACCCATCTGTGCCTCAGTTTCTTTCTGTGTAAAATGGGGATAATAACAGTACTACCCTCAAAGGTTTTTTGTAAGGATTCGATGAGTTAATCCATCTAAGGTGCAGAGAAGCATGTCTGGCACGTCCATAAGGGCTCCGGATGGAATGTGCAGTGCCCAGCACATGGCGAGCATGTCACCTACCATCATTCTGATTGCAGTTCCTTCTCTAACGCTTCCCATGGGCCCAGCCCTGGGATAGGCCTGTGGCAACTACCGAAGAAGGCAGGGCATTTCTTGTGCTCAAGGAATTCAGACTTGCATCAGGAATACAAAGGCTCAGCCGGGCATGGTGGCTCATGCCTATAATCACAGCACTTTGGGAGGCCGAGATGGTTCTATCAATGGAGGCCAGGAGTTTGAGACTAGCCTGGCCAATATGGTGAAACCCCCATGTTTACTAAAAATACAAAAATTAGCCGGGCATGGTGGGACACGCCTGTAATCCCAGCTACTCTAGAGGCTGAGGTGAGAGAATCACTTAAACCTGGGAGGCAGAGGTTGCAGTGAGCTGAGATCACGCCACTGCACTCCAGCCTGGGCGACAGATGGAGAAACTCCATCAATAAAATAAAATAAAATAAAATAAAATAAAATAAAATAAAATAAAATAAAATAAAATAAAATAAAATAAAGGCTTATAGAAACATAAAACTTTACTTTTTCTGGAAGGACTTCTAAAAATTATTTCACAAATGTTTGTGCTCTTACGTTTTCTTCATGATGTATCTGTGATCATCACTGGTGCAATCTGCCAAGTCTCTCCAGCTCGCCGCCTTCTGGGCAGGTGGCAGAGTTGCACTCGTTGCCTCCATGTGGGTGGGCCAGGTTCTAGGACTGGTCCTGGCCAATGAGTTGTGAGCACCATGAAAGTGTCACTTTCAGGCCGTGGCATTTAATTCCTGGTGAGAGCGAGACCTTCCAGCGTTCTCTCTTGCCCTCTGTCACAGCGTCTCTGTCAGCCAGTGCTCTGAGTGACTGCCATGAGCACAGCCTCCTGCTGACCCACGACGAACATGGAGAGTAAGAATTAAATTGAGTTGTCTTACGGCCCTGAAATTTAGGAGTTGCTTGTCACCTCAGCATAACCTAGCCTCTCCTGACCGATTCAGCAACTAAACTTGTTTACAGAGGGAAAAATCCAATCAACACCATCACACTATTATTGATGACTCACCATTCAATCACCATCTCTGTACCAATCTATAACTTAAATAGCTGGGATCCATGAAGAACATCCACTTTTGTGCCTACTTTTCCATTCAACGTTTTTTCCCTGCGTGTTTCTATCAGTTAGAACTTGATTTGGTTATTAATGGCAGAAAATCCAAATTAACAATGATTAAACACCCAGGGTTACTTTAATCCCTCAAGTAAAAAGTTCAGAAGTAGGCAGTCCAGGGCTGACACGGTGACCTGGTGATAATGAATCAGCTTCCTTCTTTCACGTGACTCTGCCATGCACAGCAGATGCCTTCCTCCAAATGGCCCAAGGTGGCTGCTGAAACTCAAATGATCACAACTGCATTCCGGCCAGCGGGAAGGAAGAAAGCTCCAGGAGGGGCATGCTCCTCTCTGTAATGACATGTGTCACAGATGACTGTTCTGTTTATATCCCTTTGGCCAGAACTTGGTCACAAGGCCACACCTAGTTGCAAGGGATATTGGGAAATGGAATATCTCTTCTGGGCAGCCATGTACCCTGCTAAAGTTTTTTCTAAGGGTGGAAGAGAGATGGATCCAGGGAGGCAACCGGCAGCTGCTGCCACAGTGTGAGCTGTTATTCCTTCACGTATAAATTCCATGGCTTAATGACCAGTTTGGACCTTTCTAGTTTTTTTCACATTCCAGATAATCATATTAGTGCAAATTGCTTTTCTCCATTTGTGTTATTTCTTTGAGATTTATTTCCAAATGTGTGATAACCTGCCAAGCCGAAGGGCATGAGTTGTTCTCTCCGGCAGTAGCTGCTGCTGTTACATTTTGCTATAGCCCAAACAATAGAGCTGTGGAGAATTTAGGAGCCAATGTTCCCGTTTCCTCCCAGCTGGGCCAACATTGCCTCGTACTATTTTCATCTCTTTTAATTAATTTAACATGTGTGTTGTTTAAGGATGTTTTCGTTTTCATGTTATTCACTGGCAGTCAGCTGAGATTTGGGCCCAGGACTGGTTTCCCAACTACATTTTCTCACATATTAACTTTTTTTTTTTTCCAACTGGAAGGAAATCTTTAATGCCCATTTTAGAGCTGAGAAAACTGAGGCCCTAAGGATGACGTCACATGCAGTTATGACAGAGGCAGTACTGCACCCTAGCTTGGACTCCTAGCCCAGTGCTCCTACAAACAGCGTGTTTAAAGGATAAAGGAGGTATATGATGGAGGCTGAAATGCAGTAAGAAAGCACTGGATGGGAAATTGTGGGCCTCCCTAGGTGAGGTTTGTTTTGACTAATTAACCCCCATGGCTTTGTGCAAGCTGCTTCCTTTCCCTGGGCCTCACTTTCCCCAGATGCAGAGTAGGAAGGGTGGAGCAGACCCTCTCCAAGACCCTTCCAGCTCTTGATGGAAAGTACAATAATCAGTGCTAGGACAACTGAGGAGGATGGGGTAGGAAGGTGGGGAAGACAGGGGAGATCCACGGGGCCTAGGGAAGGTGGCAGAGGTCAGGGATGGGGGGTCTGGAGAGGGGCAGGCTGGAGCCAGGGTCTTGTCTTCCTGCCTGTGTTTGCACTGTGCTACCACTGTGTCTGTCTTGAGTTCGGGCTGAGGGTAAACATGCACAGTCTATTTTGGGTGTGCTGGTGAGGACTGAGTATTAGGATGAGGCAGGGTCACTCTTACCTCACCCCAGGGAGGTAGGATGCGGCCGGAGGTGCTTCTCCTGTGGTGACAGGGACAGTGGAGTAATCTGGAGCCCAGGAGGGGAGGCCTCCTCAGGCCTGCTACTAGAAGGCCTGGCCCCCGCCCATTCTCAATTCTCGCAGGAGAGAGTGTTCCCCTGACGCTCCTATGGTCTCTTCTCAACACAGCAGCTACAGAGATTTTTTTTTTTTTTTTTTTTGAGACGGTGTCTCGCTCTGTTGCCTAGGCTGGAGTGCAGTGGTGAGATCTCAGCTCACTGCAAGCTCCACCTCCCGGGTTCATGCCATTCTCCTGCCTCAGCCTCCCGAGTAGCTGGGACTACAGGTGCCCGCGACCATGCCCGGCTAACTTTTTGTATTTTTTTTAGTAGAGACGGGGTTTCACTGTGTTAGCCAGGATGGTCTCTATCTCCTGATCTCATGATCTGCCCGCCTCGGCCTCCCAAAGTGCTGGGATTCCAGGCATGAAGCACCACGCCCGGCCAGAGATTTTTTAAAAACATAAGCGAGGTCATGTCATGTCCCTCCTCTGCTCGGCAGGGCTGCTCATTTCACTCGGAGTAAAGGTGCAAGCCCTCACCATGGACTACCAGCTGCCTACAATCTGGCCCCTCGTGATCTCCCTGACTTTCCGTCCTGCCACTCTCCCCCGGTTCACTCCACTCCCGCTGCCCCTGCCTCCCTGATGGCTCCTCGAATCCCGGGCACTCTCCTACCCCAGGGCCTTTGCTCCGGCTGCTGCCTCTGCCTGGAGCGCTCTTCCCCCAGGCGTCTGCAGAGCTGACTCCCTCACCTCCTTCAGGTCTGTGCTCCACTGTCACCCCTATGGCACTATTTAAAGCTGTCACGCTCCCCCCACCAGCACTTCCCACCCTCCATCCCTGCTGTATTGTCAATAGCACGCATGCCCTTTAATATACTATAGAATTTGATTATTTCCTTTGTCCTATCAGCTTTTCTCTGCTAAAATGTGAGCTCCATGAGGCAGAGATATTTGTCTCTTGTTTCCTGATGCACAGTAAGTGCGCAGGGCATATTCATGGAATGAATGAATGAATGTAGTCCAGCCCCTCGTTTCACACAGTGGAGGCAGTGTCCTTGAGCTAACAGAAAAAGTTAGCAGCAGGATCCAGGAGCAGACCAAACACCTCCAGACACGCAGTCCAGTGCTCCTTAAGCCCCTCCAGGTTTGATAAAGCTGAGTGCGGCAGATGGCGTTCGGGCCCCACTGAGATCTCCTCCAATCACTTTTTTTTTTTTTAGACGGAGTCTCACTCTTGTTGCCCAGGCTGGAGTGCAATGGCGCAATCTTGGCTCACTGCAACCTCCGCCTCCCGGGTTCAAGCAATTCTCCTGTCTCAGCCTTCCGAGTAGCTGGGATTACAAGCACAAGCAGTCACGCCCAGCTAATTTTTTGTATTTTAGTAGAAACGGGGTTTCACCGTGTTGCCCAGGCTGGTCTCGAATGCCTGAGCTCAGACAATCCACCTGCCTTGGCCTCCCAAAGTGCTGGGATTACAGGCGTGAGCCACTGTGCCCGGCCTCCAATCCCTTTAAGTGGTTTGTGTGCTCACCCCCAGCTTCAGGGGGCTTTGTAGCTGACATGTGGCATTGTTACCTTTTCCAGCAGTTTCCCTTGGGCTATTGGAGCCAGCTGCCTCGCCTGTAAGGAGAGCTGGAAATGTCTGAGAATTGGCATTCCTTCCCCTCCAATCACTTCCAGGCAACCTGTAGGCAGGAACCAGTAGGAGAGTAAAAAGATCAGCAACGGTAGCTTGAAGCAGGACCAAT
Organism: Homo sapiens; assembly: GCF_000001405.40. Classification (NCBI taxonomy): domain Eukaryota; kingdom Metazoa; phylum Chordata; class Mammalia; order Primates; family Hominidae; genus Homo; species Homo sapiens. The sequence goes on along the minus strand of NC_000006.12, from coordinate 37,577,250 downwards.
CCCGAGGTGTGATTTACCTTCCAGCCATCCCTGTGGAGTCAGGCTGAGGTTGGGACCTCACCTGCAATCTCCCCTTGCTTGGCTTCTTCCTCTTTCTTATCCTGCTTTACCCGCTGTCTTGCCAGATTCTCAAGGGGGCATTCCAGTAATATATCATATGTGAATATAAATGATATATATGGCAGGGTCAGCTTCTGGAAGAACCCAACTGGAGATATGGGCTTCTGTGCTCATCTGGGATAGACTTTTGGACCAGTGAGGCATAGGAGAAACACCCAAGCTTTAGAGACACATCTGAGCTCAGCCCCTGCCCTGCTGCAAGACCTCGGGAAAAATCCTCAGCTCTCTCTGAGCCCAATTTCTCCTCCTGGAGAAATGGTATGAATTATATCTTTCTATGAAATTGCCGCAGGGATTAAATGAGACGAAAGATGAGAAGCAACCTGCGCAACAGCCAGCACACAGCAGTGATACGAGAAACGTTAGTTTCATCTCAGTCTCCAGCCTGCGGGCCGTTTGTGACCCCTCTCACCTATCTGGATACAGTTTGGGCCTCAAGATCCCTCCTGAGCAGCTGAGCAGACACCGCATAGCTTTGAGTGTGATGAGTCAGAAATGTGTCATTTAAGCTTCAGGGAGTGCTGAGGACATAAAGGAGGGGCATTCTGAGGCCATCAGGACATCTCCCAGAGGGCAATAGGATGAGGCTTAGGATGAATAAGACTGGGAGGAAGGGTGGAAGCAAAACACACACACACACACACACACACACACACTTGAACATGCACACACATGCACACACACATACATGTCCATAAATGTGCACACACACGAACACACATGCGCACATGTACACACACGCACAGGCACACACATGAATGTACACACACGCACACACACGAATACACATGCACACACATACAGGCACCCACACACGAACGCCCCATGGTTCCTGCACCTTACCTACCAGTAGCTGAATGGCACTGCCCAGTGAGGAAACATTGAAAATCACTTCCAGGTTGGGAAAGCGGCTCCTCAGTGGGGCGGGCAGCCTTCATGTGCCTGGTGGAGCCCAGGTGGGGCTGGAAGTTGTCAGGGAAGGAACACAGCCCTTGTTCAGCCCCTTCTCCAGCCTCAGCCTGGCCCAGCCCCAGCCTGGCCCAGCCCTGCTCCCCGCTTTTCTGATCCCCACACATGCTCCTCCTTTGCAGAGCTGAGACCCAGAAAACAGACAAAGAAGAAGGAGTGTGGTCACTATCCCCAACAGGCCCAAGTCTAGGCCACCTTCCTTCTCCTACATCCCACCCATGTGTGGAATATTCCTTCCCATTCTCACCCTCTGAGGCCCTGAGTGACACAATGGCCCCCACAGGGACAGGGCTAAGCCCCAGGAGCCCTGGAAGCTGTGCTCTGGTCATTCCATCCCTACCCCTTCTCTGTCCTTGTATCTGCAGCCCTGTCCCCAAAACCTCACTCCTGCACCAAATTTGTGTCCAGCCTTTCTTATAAGCCCAGCCACTCCCCAGAAGCAAGGGGCAAGTTTATCTTCATTTCTTTTGAACTCTAAGTACAATAGATCCTATTCTAGAGCTAAAATTGTATTACTCATCAGATCCAACCCTCCCAGAATGTTTTGTAAATATGACAACAGAAGCACAGAGGGGGAAAGTCGCTTTTTCAGGTCCCATGGTGAGTTAGTGGCAGAGCCTGAACAAAGTCCTGACTGCTATTCTATTTTATTCTGTCACCACAAGCACATCTGTTATTAGATAGGCCAGAGACACCCATCCTGCCTGTGGCAAGGCCTTGACACAGCCTTTCCAGATGTCCCTTCTCCTGAACGGAAGCAAGGCAGGTGAGAGTGTGGGCCCTGGGGAGCTGTCCTCTGTCTGGCTAACGGTGCTTTTCAGTGGCTGGTGGAAAACTGAGGGAAGAAAAGAGATTATTATAAAGTGCCTGTCATATGTTGGCACTGTGCACCTACCAAGATATTAAAATGGAGGTTTCAAAGTCATCGACATACAATAGAGGTGAAATTTCAAAGTCAGATCTTATACACAGAATTTACCAGGGAAATGTTCAAGAACGAGGTGCATAACTCAGAGCACCCTCAGCCAAGCCAAAGAAATATAAAGAGGGTGGATAGTGGAAAAGAGGACTGGTGAAAAGATTACTCTAGAGAGAGCCCTTGCTATGCCGTGGATCCCATCTCACACCCACCAACATGCCTGTAATAAAAAAGACACATCGTAACAAGCGTTGATGAGGAAGCGGAAGAATTGGAACCCTCATATGCGGCAGAAGAAAACTATCTGGCAGTTCCTCAGAAAGTTAGTTACCCAGGAACTCTACTTCTGGGTAAATACCCAAGAGAAATGAAAACATGTGTCCACACAAAAACTTGTACATGAGTGTTCACAGCAGCATGAAGTCACAGTATTCTAAAAGTGGAAACAACCCAAAAGTCCATCACTATAACAAAATACGATCTATTCGTACGATGGATCATTCAGCCACAAAAAGGAATGATTACTGATACATGCTACAACATGGATGAACCTTGAAAACACCATGCATCGAGAATTAAACATTAAGTGAAAGAAGCCAGTAACAGGCCAGGCACCGTGGCTCAGGCCTATAATCCCAGCACTTTGGGGGGCCAAGGTGGGCGGATCACCTAAGGTCAGGAGTCAAGACCAGCCTGGCCAATATGGTGAAGCCCCATCTCTACAAAATAAATTTTTTTTTTAATTAGCTGAGCGTGGTGGTGCACACCTGTAATCCCAGCTACTGGGGAGGCTGAGGCAGGAGAATCGCTTGAACCCAGGAGGCAGAGGTTGCAGTGAGCCGAGATTGAGGCATTGCACTCCAGCCTGGGTGACAGAGTGAGACTCCCTCTCAAAAAAAAAAAGAAGCCAGTCACAAACGTCAACACATTGTTTGATTCTGTTTCTTTTTTCTCTTTCCTTTTTTTTTTTTTTTTTTTTTTTTGAGACAAAGTTTCGCTCTTGTTGTCCAGGCTGGAATGCAATGGCGTGATCTCGGCTCACCGCAACCTCCGCCTCCTGGGTTCAAGCGATTCTCCTGCCTCAGCCTCCTGAGTAGCTGGGATTACAGGCAGGCGCCACCATACCTAGCAAATTTTGTATTTTTAGTAGAGACGGAGTTTCTCCATGTTGGTCATGCTGGTCTCGAACTCCTGAACTCAGGTGATCTGCCCGCCCGCCTCGGCCTCCCAAAGTGCTGGGATTACAGGCGTGAGCCACCAATTCTGTTTTTATGAAAAGTCCAGAGAAGGCAAATCTCTAAAGACAGAAAGTAGCTGAATGAATTGCCTAGGGCCAGGGAGTGGTGGGGGATGGGGGGATGGGGAGGGACTGCTAATGTGTATAGAGTTTCTTTTTGGGGTGATGAAAATGTTCTAAAACTGATTGTAGTAATGGTCGCATGACTCTTCGAATACACTAAAACAACACTGAATTGCGCATTTTAAAATGGCAGATTTTATGGTGTGTGAATTATATCTCAATAAAGCTGGGGTTTTTTTTGTTTTTTGTTTGTTTGTTTGTTTTTTTAAGTGACTGCAGAATCATCACTTATGCGGGAGAGAGTAGAAAAGTCTTCGGCCTGCTGATGTTTTCAGTTAGGTCAAGGAAAGATAATCCCCACTGAATAAATTTAAAAGAGACTGTGGGACACATTTTTTTTTCAAAATTGCACCGTGGTTCATCACATCCCTTAGATACACAATGTCTTATTTAAGGGTGGTTGTCCAACTAGTGACTGAGAGCTGGCAGGTTCTGGTTTTGAAAAGACTTGACAGGCTGTAGCATAAAAAGATGAAAAAGATTGGGAAAAAAATAATCTTGTGTTCAATATCTGCATACATTCGGAAACAGAGCCAGGCATGGTGGCAGGCACCTGCACACCCAGCTACTTGGGGGCTGAGGCGGGTAGATCGCTGGAGCCCAGGGGTTTGAGGATGCAGTAAGCTATGATTATGCTGCTGCACCCCAGCCTGGGTGACAGAGCAAGACCCTGACACAAAAACAAACAAAAAATGGAAAAACAGAAACAGAAAGGGGTGAGGATATAAGGTGCAACACAATTTTGTGTGAAAAAGACCTGATTTGAACTGATCATAAATTCGATGTTGCTAACCATTTGATATGATAGGCATAAAAGCTTGCTCAATGTTAGATTATATTAAAAGAAATAAAACTGCTGGACCAAAGTAGGTGATAGTCCCTATGTGGTAAGAACCCAGCTCACACGTTGTGTTTTGTTCTGGGCATCATATAAGAAGTACCTGGCAGGCCGGGCGTGGTGGCTCATGCCTGTAATCCTAGCACTTTCGGAGGCCGAGGCAGGCAGATTGCTTTAGCCCAGGAGTTCAAGACCAGCCTGGGCAACATGGGGAAACCCTGTCTCTACAAAAAATACAAAAATTAGCTGGGTGTGGTGGCCCAGGCCTGTAGTCCCAGCTACTTGGGAGGCTGAGGTGGGAGGATCACCTGAACCCAGGAGGTCGAGGCTGCAGTAAGTTGAGATCATGCCACTGCACTCCTGCCTAGGCCACAGAGTGAGACCCTGTCTCAAAATAAAGAAAGAAAGAAAAGAAAAGAAACAGAAGAGAATCATTCCCAGAAGGCTCCCTGTCTCCAGCAGTGTTCCCCCCTGCATCTCATTGGCTGGAACTGGGTCACATGCCCACCCTTGAACCAATCACTAGTAAAGGTAGACGGGAGTACCTTGGTTGATTTAAGCCAATAGTTTCATCTCCTGAGGCCAGAGTATTGGTCCTCTTCATAGAGCATGCTAAGGCAGAAGGAGGGATGGCGCTAGATTGGTAACTAGGTAGGTAATCAGCTATATCAGCCAAAAGTTTTGTTCCTTTCTTCCAGGAAGTTCCGGGCATCTCACAGGGACCGAGGGATGTCCTGCAGCTGTGCTCAGGGCACTAGAACCAGCGGAGACCCTGGGTGGGCAACAGCTCCCCTGGCCCACCAGCCTCTCTGCACCCCATGATCTCCTCTCTCAGGCCAAGCATTGCTTCTCTCCACTCTGCCTACTCATGGCCTCTCCTCCCCAAAGCTTCAGCGTCTCCAGCCCTTCTCAGCCTGTGTCAGGGCAAAGCCTGCCACCATCAGCAACTTTCCTCTGGAATCCTTCATTCAAACTCTCAAAAGAGGAAACCCAATTGCCTAGTCTATGTGCTCAGGTCACAGGTCTGAACTGGCTGTCTTGGGGTCAGGGGCCACCCTTCCTCTGGCAGCTGAGGCTGGGAGGTGCGACGGTGAGCACAGATGGTGCAAGGGCAGCAGGGGCTGGATGGAGGTGGGAGGACGTTTTTATGAGGGCCAATGCAAGGTCAGAGGAGGGCAAATGAAGCCAGGCAATGTGATGGGACAGAATTGACCCAGATGTGAATATCAACATGATGAAAGCAGGGTGCTATGGTCTGAATGTCTGTATGCCCCCCTAAATTCATACGTCGAGAGCTAATCGCCAGTGTGATAGTATTAGAAGGGGGGGGGTCTTTGGGAGATGATTAGCTCATGAGGGCAGAGCGCTTATAAATGGGATTAGTACCCTTATAAAAGAGACCCCAGAGAGCTAGCTAGCCCCTTCTTCCAGTTGGGGACATAGCTAGAAGGTGCCATCTATGAGGAAGAGGGCCCTCACCAGACATCAAATTTGCTGGCGCCTTAATCTTGAACTTCCCAGCATCCAAGACTGTGAGAAATAAATTTCTGTTGCTTATTGAGCTACCCAGTTTATGGGATTTTTATTATAGCAGCCTTACAGACTAAGCCACAGGATGTGTTCACGCATTTGACAGATGATAATTCAGTGCAAGATTGAGGCGAAACCTCTCCTGAGTGGCATCTTGTGGTGCCCCATGGGCTGGCACTGAAGACAAGAGACCCTTCTATCCTTCTTCCCCGCTCTTCTCGGACAGGCTCAGGAACCACGACTAGTACAAAGTACATTCTGGGTGGGGATGTGGTGGATGCTCTTGGGGCTCGCCCACACCCCCTTACCAGGCCCCAAAATCGGCATCTGCTGCTAACAGCTCACAGCAGCCCCCTTTTCTAGAGAACTGCTCTCAGCCACCTTGCCCTGATTCTGGAGAGGCTCCGCTCCTCCCCGACCCCGGCTCCTGGCAGCCGGTGACTGCCTGATGCGGGGAATAAGAAGCCGCCCTCTTGCCTCCAGGGGCCGACTCTGTGATGCTGTCCATGGTCCAGAGCCTCCCGCCGGCTCAGGCCTCGTCCTCGCTCAGCTTGCCCCCGGCCTATCCTGACCCCTTCACTCTTACACAATAAGAGGCACACTGAGAGACAATAAGTCACTTGCAAAGAATTCCCGTGGCAGGCTCTGCTCGAAGGGAGAAGTTAGACAAGGTGACAGCTAAGTCTTGTCCACGCTGAGATCCAGGAGCCTGGGATTCTCTTCCATATCACAGGAGCTCTCCAGGGGCGAGCACAGGGAGTGCAGGAACCCATCTCCTCCATCTTCCTGGTTCGTCAGTCACTCCGTAGACATTCTTAGAGTACTCACAATGTGCTGGGCTCAGTAAAGGGTTAAGAGGCACAAGACACGGCCTCTGATTTCAGAGGCTTAAAGATGTTTAGTGAGGCAGGTGGAGCCTATAAAAAGGGAAGCAGGCGGCATACGCCAAGGCCCGGAGCTGGCCCCAGCAGACGGGAGGAAACGCAGCAGTCAGGAAGGGCTCCCAAGAGAGCTGCGAGGTGAGTGCACGGGACCTCAGAGAGGATTAAAACTTTGATAAAGGAGGAATGATCTAGGGCTCAGCTGGCCCAATGCATAGGCCGTCTGGTCAAAGAGGAACTCTCTGTAGAGAAGCGAGGAGATAAGGTGGAGGCGGCAGGTTGCTGCCTGGGGGTACCAGAAGGGACAAGAGTGGAGGATGAGATCAAGGTTCGGAGCCAGAGTGATTGGGAGAAGGAAGCTCAGAATGGGGAGCCCCTGGGTCTTGCCCATTTGTCATCTCCACCTCCTTCCCCAGAAAGCTTTGCACAGTACTGGGCACATAGTAGGTGTTTTGTGTTTGCTGAACAGGACTCCTACCCATAGGGGTCCCCTCCTCCTCTGTCTCTTCCCTGGATCCAGGCTCCTCTGAGCAGGAGCAGGGGCTGTGGAATGGGAATGGGGATAGTGGGTGGAGCCTTCTAGGTCAGCATGACCTGGTCCTCAGAGGATCCGGAAAAGAGAAGGCCCTCCCTGTCCAACCCAGCAGGGATTTAATTAGAAGAGCTAATTAGTGGACCGGGAGTGGGAGATGGAGGCACTGGCGCCTGTGTGCGTGCAGGAGCGTGCGAGCTGAGGATAATTTCAGGCTCACTTTCCGCAGGGAATGAAGCTGTGGGGAGGGGGCTGCTGTGAGTAGGAAAACAGCCAGGGCCCGCATGCTGGCCTGGCTCTGCCCCTCCATCAGCGCCAGCAGACTGGGGCTCCAGGGGCACACCCATGCTAACATCCATGCTCACATGCTCACCCTTATAGTCACACACTCATGCACATGCACACATTGACATGTACCCAATTCATACACTTCCACTCTCACACCTTTACACATAGTCACACACTCACACAGACATCCGCATACAACCACATCACCCAGTTATGTGCTCACATACACACTCAGTCACAGACACATTCACACACTCCTATGCCTGCATTCACACACATGCTCACAATGACTCACACACATTCATGCACTTACACACTCATACACAGGGTCAGTGGTGAACTCACACACTTGCCTACATGCTCACACATATACTCATGCACTCACATACATTCACACACACACTGACATACACACGCATGTGTGGGGGCAGCAGTTTTGAACTCCAGGGCTCCACACCCACGCCGATCCCTCTTAACTGTGCTAGAATGCTCATCTCAGGTCTACCCCAGGGCCATGAACAGAACCCTGCACCATACAAACCCCAGCCCTCTGCTCTCACCCTCAGCCCCTCCACAATGTCCTCTCCCACCCTGTGGCTTTTTTCAAAGGAAAAGAAACTTCTCAAAGTGGATGCCACAGTCTCCCTTGCTTCTGTGGCCAGCACATCCTGGCAGAGGGAAGTTCTTCCTGCCAGCTACCGTCAGGCCAGTCCAGTTCTCCAGGACAGAGAATGTTCTCACCTGACAGCCCGTGCCCTAGAATAGCCCCATAGCCACACTCTGGGGCCTTAGATCTAGATGACTCTGAGTGACCTTGGGCAAGTTACCAAACCTCTCTGAGCCTCAGTCTTCTCGTCTGTAAAATGAGCATAACAACATTATGTGAGGTTGTGTAAGGAATATGTGAAGTTATATGTGTAACCTGTTTAGCACAGAGCCCAGTGTGCATATGTGCTCAGTAAGTTCAACACTTATCATCCTGGGGGCCAAACCCAACACTCGCAGCTCCCACTCCCCAGCCAGGGCTCAGTTTTGCCCTCTGGGCCTGGCTCCCTCTTCCCTGCCTTCCTCATCTCAGAATAAGAAGACAGGTTATTAGTACAAATTTGATCAAAATGACACATGGATTAGCATGTACGCTGCAAAGTCTAATTCTGTTTACTGTTCTAGGGGAGCATGCAATTATGACAGGAGCTGGGACAGAGTGTTTTTAATAACATTTCTTGTTAAGATTTAATTACAGGAAATTGTATTTTCTTAATCACTGAAAACTCAACTGGCTAGGAAAAGAATCGTGATAATTTTGTTTGCAGTTTATTAAATCCTTAGGATATTCTTTCTCTTACATTTGCTTTTATTATATGCTGCTGCTAAGTGCTTTTTAACCCTTGGAGCTGTGAAGAGGGAGGCCTGCCAGCCCCTGCCTCTCCTGTCCCAGGCCTTCCACTCCTGGCAAACTCGGATGCCAATAACCCCAGAAACCAAGGCAACTTAGGAAGCAGAGTTGTTTGGTTTCCTGTCCAGTAGGAAGAACAGGTGTGTTCTCCTCCTTGTCTGAAGTTAGTGGGCTGAGAAACCATCCCCAGAATACCTGGCCCTCACATCAGCCTCCCCTGGAAACACAGCCCTGAGGTGTCCCCTTGCCCAGAACCTTTGAGGAAAGTTGCAAAAGTGACAGCATCTTTCATAGGCCCATTCAGGAGTCTGGAGCTAAGGGCAGTGCCCTGAGGATAAGGTGGCACTGCTGGAGCTATCTGACCCCTGCCGGGTCTCTTTTGGACAGGGCAGAACTGTGAGTGAAGTTTCCGCCCTGTATCTGGCCTCATACAAGGCCTCCTTCCTGCTGGCTGTTGTGCTAATAATTGGGATACAGAAATGGACACGACAGAGCCATGCCCAGTGTGTCCCCAGGCCCTTCTGCTTTTGTGCGAGCATGAGCAGGGCATGGGGAGAGAAGGGGGCCGTGGAGAGAGGTTTCCACTCAGGAAACGGGATGTGGGGAAACCAGAGGCACAAAGGAGCCACGGTCTACCAGTTCCTCCAGGAAACCGTGCTCAGGGGAAACTATACAATATCAGCAACAACATGAGGAGTGATGCTTAGAAAAGCAACACGAGACACCAACCCCACAAGGGATTTGTGCTGCCGTGGCTAAGTAAGAATTCCTCAGTCAAAGGAAAGCGTTTCTGACTGCAAATTTCTGTGATCCCAGAAATGCATGCGTGCATGAGCGCGCACGGAAGTGTATGTGTGTGTGTGTGTGTGTGTGTGCGCGTGTGCACATGGTGGTGGGGGCCTTCTTGGCCTCAGTCTACAGCTCCATCTCCATCTTTACCTGGCCCCATGACTCGCTAAGCCTGGACCATCTCCATACAGACACTGCAGCCACAAGCAGCCTTTCCTCCAAAGAGCACCACCTTTTCGGCCAACAAGTACCACTTGTGTCTCTCCTGCTGCAAATCAAACTCAGGTCCTCTTGATCTTTTGGGAGGTGGGGGAAGAGGGACAATGAGATAATGAATGGAATTCTCAGCAAAACAGCTTCATCTGACACATCTCTGGGTCTTTCCACTCTCTTTTCAACTCTGAGCCCCTAGCTCTCTTAACCATCCCCCAGTGGCCTCTCTGTTCCTTCCACGTCCCTTTGATCTCTTTGTTCTCTGGGGCTGGGGAAAGCAGGCCTGACAGCGTTAACCCTGATGGCAGAGTGCAGGACATCAAAGAGGCTGCAAGAGAGGTTATGGATAATAGATAGGTGGAAGCATGAATGATACATATGCAGATAAATGATGGATAATGGGGCCCGCATGATGTATAGGTGGCTGCCAGAGTAATAGATGGGTAGGTACATATAGATTGATGGAGGGAGAGAGTTTCAGAGACAACAGACACAGGGGCAGCTGGAAGGACTGATTCCGGAGTTCTGATAGATGCATCGCTACTAAATAGGCAAGGAGAGGAGAGGCAGGACAGGCACCTAATGAGATAAGACAGAGGGATGTACGCCAAGAGGGGTTCCTGGGCACAAGGGGCTAGAGGAAAAGTAACCGTCAATGGATGGACACCCAGAGGCTTCCACTGACCACTGACAGTGTCCCTGGTAGGTGGCAGGATGGAGGGGGTAAGCTGAAGGAGCCCCGGTGCGTGGATGGGTGATGGATGTGTGGAGAGATGAGGAATGGCTGGGCCCATTGATCAGGGTCCTCACTTCCCTGACCTCCCTCTGCCCAGGGCTGGGCTTCCAGGCCCCTGGGTGCAGCCGGGGCGGTGGCGTGCTGCTCTGATGGTGGCCGCGCGGGGGCGCCCACAGCCGGGGCATGGCGCAGAGGGGCGAGGAGGGGGTGCAGGCTGCAGCCTGTCCGGCACCCTCCTAGAGTTTGTTTCCATGACAGCGGAGCCCACGTGACCCCTCCCCACTCCCCTTCTCTCTTTCCCTTCCTAAATAAAGTCCCTGGTTGAAAACTGCTCCCCAAGGAAGGGCAGAAAAAAGGCTTCTTGCTGGGCTGCTTTGCCTAGCATCGGAGCAAGTCTTTGAAGCCCGGCCGCCTCCCAGAGCTGCAGGAGCCAGTGTGCGCCTTCTCCGTCACTCCCTCTGCTTGTCCCTCTTGCCCTGTTTTAAATCGTTTCCCTGTCACCACCCACCGCCCCCAATCCTCAGGGTCTTCCCGACGCCAGCTTCTTTCCAGAGCCAGCTGGTATGGAGCGGAGAGACGGGGAGGGAAGCTATTATTCTGGAAAGGGCAAGGCTAACTCCTGGAAGCATGGGGGCTGGGCGGGGTGGCGGGTGCTGGAGCAGATAAGACCCTCTCTCAGAGGAAGCTGCTGCTGCTCCCAGCAGCCCTCCAAGGGACCTGCCCAGCCCAGCTGGGGTGAGGGGCCTGTCGCAGCCTGACACAGCTCGGCAGCCCCTCCCCAGCCCCCGCCATAGGCAGATGCACCCCTCCCTCAGCTCCAGCTCAGCTCCATCTCCCAGGCAGGTGGCGCACAGCTGCGGAGGAGACAGCAGGAGCACAAGCCCCGGCAGCAGCAGCCTCAGGGAGGGCTGGGGTCTGGAGGTGGAGCTGTCACGACAGGAACAAAAGATCTCTTGCTTAAGCCCAAGGTTTCATTGTGTCCACTGGAAGCCAGACACACAGACTCAAGCCCTCCAACGGAGACAGGCGCTGCTGCCTCAGAGATTTGCCTTCACAGTTCTTTTTAGTAACCACTTATTACCCTACCCCAGGGCCTCTGGAAACAGAAAATCAGATAGCCCAGCCAGAGAGGCACAGAGAGGTGAAGTGACTAGCTCAGCACACCAGTCTGGCAGCTGCAAGGCTGTAGCCACCATCAGACCCAGGGGATTCTCAGTCCTGAAGAGTTAGGGAAAACAGCAAGGAAGGAGGAACGCAAGGCATGCAGAGAAGGTAGTGTAAGTGTTGTGGGGAGGGGGTGTTTTTTAGGTACCGGATTCCCCTCCAAACAATGGCCAAGTCCCGTCCTCTGCTTCACATACCGGATTCCCCTTGAGATTAAAAACAAACAAACCAAAAATAAAACCTGGCTACTGTGCCTCTGTCTGGAAGAAGTGACACCACTTTAAGAAGCAGTGAAAGTTGTCCAGGATTGGCCAGTGGTTGGAGGGGGCAGAGAGAGAATTCCAAGCAGAAGGGACAGTGTAGCAAAGGCAGAGAGGCACGGAGTGTGAGGGGAGTGGAGACAGCTCTATAGTCCCAGGGCGAAGGTGCAAGAGAAAGAGGCAGGGCTCAGATCATAGCGTCTTGTTCACCATCCAACAAGCTTGCAACAGGGAGCCACTGAAGAGTTTTGAGCAGGGGAGTCACCAGTTCAGATTTGTAATGTGGAGATGTATTGGAGTGGGTGTCAGAGACTGGGATGTCAGTTAGGAAGCTTCTGCCACAGTCCAGGGAGGGGAACACGGGGTGGGATGATGGGGAACCAACCATGTCAGAGTAGTAAGGATTGGGTTGGGGGAAAGGGAGAGTCAATAAATATTCTGGACATCCAAGCATCAGCACCCAAAAGGATGAAGACAGAGTGAGCAAAATCACAGTCAAGGCCGACTTCTGGGTACCTGGCCTGGGTGTGGGTGAACTGCAGTGCCACCCTCTGAAAGGTTACATGGGAGGAGGAGCAGGCTTAGGGGAAGAAGCCCAGTTTGGAACACGCTGCGTTTGAGGTACCTGAGGGTGTCCATATCGACTTCCAGGAGGTAATTGAATATTCTGTCCTGAGCTCCACAGGTGAAGGCTGGACTAGCAATGTACACAGTGGCGGAAATCCCAAGGGCTATAGAGGCGACTGCCCAGGAGAGAGAATAGAGCAAGGGCCTAGGTCAGAGAAAGACGAAGAAGGAACTGTCAGAGAGAGAAGGAAGCTGGTGGAGCACTGTGTCGCGGTGGGGTCAGGATAGAGGGGCTCTTGAAGGAGGGAGGCCGATCAGATACAGCAGAAAGCACCAATGAGAAAAACACAGGTGTTTCCCACGGATTTGGTGCTGGACCCTCTATTAACAATTCCAGTCTGGCAGTAAACTCAAGGTATATTTAAACTGAGTGATTCAAAGAGAGTTTAATGAAGGTTTAGGCCAGGTGCAAAGGTGTGGGCAGGGTGCAGGGACATCAGCAGGAGATGCTGAAGCCCCAGGGCTTGGAACAGGGGAGCTGGGCCCAAAGGGACATGGACAGAGCCATGGGGAGGGCCTGCTGGACGGGAGCTGTAACCTTGTGTGGAGAGACACAGCAAAGAGCCAGCCCCCTGAAGTCCCGCAGGGAGCACATCAGGAAAATAAAGATCTTGGCTTCACTCTCCTCTCTCTGATCTTCTGTGAGGCTCTCCCTTTGTTGGCCCTCCCTGGCACAGGGAGCCTGGGCCATGCTGGTCACAGAGGTCGGCCTGGGAGCACAGTGCTGGTGGAGGAGGATTCCAAGACAGAGAAGCCTGCCTAGTCATTGGCAGCTTATCAAGAGCATATTCAGGGCTTGGAGGTCACAGAAGCTTTGCTGTTGAGAACTCAGAATAGGACAGACAGGAGAGGATATGAAGACTTGGATGCCTGGGACCCAGGGAGAGTGTTTTTTGTTTTGTTTGTTTTGTTAGAGACAGGATCTCACTATGTTGCCCAGGCTGGAGTGCAGTGGCACAATCATAATCATAGCTCACTGTAGCCTCAAACGCCTGGGCCCAAGCGAGCCTCCTGCCTCAGCCTCCCAAGTAGCTGAGATTATAGGTGCAAGCCACTGTGCCTGGCGAGGGAGAACTTTTTTAGGATAGGAAGTATTTGAGTAGATTTTGACACAGGAAAAGGAATGCAGACACACTGGAGGAAAGGGAGGTGAGAGTTGGAGGCCGGCTGAGGAGGAGGCGGGTGGGGGTGTGGGGGCAGTGGAGGGCTCTCTGGGAGGAGGGACAGAAGGGACTTGATTGGGAGGACAGAGGCCCATCCTCTGCTTCCTCCCGAAAAGGCTGCAGAACAGCCTAAAGCCAGGGGGTGGGTCTTTCAGGCCCAGAAAGGGGAGTGTCTCTCTGCCAAGGACCAGGGCAACGGTCCAAAACAGAGACACACAGCCCAGCCCAGGCCTGAGTGGTGGCTGGAGGGTATGGAGGTGTGAGAAAAGACCCCCATAGTCAGAGAGAAGATTCAGAAGCAGTTTCTGGAATGGACTGGGATCCCACCACTGGGGCCGTCCCAAATCTCCCTTAGCCAGTTTGAGGAACTGAAGCTCACATTCAGCCCAGGTAGCAATTAGAAAAGCTGCTCTTCTCCCTTTTTTTTTTTTTGAGAAGGAGTCTCGCTCTATCGCCCAGGCTGGAGTGCAGTGGCAGGATCTCAGCTCACTGCAACCTCCACCTCCTGGGTTCAAGTGATTCTCCTGCCTCAGCCTCTAGAGTAGCTGGGACTACAGGCACACGCCACCACACCTGGCTAAACTTTTTGTATTTTTAGTAGAGACAGGGTTTCACCATGTTGGCCAGGCTAGTCTCGAACTCCTGAGCTCAAGTGATCTGCCTACTTCGGACTCCCAAAGTGCTGGGATTACAGGCGTGAGCCACCACGCCTATCCAGAAGAGCTGCTTTCTAAAGCACGTACTAGAGGAGTCTCTTACCAGGATGATTTAGCAACCACAGCATCTATGGAGAACTTCAGTATGTGCCAGTGACGAAAGCTTTATACAGATTAACTTCAATGTCATGAAAAATCTCATGGAGCAGCTATTATTATTATTAGTCCCATTTTATAGATTAGAAAACTGAGGCTCTATAAGATTGTATGTTTACATGGGGTCCCACAGCCAGTCAGAAGTGCCAGGATTCCCACCCAGGCCTGCCTGACCCCCAGCACCCTCCTAGAACCACCCCAGGTTGGGAGGGGTAGGGGAGAGCTGGCCTGGGACATTCTCACCTAATAGAAGTCCCAGAAAGCCCCAACCCAGGCTTTCTGCAGTTGTTTCTGCTTGAGTGGAATTCCCATTGCGTTGTTTTACCGCCCTCTGTAAAAGTTACCATTGAAGGACAAAAGACTCGGTGAAAATCTAAAGGGGATTTCTGCTTCTGTTTCTGAACCAGAAGAAAAAGAAGTAGTGAAACCAGGTGCTTCTTGGCTGATCAGCCTGGGAAGAGAGAATTATTAATAACCAGGACCATTTCAGTTGCCAGTAACAAAAACCCAATTCACATTGGTTTAGGAAATCATAATAGCCGATGTCAGCTGCTCACTATATACTAGGCACTGTTCTGAGCACTAATGTGAATCCGTTCATTTAATTCTCAGAAGTATGCTGTGAAATTTACACTAGTATCATCACAGAGGAGACAGAGGCACAGGGATTAAATAAGGTGCTCACATCACTTAGCAAGATTGCAGCCCAGGCTGCTGGGCTCCAAACTTTGGCTAAGGGAGATTTGGGACGGCCCCAGTGGTGGGATCCCAGTCCATTCCAGAAACTGCTTCTGAATCTTCTCTCTGACTATGGGGGTCTCTTCTCACACCTCCATACCCTCCAGCCACCACTCAGGCCTGGGCTGGGCTGTGTGTCTCTGTTTTGGACTGTTGCCCTGGTCCTTGGCAGAGAGACACTCCCCTTTCTGGGCCTGAAAGACCCACCCCCTGGCTTTAGGCTGTTCTGCAGCCTTTTCGGGAGGAAGCAGAGGATGGGCCTCTGTCCTCCCGATCAAGTCCCTTCTGTCCCTCCTCCCAGAGACAAGTCCACCACAGCCTTGGAGAGCAAGCAAACACACTGGCCCATGTCATTATTGAGACCAGGTGGCACTGGATCTAAAACATCTTGTTCCTTTCTCTCAGCTCTGCTTCTTTCGGCCTGGCCACTCATCCCTCCATGGCAAGGACAGCTGCACATCTCACCCCTTCCTGTGTCTATCACCCCAAAGGGAAGGTGCGCTCCACTTCCCTGCTTGCTCCAGCAGCAAAATCCTGGGGAAGGTGTCTGAGTGGTCTGGCCCTGGCCACACACCTAACCCAGAACCAGTCACTCTGCCTGGGGCTAGGAGAGAGGGAAATTGTGCCAGGCAGCCAAAAGCAGTAGCCACCCCAGGAACACTCAGGGAAGAGGGTAGCAGCTGCCAGGAAGAAGAGAAGACGTGGAGATTAAAGCTGGGCGGGTGGTTAGGAGGCAAGCGGGACCCAAGATCTGGCCCTTTGTGTGTCTACCTCAAACAGGAGGTAAGACAGCAGCAGAGGGAAACTTTCCTTCTTCACCATTTGCTGGGTGTGGACCAAAAATACCAAGACTTGTATTCACACACACAACCTCTAAACACACGTGCTTCTATATGTATTAAATAAATATTGGCACATACACATGCTTAAACACACATCCCTGGACACTTTACACTCCATACAGACACCTACACAATCACAGGCATGTATACTGCATCAGTCAGGATAGGCAAGGCTATGCTTCATTAACAAATAACTCCAAAACCTCTACTGCTTAAAACCAAAGGGCT
This sequence comes from Homo sapiens, assembly GCF_000001405.40. Lineage (NCBI taxonomy): Eukaryota > Metazoa > Chordata > Mammalia > Primates > Hominidae > Homo > Homo sapiens. The sequence goes on along the minus strand of NC_000006.12, from coordinate 37,560,845 downwards.
TGCTTCTTGCTCACGCGACATGCCAGTCACAGCTTCTGCACATCATATCACCCCAAGGCCCAGACTGATGGAGAAGCCACTAGCTCAAAGCTTGCTGGTCATAGTGCCAGAGGGAAAGAAAGACCTCTGGAAGATGTTGCATTGGCAATTACATTCTTCTGCCGGGAAGTGACACTTTCTCTTCTGCCCATTGGCCAGAACTGGTCATATGGCCCCATCCAACCACAAGGGGGCCAGGGAGTGCAATTCGGAAGAGGAGACCCAGAAATATTTAGCAAATAGCACTAGCGACTAGTGAGTAGGGCGCGCGCGTGCGCACGCACACACACACACACACACACACACACACACACACACACTTACTGCTCTTCCCACGGTCTCCTTATTTTATCCTTTTGTGTCCTGGACTCCTAAACAATTCCCTGTCCCTAGTAATCAGGGTGGAAAGTCTCCTGCCAGGAGCCAGAGGTTGTGGAAACTTACATCCCCCTTCATTTCAGTCCTGTCGGCTGCCCTGAGTCTCCCCGTCTCACTCTGGGCCCCATCATCCATCTCCCTCCCTGCCCATTCGTCTGAGCCTCCCCTGCCCCAGCTTCTGCCTCCTGCCAAGAAGAGATAAAAGAGACAGCTGCGTATTTATTCAGTGCTACTTCTACTTCTCACTGCTGCCCCACCACTTGCTTCAAGCTCCCCGCTAGCATCCTCCTCCCTTTCTTCTTTCTACGATTGCCTGAAGAGCTAAGCGTGAGCTAGTGGCACCCAGAGAGGTGGCTGCTACGGGGGAAGGGAGGAATGAGGGGAGGGGGGACCTCAGGGCCCTTGGGGGTGACAGGAGAAGGCAGACATGAACAAAAACTCAGAGAGGGCATGAGATGTAGAATAACACTCACAAGCGGACAGAGACAGAAAAGAAACACAAAATGTGGCAGAGAGAAGCAGAGACGCAGCGAGGGACAGAGGCAGATGGAAAGAGACACAGATTGACAGAGACAGAAATAAGTGGAACAGAGACACAGAGACTGGGCCAGAGGAATGAATGCAGAAAGAGAAAAGATGGAAGGTAGAAGTGGGGATGTGTTTAGGGTGTGTGTGTATGTTGCTGTACAGCTCTGGTTTTTAAGCCCCGCTTTCACTGAAATGGATTCATGAAGGCAGGTGCTGTGCTATCTTTAAAGATAGGGAGAGGATGTGGCACTTTTGAAGCCAGTGGTGCAGGTTTAAGGCCAGGCCATAAGCTCAGGGCGCTGGCAGGGTTTCCCTGGAGATCTCTGGTGCCAAGTGGTCAGCTCCACAGCATTAGCTCTGTGGTCGGAGGAGGCTGCAGGTCTGAGCTGTGAATGCTTCCTCAGTGGCCTCAGCCACACTTCTGCTCCAGCTCCAGCTCTGCCTGCAGCAAAGGGACCCTAGGAGAAAGGGGAGAGGGGCGGAAGCAGTCCCTGCCCTGTGCAGGGGATGAAGGGGGCCCAGGCTGAAAACGGAGGTAGATTCCTATCTTTAAGGAGCCCTGAGTCTGAGCAGAGGTTTGAGCCTCATTCATTCCTTCAACACATGGTCCTGGTACCCTACCCTGTGCCAGGCCCCAAGACACAGTGGAAGACAAAAGCCATGTGCCCTGTAGGTTTTAGCCTAATGGAGGAGACAGACCACAAACAAACCACAATTATATAACAACAAACCAGGTTCGGTGCTACAAAGTAAAAGGGCGTCATCGTGGGAGAATCTTGGCGGTGGGGGCTTCTTTACACTCAGGAAAGTCTCTCCAAGTAGGTGATACTGTGGCCAAGACCTTCCAGATGAGAAAGAGCCAGGTAAGAGGAAAAGTGGGGGTGGCATGGGGTGGGGAGTGGGGACACCAGCCCAGGTGGCAAAAACAGCCCAATTCATAAAGCGACACCCAGCTTGGGCACTACTCCAAGGTGAGCCCGCGGCGTCGGAGTGGGTCAGCCGGCTGTTCAGGAGCTGGCAGGGCAAGCCTCCATGGACTGTGGGCTTGATTTTAGGGACAATGGTGAGAGACACGAGTGGTGTCCACGCACTCATGCTGGGCACCTACGGTGTGCCGGCCCGAGCTGGGGGCGGGAGGCTAGCTCAGTTGTTGGGATAGAAGTAAGAAGACCTCGGGGCAGAGGAAACCAACGAATCTGATCAGGTCACTCCTTGGGTTAACTCCCTCAGCAGCTCCCACCACCCTCAGGATAAAGGCCAGACCCCTCAGCAGGGAGGCAAGGCCCTCTCACCCTGTCTGTTCCCCATCTCCTCCCTCTGGCCCTTCCATGTGTGGGACTCAATGCTCCCTCCAGGGCCTTGCAGTGGCTGTGCCGTCTGTCTGAAACACCCTCCCCACCGCTGTCTCCTCCATTTACTGAACACCTAGCCATCCTTCAAGACTTAGCTCCATGCTCCCTCTTCTTAGTGAGGTTTTTGCTGAGCCCGGCCCCTCCCCAGTGAAACTGGCCATTCTCCTTTGGGCCTCACAGTACCACATGTACCAGAATACTTCACGGCCCTTGTCTGTCTGTTTCCTGCATGAGGTCCCTTAGAGCAGAGGCTATGCTGCTGGCTTAGAATCTTCAGGTGAATCACTCACCTGTGCTGCTCAGGTAGCTGATTAGAGGCAGAAGAGTTGTTCCAATGTCCACCCCCTCAACACCGCCTCAGGATAATTGGAGCTGAGCCCTCGCCTTGTCAAAAGAAGAGTACAGGGACCAGAGTCTGGGAGATTAGCCTAAGAAATGTTTTGAGGCAATTAATGCCACTCAGAGTTCAGAAGGAAGGGCAGGGTCATGGTTTGGTGGCAGAGGATCGGGAGCTTCAAGTTGGGAGAGGGTGGGCTCAGGGGTAGAGAGTGTGCTGAGGACTCAGGGTGATGAGGCAGGGACTGGGAGAGAAGATCAGGGGAGGAAAGCTGCCGCCCACTCTGCCATCAGGTACCAATGACTCAGGGCAGAGTCCATCTGGGGAGGGCCAGCGTGAGAGTCGGGCTAATCCCAGGAAAGTGAATCTGCCACAGAGAGATTTTTATCCGATTTGCCATGGTCTCCCTCCAGGGACTTCATGTTCTGCTAAGACAGAGGCAAAGAGAAAGCTCACCCCTGGAGATGACCTCTTTGAGTCTCTGGCTGTGCTTCTATTCGGAGGAAGACATAGGCGTCTGTGCCACAGCATCCCCTAGGGAGGACCTGGAGCGGGCTGCAGGGAACAGAGCTGAGAAGTCAGGGAGAGGTAGGGAAAGGTCAGGGGAAGCAAGGCAGAGGTTAAGGGAGGCCTTGGGAGAAGGCAGGGTCACAGAAACCATGAAAATGCAGGAGGCCCCAGCCCAGCACCATGGGGAGGCTGCACAAGGAGGCCCACAGAGCCCCCGGAAGACAAAAGCCAGGGTCAGAGAGGATGTGGGGCCGAGGCTAACTGCACTGACGGATGGTAGCTTCTCTTTCCCCGGGTGCTCCTGAGGGAAAGGGGGATTTCTAAAGTCCCATGTGGCTTGGGTCCCCATACACTAATCCACAGAGGATCGTATGACTAAGCAAGACCTCCTGGGCCACCAGAGCGTCCTGTCAGCATCCACTGAGGTGGGGACTGCGCTTGGCACCTGGAAAGAAGGCCCCAGTCTGCCCTGAGCCTGATGGCCAAGATGGTCGCATCTGGCCCACCGTGGAGTCAGGGCAAGGGCCTAGGTCAGAGGGAACGGGACGCCCTCCCTCCAGATCATGAGGCCTGGACAGCCGGACGGGGATCAAGACAGTTGCCAGGGAGGGATGGAAAAAAGAAGAGGTAAAGCCACTGCTGTAAGAGGCTAGCCCCATCTCAGTGGCTCAGCCTGTGAAAGTTCATTTCCTGCTCAGTCACAGTCCAGCGCCAGCACTGCTGTCAGGGTGGCCTCCCCTGGCTCCCTCCCTCCTCTGGCTCTGCCCCCTTGAAGACCTCTGACTTCTCCTTGTGCAGCCGCCAGACAGGGAAAGACCAATTCTTCATCCTTCCATCTGAAAGCAGCACACCACGCCTTGCACAGAGTCCATAGGGGAGAACTAGAAATTCGGCCCCACATATACACAAAGGGTTCTGAAAAATGGGGTTCCTGGCTGGGCAGCTACTTCTCAGCCAGACACTCCACACCGAGGAAAGAGGAGCCTGGATTTGTAACGGACTGTGGGCCAGGTCTGCCTCCGGTACCAGCATCCACTGTATACCTCTTCTGGGCTGGGCTTCTCATCTTTGCAGCCACTGTTGAAAATGAAAGACAGCTATTTTTTATGTTTTATGTTTTTGGGGATAGAGTTTCGCTCTTGTCACCGAGGCTGGAGTGCAGTGGCACAGTCTCAGTTTACTGCAACCTCCGCCTCCCGGGTTCAAGCGATTCTCCTGCGTCAGCCTCCCGAGTAGCTGGGATTACAGGCACTCGCCACCACACCCAGCTAATTTTTGTATTGTTAGTAGAGACGGGGTTTCACCATGTTAGCCAGGATGGTCTCGATCTCTTGACCACGTGATCCACCCGCCTCGGCCTCCCTAAGTGCTGGGATTACAGGTGTGAGCCACCGCGCCCAGCCAGGGCTTTTCTTGATGTTAAAAGTTCTCGAGAAGAAGGAGACTTCCAGGACTTTCCAGGGTCCCATACTCATTTGAGAGTGCTGAGATTACAGGCGTGAGCCACCACGCCAGGCCTAGACCCATTTTACACGTGAGAAACGGAAGAAGCTCAGAGATGTCCAGACTCAGCCGGCGGTGGCACAGCTGGCTGTGAAGCTGGGTGCTCGCAGGCCAAGGCCACGTCACTTTCTCTTCCCAGCTCACCGGGTTGTTTCTCTAGAAAATGCCCGAGAGATGGAGACAGACAAAAAGGAGGAAGTAGGGGCGTGGTGAGGGAGAGAAAGAAAAGACAGGGGAGAGAGGACAAGCCAGAGAGAGGCACAAATGGAAAGAGAAAATCTCAGAGCCTCACAGTAGTGAAGCTTGAGATGAGAAAGAACGGTGACTCCGTCTCCCCACCCACCCCACCTTCTCCTGCAAAAATGACTTGTCTCCCAGGGAGGGCCACTGGGCATCCCCGTTCCACACCCCTGCTGGCTTCAGGGCCAACCCTAGGTCACCTCCCCTGAGCTCCCCCTGCTTGGTCTCACCTCTTTGTGGGAAGGTCTGGCTTTAAATGTGCCCCAGATACCCAAGTTCAAATCCAGCCTCTGCACTTACTACTGACAGACCTTGAGCGATTGAGGAGCTCAGTGAAGATGCGGTGGGTGAATGAAAGCACTTTGTAAACCCCAGCAAGAGATGGTTCTGGGTTGCCTGTTCTCAGGGGCGAGATGGGGAGCAGCTCAGGGAGCATGAAGGGGATGGCGGCGTGAAGCCCTGCTGGCTTCCTGCCCTAGACAGTGCCCCGAGGGAGGGACGGGAAGATATAAATAAGACACGTAAAGGCCTCTGTGCTTCCCAGCTGCCCTAAGTCAGGAGTGGCTTTCCTGACACGGAGGGTGGCTTGGGAAATGAAAAGTGAATGGGTTGCTAAAATGTTTTACTTCCCCGGTGTTGTTGGTGGGGCTTTAATGAGGAGCCATGCATCACTTGGCCCCCTCGCCCCGGCAGATGATAAAGGGCCACCGCTCCCCGCGGGCCTCAGAACAACCCACCACTGCCTGGCTTGTAAATTGTTATGGCCCAATGAAGAGCTTGCCCTTAAATGTCACTCACCCAGGAATTAAGGTGAAGACAGGCACAGGGACTTGCCAGTGGCACGGCCCAAGGTGGGGGCTAGCAGGAGTGGGCCCTGCAGGATGGGGTGAGGGGCAGACTCCTCGGGAAGGGCAGTTGGATACCAGGTCTGGGGTTAATGAAAAGTGCCCCCTGCCCCCTAAGTGATCATTATCTCCAGTAATTATCCTTGCTCCTGGGGGGAAGCAGGGAGGGGCGCACTGAAGAGCTGTCATTAGAATGGACTGGCTAAAGAATCCAGACCTGGCGCACTGGCCTGGGGTCCTCAGCCTCTCTCCCCCTCTCTCTTCCCCATTCCATCTCCCCGCCACCCCACCTGTCTTCCTCCCCACCTCCACCTCTCTCCCCCCTCCCTGCCAATCTTTCTCTCTCAACCCAGTTGCCTGCATGGTTCACAGGTTTCTCTTTGCCCTGTGGACCCCAGGGTAGATTGAGAAGGAATCTTAATGAGTCTGACTCAGGCCGGCATCACGCAGGCTGCCCCGCTGTCTAGCTTCATTTTCTAACTTTGGGGGCACGGAAAGGTCGGCTTCCACCTCTTCCCTGGAGGCCCTTCTCTAGAAGAAGGTAGAACTTCAGGTGCCTTCCAGGAAGAAAGTGAGCTTTAGGTGCTTCCCAAGCGTGACCCTCTTCCCTCTCCTGTAACCTTTTAGCATTGTGGAATAAATCTCACGTCCAGAAAAGGGCATGAAACAAATGTTTCATTAACACATTATTTCAAAGCAGAGTAGCCACCACCTCAGTCACAGACCAGAACCTCACCAGCACCCAGCAGCTTGCGGATCCCTTCCCGTTGACCTTCTCTTCCCCAGAGGTCCCAGGCAGTCGCTTCCTACCTTTCTCTGTGTGTTCCCTCAACAACGTGCTTCAGTTTTCCCTGTTTCTGAACTTTATATAAATAGAGTCCTGCAGGATGCGGTGGCTCATGCCTGTAATCCCAACACTTTAGGGGGCCAAGGTGGGTGGATCACGAGGTCAGGAGTTTGAGACCAGCCTCACCAACACAGTGAAACCCCGTCTCTACTAAAAATACAAAAATTAGCCAGGTGTGGTGGCACGCACCTGTAGTCCCAGCTACTCGTGAGGCTGAGGCAGGAGAATCGCTTGAACCCAGGAGGCGGAGGTTGCAGTGAGCCGAGATTGCACCATTGAACTCCAGCCTGGGAGACAGAGCGAAAAAAAAAAAAAAAAATAGAGTCCCATGTACGCATTCTTTCGTATCTGGCTTCTTTCAGCCAGCCTGGAGGTGTTTGTGTGACTCATCTCTGTGGCTCGGGTAGTCACAGTTCATTCATTCTCATTGTCCTAGAGAGCTTGTCACTGTCTGCATGCTACAGCCCTGCCACCCATCTCCCCAGCCCACATGTCACCAGCTGCAGCATCTTCAAGTTTTGGGGCTCCTGTGCAGGAGGGATGTGACTGATCCTTCCTGCCAGGAAATTCCCCTTAGGTCTAACCTCTTTCTCCCTCACCCACACTTTGCTGGTTTGCTGCCTCTGATGAAGTCAGGGGAGAGGAAAGATACAGCAAAAATAACACATCAATAGCATTTGCAAGGCATTTTTCAAGTATGAAGCACTTCTTAATACACTAATTAAGTGAGATGGTCATTATCATCCTGTTCTAAGCATTTTATATTTTTAACTCATTTAACCCTCAGAACCACCTTTGAAGTAGGTGCTATTATTATCCCTATTTTATAGACATGGGAACTGAGAAGTTAAAGAATTTGTCCAAGGTAGGGTTGCCAGATAAAATACAGAATGAGCAGTTACATTTGAATTTCAGATAAGCAAGGAATTTTTTAAAGCATAAATATATCCCAAACACTGCATATTAAATTCAAATGGGCATCTTATATTTTTGACTTCCTGAATCTAGCAACCCTAGTCCAAGGTCACAGTGCAAGTAACAGTAAAGCCAAGATTCAGACCCCAGCTCCTACCCCACAGCCTTGTGCCCTTAGCCACTGCTCTCCTGTTACAGTGGGACCACACTAAGGCCCTGGCGTCCAGGGAGAAAAGCAGATGCATTTGAAACTGTTGAGTAAATCAAACAAGCAAGGCTAGGAAACAGATTTGCTATGGAGGCTAAAGGAGAGGGAGGAATTAAGAAAGGAGTTCAGGCCGGGCACAGTGGCTCACGCCTGTAATCCCAGCACTTTGGGAGGCCGAGGCAGGTGGATCACCCGAAGTTGGGAGTTTGAGACCACCCTGACCAACATGGAGAAACCCCATCTCTACTAAAAATACAAAAATTAGCCGGGCATAGTGGCGCATGCCTGTAATCCCAGCTACTCGGGAGGCTGAGGCAGGAGAATCACTTGAACCTTGGAGGTGGAAGTTGCCGTGAGCCGAGATCGTGCCATTGCACTCCAGCCTGGGCAACAAGAGTGAAACTCTGTCAGAAAGGAAGGAAGGAAGGAAGGGAGGGAGGGAGGGAGGGAGGGATGGAGGGAGGGAGGGAAGAGAGGTCAGTTTCTGGCTCCAGTAGGCAAGATTCAGACAGGAGGCTTCTTGCTAGGAATCGCCCAGCTCAGAGGAGACAGGGCATCTCCCAAGGCTGGGTCACCTGGGGGCTGGTGGCCAACCCCTCCAATCCTCATTCTCCATCTGGTCTGAAGGGATTTGGCTCAGCCCTGCCTGGCTCAGATACTTCAATCCTTCCATTTCTCACATGGCCCCAATCTCCAGCCTCAAAATTCATAAACAAACCACCTCATCCAACTGCTAGGCTCTCACCAGGGCCTGCCCTCTACCCTCCGTGGGCCCTGTGCCAGGGCGAATTGCCCTCTTTGGATGGGATGCAACCGAAAAGCCTCCCAACTGTAAAAATCACAAAATGTTTGGGATGGTGTCAGAGGCTGCAAATGTGGATACGTGCTTTTATTTTGCATAGAATAATGCATTTAATTACTTCTTCCAGGGGAAGCCTGTTTGGAAGATAGTTGAAGGCAATGCTAATAATAGCACTTTGCACCGAGGGCCTCAAACGTAGAGGAAGAGCCATGAGAGCATTTCATTTCTGTTCCTGAGAACTTGAAAGCTCCTGCAAACACTTGCGCCTTCTTCCTCAAGAGGCAGAGGGAAATGTGAAGAAAATGCTGCGGGTTTTCGCTTTTAACTCGCTGTTTTGATCCTCTGCAGCCGCTAGGATATCGGACTCCCAGAGAGACTGGGCGGGGTAGAGGGTGGTTATTGTCTGGTGGAAAGAGTGTGGAACTGGGGGACACAACTTTTCTTCTCCTTCCTTCTACCATACCCCAAAGGGCAGGGCCAGAGGGAGCCCCCCAAAAATGCCTGCCCTGGCTGAGGCTGTTTTATGCACAGAGCACTGCACAGTGAATCAGGATAATCTATTTTGCCAATTTGGTAAATTATGCTCCTTCTCTGGCCTTGGTCCTGCCCTAGGGTGTTAGGCAAATTGCTTAACTGCCCCGAGCCTTGTGTTCCTCATCTGTAAAATGGGCTCATAATGATACCTGCATAGAGGCATGCTATGAGGGTTAGATGAGTCAGATCATATGAATGGGCTTAGAACAGCGTCTGACCCACAGGAAGAGCTCCATAACAATAACAATTATTAGTTTCTGAGCAATGAGGAGTTTTGAACCAGATCAGGGACCAAGGAGATAAGGGTGCGAAGGGTGTAAGGAGACCTGGTGTGAGGCTTTAGGGAGCAGAGCCAGCTGTGGAACCCGGAGACAGCAGCCTGTGTAAACAAATTCAAATGTAAATTCTAAAAATGCTCTGCAAGCCAAACACAGTGGGTCTGTGGAGTGTGCAGAGCTCTGGGACCAGCAGTTTCAATGGGCTGAGCTTTATGGCTCCTTCTACCATGACAAATCTCTGTTATTTAAGTTCAGGCTCTACCACTCAAATATGGAACCAGCAGTGCCTTAGAGCCCTTCAAGTCCAACCAACCCCTTCACCCATTCTACAGGTGAGGAAACTGAGACCCATAGAGGGGAAGTGGCTGTTCCCCATGCAGGGCACTGTCCCACACGGCCTCCTAGCTTGCTGCTGTGTGCTCTTGGGGAAGTGGCTCCGGGCTGAGTTTTGCCTTTGCTTTGCACCCCTCCGGGCTGGGTTTTGCCTTTCCCAGAGAAGGAAGACCTTGGATTGGATGCCAACAAAATGTGGTGAAATAAGGATGAGTTTAGGAGCCAGAGAGGCCTGGATTTAAATCGTGGCTAAAACCTGGGCAGGATCTCTAGCCCCCAAGCCTTATCCCCATCGCCTCTATAGGGCTTGGTCTGTGGAGATATCAATACTTTAAGTTGCTTTACTTGGAGAAAGTCATTTATTCCTGGGAAGTGAGTCCTATTATTATCCCCAATTTACTGACAAGGCAACTGAGGCCCACAAAGGTCAAGTAACTTGCCCAAGGTCATGCATCGTGCAGGGTTGTCTATGGAAAGTATTCAGTGTCCGTTGTGTAGCCCAGTGCCCAGCACATAGCGTGCCAGGCACTCAGCATCAGCCCCATTGCCAATCCAGTCAGTGACTTCTAGGATGATGTCATCACAGCCAACACTCCCAGGAACCAGGAGACCTTTCACACACTGCATGGCTGTAGAATTAATAAAGTGTTGTAACCAAAGATTGGAAAAGAGACTAGGGGACTCGGCTCCTGGAGTGGAACTATTAAAAAAGAAAGAAGGCGCTCAGCTCCGCTACAGAGGAGTAAGAATAGGGCCCAGGCCTCCTCTTAGATGCTGGGCAAACACCAGGCGAGGGAGCATCCCTAACCAGCTCAATGTGTCTGCTGTTGGCCATAAAGATGGGGCTTATTAGCGCTATGGTGCTGGGAGAACCGAGGAGTAACAAAACAGCCTCTTTGGAGGGGGTAAAGAGGCAGGTTTATTACCCTCAGCAACGAGGGATGCTCAGGACCACAACCAGTCTCTCCTGATGAGGAGCCACAGCCCACCCCACTGGGACGCGGGGCCACCCCTACCCCACAGTCTCTGGACCTTTGCTCTCACCCGACTCCCCTGGCAGGAGCCAGAACGAGCTCCCTGACCTGTGCAGTCCTCCACCCTCGCCCATCCAGGCACAGCTGCTCCCTGCTTCCTCCTTGGTTTGACTGCCTGCATTCAAATTACTGGCTGTGGGACCTTGGGCAAGTCATCTCACATATCAGGGTCTTGGTGGCATCATCTGTAAAACAGAGAAATAATAGAGGCCAACTCATGGGGTCGATGCGGGGATCAAGTGAGGGCTTGTAATGTGCTTAGCCCAGTGTGTGACGCTGAGGAAACCCTCAGTAAAAGTCGCTTATGATTATTATTAACAGTTTGGCCCTCACTGCACGTTGTGTTATAATTTGATGATTTGATCTCCCCGATGAGACCATGGGCTCTGAACTCTCATTTCCTCATAACAACCCATGACATAGTTATTAATGTCCCCATTTTAAAGACGATGATACTGAAGCTCAAGGAGGGCCCCAAAGTCACACAGCTCATACCAGACAGGAGGCAGGTCCCAAATGTGGACTCTGTGGTCCTTCCACTCTGCTCCAGGACCTCAGCCCGCTCGAGTGGCCTCTGCGGCTCCCAGCTCTGCCGCCTCAGCCTGCACTCTGTGCAGTAAATAGTTAAAGATGCTGCTCCAGGACTCAGGCAGGAAATAATTAAGGGAAAGCAGCCTCAGCTTAGGAGGGCTCAGAAGCCAGAAACCAGGTGTGCAGGCCCCTGGGATGTGGGGAGCCAGGGGGCCAAGAGGGCTCTGAGCTGTGGAAGGGAGCTGCCGCCACTCCCAGCAGAAGCACCAGCCCCAACTGCTTCATCACCAGACGCTGCTGCTGAGAGGGCGTGTGCACAGATACAGGGACACACACAGGTGCAGAGACACAGAGATACACACGCAGAAACAGACCCCCACATACAGAGATGCACACGCACACCCACGCCCACTCACCCTCCTGCAAGGCTGTGTTAGACGGATTGTACCTGCTTCCTAAGGAGAGGGACTGGGTGCTGTGGCCAGAATGGCTGAGGGCTCCTTGTCATATAGGAGAGGTTTGGGCAATTGTGGAAAGTTCAACTCACAGGCCAGCACTGCAGTGGGGAGAGGGGGATCCTAGTGCCCTGTTGAGGATAGAGGGTGAGAGGTCAGAGAATCTTAGGGTTAGTAGATCTGCTCCCCCCTGACCAGCATCCAGAAAATTCTATGACCCTCCCCTCCGTAGAGGTTTCAGACTTTCATGGATATCAGATCCACCTAGGGTGCTGATTAAAAAATTCAGACACCTGGGCCGCCCCATCAGAGATTATTATCCCCACCTGGCAGGAATGGAAACTGAAGCCCAGAGAGGCTAGGTAACTTGCCCAGGACCACATAGCAGGGCTGGTATATGGGCAGTCCAGTGCCCAAGCTCTGAACCACCATGCCAGGCTGTTTCAGGCACCTGCAGACCCAGATGCAGACATCTGAGGACACACCACAACCAGTCCCTGAGGGGAGCAAGATGGGGAGCAGGGTGCAGAGCTGGACACAAAGCCAGGACCCCAAACTCAGCGCTCTGTTCCCACGTGGGCCAGGAGACTCAAGAGAAAAACCTGAGGCCCAATCCCAGCTGCGTGAACTGGCTCGACAAGGCTGCGGGATGCAGAGGTAAGTGCCTAGTGGTCAGGAACACTGGTTCCAGAGTTAGCTGGAGCTGTGTGACCTTGGACAAGTGACTCAACCTCTCTGAACCTATAGTAGAACAAGGATAAAAACAGTCCCCACCACAGAGGGCTGTTGTGAGGATTAAATAAACTAGTACATGAAAATTAGCTAGATGCTAATGGTGGCATCTGGGTGGGTGGCGGTTTAGTCTCCTACAGACTCAGCTGTGGGGTAGGGGCTAGGTGAATGGCCAGAGAGCTGTCTGAGGAGGATTAGTCCACTCCTCTTGGCCCATCCCAGGGCAACTTGAAGCCAGTATGACTCGTCTTCCCCTCCAGGAGAGGGGCAGAAGGGAGGCTAACCCTGGCTCCAGATGCAGCTGAGCTAGATTTTTCTGCCCTGATCGTGGGCTGCCATCTGTGCAAGGCTGGTTGGACCCACCAGCCTCAGAGGGTGGTTAATTTACAACCTGTGCTGCTGCTTGTCCACACCAGGCCAGAGCAGCCTCAACCCCCAACCCCTCAGTCTCCAGCAGAAGAATATGCGAACACTCCTCAGAACAAGTTCCAGCTCGAGTTCCTTCCTTCCTGCTTCCGTCAACTCCATCCCTCCAAGCCTTGGCCTCCCCTCAGCACCTCATCCAACTGGCAAACTTCCAAGGAGAGGCAGGACAGTGAGCAGGCACTCTGCCCAGACTGCCTGTGTTCAACCTCCAGAGCTTACCAGCTCTGCAACCTTGGGTAAGTCGCTTAGCCTCTCTGTGCCTCTGTTTCCTCATCTATACGATGAAGATAATAATAGAAGCCTCTTTTTCAGGAAGATGAGGTTATGGGTGCTACGGAGCTCTGGTCCGCCAGTTCCTGCTGCAAGTCACCGCTGTTCACTCACCAAGAAACAAGTTGGTCAGGAAGCTGCACTGCAGCTGTGGTGTTTTTTTGTTTTGTTTTGTTTTTTTGAGACGCAGCCTTGCTCTGTTGCCCAGGCCAGAGTGCAGTGGCACAATCTCAGCCCACTGCAACCTCCACCTCCCAGTTTCAAGCCATTCACCTGCCTCAGCCTCCTGAGTAGCTGGAATTACAGGCACCTGCCAACATGCCCAGCTAATTTTTGTATTTTTAGTAGAGATAGGGTTTCACCATGTTGGCCAGGCTGGTCCTGAATCCCTGACCTCAAGTGATCCACCCACCTTGGCCTCCCAAAGTGCTGGGATTACAGCCACGAGCCCCCGCGCCCGGCCCAGCTGTGGCTTTTAAGGACACCAGAGAAACACTCATGGAGCCAGAGGTGGCAAATCACCGAATTAGAATTACCCTAACCAGCTGCAAAGAAAAATCCCTGGAGGTGTGTGCTGACTTGATCAGAGGCCCCAAGGAAAGAACTCTCAAAAGTGACAGGACCAATTCTGATGCCTCCCAGGACTTTGAGAATCACCCTGAGAAAAACTTGTGGTGGGCTGGGCGCTGTGACTCACGCCTGTAATCCTAGCACTTTGGAGGCCGAGGCGGGTGGACCACTTGAGCCCAGGAGCTCAAGACCAGCCTGGCCAACATGGTGAAACCCCGTCTCTACAAAAAAAATACAAAAATTAACCAGGCGTGGTGGCGCGCACCTGTAGTCCCAGCTACTCAGGAGGCTGAGGTGGGAGAATCGCTTGAACCCAGGAGGTGGAGGTTGCAGTGAGCCGAGATTGTGCCACTGCACTCCGGCCTGGGCAACAGAGCAAGACCTTGTCTCAAAACAAAAAGACAAAACAAAAACAACAACAACAACAACAAAAACTTGTGGTGCAGGTTCTAAGACGCAGGGTGTCTTCCAGATAAGAATCCACAAGTGACTCATTGACTTGCACCGTCCTCTGAGGTTATCAGCTCATTACTTCCATTAGTAATGTGCCCAGGAGTGAAGGCTGAAGTCACCATTGCAGATGCTTAGGTCAACTATTTTAATTCATTGATTACTAGTTGTTAAAAAAATCATAGCAGCCACCTCCTAGTGCTGTTGTTAGGATTAAACAATCCCATGGACAAGGTTTCAAACAGCCCCAGGCACAGGCTATGGGCTCAATGATCATCAGCTGCTGGAGTCCCTGCAACACGGTGGGTGCGGGGGAGGGGTCAGGGTGTCAGGGAAAGGGATTGACTCAAGGCCTCCAGGCCTCACCCCGGGGAGGAGGAGGGACCTGGTGTGTAACTAACCTGTCATGAGGGGAGAAGGGCCATGGGTGGTGAGGGGGAAGGGAAGAGGGTACCCAGAAGAACAGCCAAAGTCAGGACTGACCTCTGGTGGGAAGGAAATGAAAGTTTGCGCTGAGGCTGTCCTGTCTCCCGCTATTCCTCCTTCCATTCTTCCTTCCTTTTCTACCCCAGTCCTGAGGGAGAGACAGACATGGAGAGATCCGTTGTCAGGCTTCACCCTGCTCCCTGGGCAGGCCTCAGGCCACCAACCATTCTTTTAGGGCCTCCAGCCCTCTAGATAGGCTGGCGTAGGACTCCACTGGGACAGGGTGGTCACTGCTGTAGAAGGCAGGGCTGTGTCCCCCTCAGACTGGGGCTCCCTGAGTCAGGGCTGTGGCTCCCCTCAGACTGCGGCTCCCTGAGGACGGGGCTGAGTCTCCTCCCTGGGAGTCACCTCATTTATCTCCTGGAACAAGACTGACCTCATGGGTGTTCTAGGGAGGGAAAGGATGTTCCATTTACTCAAAAATTCCTTTCTTCTTGCCAATAGGTGGGCCACAGGATAGAGCATTAAAGGGCCTGGTAGAAACTGGAAAGACCTGGTAAGGGCCATGGAGTCCATGCTTGGTGGTGGGGGCTGATGGAGGTTATGTTGCGGACATACTCTCTTCCCTGGTCCTGCCCCTGGCCCCAGCCAGAAGCTTTCTTAAGCTTGCGCCAGTTTCAGGGGGCAGGAAGGAGTGTGGATGGCTCCCCAATGCCCAGCCTTCTTAGGAGCCCCAGAGGGAAGCCCCCGTGGTGTAGGGGTCTGAAAGACCATCTCCACGCAGAAAACACAGGGGTTTATTGAGCTTCAGGGGCTGCCCACTTCGTGTCTGTTGCATAAATAATTGCAAACTCGCAGGCCAGTTCCTCCCCTAGCCTAGACCACTCACCTCTGCCAGCCTCTATCTTCCCAAACCCCGCAGGGCCAGCCCGTGTTCCCCAGTCAGCCCAGCCGCACATTGTGTCAACCTCTCTGTCCCCTCATTGCATTCAAGCCCGGCCTCCACTCAAGCCCTCAACCTTGTCACTCATTCAGGAATGCCCAGGCTCCACCACCAGAGACCCTGGTTCAATTGGCTGGTGGTGGGGCAGCAGGGCATTGATTCCTTTTCATTCCCCAGGTCATGCTAACATGCATGCTAGCAAAGCTGGGAGTCTAAGCTGTAGGCTCCTCCAGAGGAAGGGGAGCTACCTTTTATCTCTAAATCCTAGCATCTAGCACGTGCCTGGCTCATAATAGGTGCTCAATAAATGTTTGTTAATCAATGACTGCCAAACAGATGGGCCATCCCCTTCCTGGAGGTGCCTGAAGGTACCCAGGACTGGAGTCACTCTTCCTCTCCAGCAGGCAAGGCAGTGATTAAGAGCTTCTCTCTGTTGCCAGACAGAACTGGGTTCAAATTCTGCCACTTCCTCGACCTTGGGCAAGTTAAACCTCAGTTTCCTCATCCACCAATGGGGCTGATAATATCCCCTCCCTCAGAGAGTTGTTTTGAGGATGGAGAACACTTCTGTGAAGGCTTGGCTCAGGCAGTCTGTGTTAACCTGGGTCCTGGCAGGAAACAGATGGGTCATTCGAACTGTTCAGGCATTTACCAAAGGGGTCGTTTGCATAGGTGTGGGCTGGGTTGAGGAAAGCAACAAGGAACAGTGCAGAACACCTGGGCCAACCAGGATGGGGAGCTAGCCATCCATAGGAAGGATAGAGAGGAAAGGGGAGGGAGTGGTCAAAGGAACCCAGAGACAAAATTATGCTGTAGACCAGGCGCGGTGGCTCACGCCTGTAATCCCAGCACTTTGGGAGGCTGAGGTGGGTGGATCACTTGAGTTCAGGAGTTCAAGACCAGCCTGGCCAAGCTGGTGAAGCCCTGTCGATACTGAAAATACAAAAATCAGCTGAGCATGGTGGCAGGCACCTGTAACTCGGGAGGCTGAGGTGGGAGAATCACTTGAACCTGGGAGCTGGAGGTTGCAGTGAGTCGAGATTGTGCCACTGCACTTTAGCCTGGGCGACACAGTGAGACTCTGTCTCAAAAAAAAAACAAAACTATGCTATAGGCAAGGGGCCATGACAGGTACCATGGACATTGAGGAGGCAGCCAGTGCCATCCCAAAATATCTACCCCAACCTCACTCACCTTCCTCCCTCCAGTCTCCCATCATTGGGTAACACCACCCAGAGAAGGTCCCAGGATGCAATCCTGAGTCAGCCTCCCGGGGCACAGTGCAGGGCAGAAGAGGGGGGAGAGTGGATTTCGAGGAGCAAACAGAAGATCTCCAGCACTGATATCAGCCAGCGCTGATTAAATAGTATTGCTATTATTACTGTTCATTTGGCCCGTGAACCCTCTTGTGATGACTGACCTTGATATTTAACTGTATTGTATGCACACACAGGGTCTCCTTGGCGTAGCAGATGGCCTAGGGGCAGGACCAGGTCCTTGCAGCAGGTGTGGCAGGTGCCCCGTGCATACTGGAGGAAGAAAGGACTACGTCTTTGCACCACAGCATACTTCCACGTTCAGCCACAGGCATTCACGCTTTTGACAAGCCATCAAATGGCTTTTCTATAGCAAGCTTCATTAAAATGGAAGCACATTGCTCTAGTATGCAGATGGGGCCACTTTATTACTTTTTAATTTGTTTACGGAAAGCCCATGTTTGGTGTACACCATCTTTGCAAATAGTAACAAATGGGCATGTTTGCTGCCTCCAAAGCTGTGGTGTCCCTGGATAAATAGACCGAAACCATGTTGGAGCACTGCGCTTGGTTACTCTTAATAGAATCTGACATGCTCTTCAAAATGTGCAGAAGGCTGGAGGGAAGGGGGCCACAGTGCGTGTGGCATGTGGCTTTGGGTGACTCTAGTCCCTCTCTGGGCCCTCTGTTTCAATCTACACAGTAAGTGACCAGGCCCAAATGGAGCCTTTGCAGCTCTCCTATTCCACAACTTCAAGATTTCTCTACCTTTACCATCCTGGAAGCTACAAACCTTCCTGAACCACCCGCCTCCCAACTCCCAAAGGAAGCCCTCTTCACTCAAATGAGATAAAACTTACAAATTACCAAATTCATTTAAAAAATGGGTCAAATTGAATGAAGAATACTTAATGGAGCACAACTATTCAAATGGCAGTTAAACACTCCTACAATAGACCCCCAAAGCACCAATATTCTCAAACTGATCAGGACACTCCAATTCCAGTTTCATTCATTGTTAGCTGTGCATTGTTGCTTAACCTCTCTGTGCCTCAGTTTCCTCACTGGTACAGTGGGGATAATAATGATACCCTCCACCTGGGTTGTTGGGGGGATTTGATTCCTTTTTGTGGTTTATTTTGAGGCAGAGTCTTTCCCCATCACCCAGGCTGGAGTGCAGTGGTGCGTTCACGGCTCACGGCAGCCTCGAACTCTTGGGCTCAAGGGATCCTCCCACCTCAGCTTCCCAAGTAGCTGGGACTACAGGTGTGCACCACCACTTCTGACTAAATTTTTTAAAGTTTTTTTTTAGAGATTGGGTCTCACTAAGTTGCCCAAGCTGGTCTCAAATTCCTGGCCTCAGGAGATCTTCCTGCCTCCATCTCCCAAAGTGCTGGGATTACAGGCATGAGGCACTGCACCTGGCCAGGATTCGATTCTTCTAACCATTCAGAACAGGGTGTGGCATCAGCAAGTAGTAACTGTTAATTACTGTCATTGTCCTTATGCATGGTAGCAGTAGTACTTCTATTAAAGAGAAAGGACTTGGGACTATCTCTGTTACATAAAGTGGCCCATTCAGCAGAATCTGTCCTGTCCCGACCACACCTAAGGAAGGACACTTGCCCTTCAAGTCACTTTCTATCACACTCCCCCGGTTTCTTTTTTTCAAGGCACTCATCATCATGAAAAAAAAAATCCTTTTTATGTATCTTCCTATTTGTTGTCAGTCTCTCTCCCTCTCGGCATGGGCTCCACGAGGGCAGGGACCTTGTGTCACTCATGGCTATCTCCCCAGTGCCTAGAACAGCATTTGGCAGTTTCTCCATAAATATTTGTCAAACGAATGAATGTCTACATCCACAAAGTGTGCAGTGTTGTGCAGACATGAGCTCTGGGAACTAAGATGCTTGTTACAAAGGCATTGGTCAAAGCCGGGCCCATGGGGAAGCCACAATACACACAGGCACACCCGACCTCTGAAGTCTGAATTCATGGGACTATCCATTAACTGGATCTTTGTTTTAACTTTTAAGATAAAACAAGATCAGAAAAGAATGCAAGGAACAAAACAATATCCTAATCCTTTACCTCCTGGGCCTCCCCCCCAGGGACCTGGGATAAGGTGACACCTTGTCCTGAAAAAGGGTTCCCAGGGTGCAGAGGCTCTGTGGTAAGGAGGATATGCCATTTTGGGTGACCGGCATGTTACAGTTTAAAAAGTTATCTTGGAGCCATCATCTCACCTGAGATCTCCTTGTGAGGATGGAAAGCCCCCACGCCCTCTAAGTGTTATTGCCCCCATTTTACAGATGTGGAAGCCAGGGGAAGAGGCAGAACTGACTCGCCCTTCTCACAGCCTACCTATGGTGCCTGCCGATAATACCTTATGGCCTCCTCAGAAAGGAATACTAATAACTCCGCTAAGGCAAGGGACAGGATTTGTGCATTTCTAATCAATGTTCAACTGTAGGAGAACGAAACTAAAAGGAATGGGCTATTCTCAGTTAACCAGTGTATACTATTAGCCAGAAACACACACACACACACACACACACACACACACCGCCCCCAACATTCTGGCTGGAAGTATACCTTAAAGATCATCCCACTGGGTGCCCTCAGAATTTCAGAAAGTATATGTGTCTAATTGATCACTCTAGCAAAGATGCAGGGGCCAACATGAGGAAATAAAAAGGCTGCTTCTCCTGAGAAGGGTTCAAAGGCATTCTATTATTATCATTGACAGTAATAACACTCAACACTCAGTAAGCTTGCACTAACTATGCACCAGGTACTGTTTTAAGCCCTTCAGACCACAGCAGCTTTGTGTTGTATTATTTTCCCCGCTGCTTTTTGTTGTCGTTGTTGTTGTTGAGATGGAATCTCTGTCAGCCAGGCTGGTGTGCAGTGGCGCAATCTCGGCTCCTTGCAACCTCCACCTCCTGGGCTTAAGCAATTCTCCTGCCTCAGCTTCCCGTAGCTGGGACTACAGTATTTTTAGGAGAGACGGGGTTTCACTATGTTGGCCAAGCTGGTCTCGAACTGACTTCAGGTGATCCACCCGTCTCAGCCTCTCAAAGCGCTGGGATTACAGGCCTGAACCGCCACGCCCAGCCATTTTTCTCACTTTATAGATGAGGACACGGAGGCACAGAGAAGTGAAGGGACACCCTCAAGATAACAAAGCTGGTAGGTGGCAGAGCCAGGATTCAAATCCAGGCAGACAGACTCCTGGGCTCACACTCTTCACTCTTACAGCCTGTTGTCTCTCCAAGGGAAAAATCTTAGGAAGTTTTTTAAAAAGTAAAAATATACGGTATGGTATGGTTTGGCTCTGTGTCCCCACCCAAATCTCATGTTGAAACGTGATCCCGAGTGTTGGAGGTGGGGCCTGGTGGGAGGTGATTGGATCATGAGGGTGGTTTCTAGTGGTTTAGTACCATCCCCCTAGTGCTGGCTCATGAGATCTGGTTGGTTAAAAGTGTGTGGCACTTCCCCTTTGCCCTTTCTCTCCTGCCACCATGTAAAGAGGTGCTTGCTTCCCATGCACCTTCCTGAGGCCTCCCAGCCATGTTTCCTATACAGCCCGCTGAACTGTGAGTCAATGAAACCTCTTCTCTTTATTAACTGCCTAGTGTCAGGTAGTTCTTTACAGCAATGTGAAAACAGACTAATACATAGTAATATTGGTAAGAATCCATCTTATTGCTAAAATTTTAAATCACAAAGATAATTATTAGTAGTGAAAGCTCATGACTGTCCTGTTGGCCGTAAAACCTTCCATGTAATAGCATTACCGGCAAGTGAGGCCCAACATTTTGGCTGGTGGACATGAAGGAAAGAGCGTTTGGGCCACGGTTATAAAACATGTGTCCCAGCATGATTACTCCTGGGTCTTAGAAATGGTGCACTCATCTCACTCCTGCTCTCCTTTTACATATAAAGTATGTGAAGCCCAGAGAGGTTAGGTGACTCACCAGAGGTCACACAGCAAGTTATGGGGGAACTTAACCACTCAATTCAATGAATGCTTAACATCATATCTGCCATTTGATTGAGTTATGTTCTTTGCATTAGAAGCCAGAGAGAAGCCCAATGCCAGATCAGGATGGGCCAAGTTAGCCAGCAAAGGGCTAGAACTAGTTCCTTCCAGGGCTCCAGTCACAGCCCAGGCTATTTTCTGCCTAAGTGCAGCTGTTGCTGTGGGGTAGTCACTTAAGGGTTTTAGCCCTTGGCTCTCCTCAGGAGAGGAAAAAGGAAAGACCAGAGCCTACTGATCCTTTTGTGTGAGGGCCAATGAATACCTCACACCTTTCAGAAACTTCCAAATAACCCTCTGCCTTCCAGTAATTCTAGGAGAATGGAAATTGACTCCCACCTGCCTCTCCTACCACCATTCAAGCTAATGGCTTGGGAAGAGGCCAGAGACCACTTCTCTGTGTGCCTGCAGTCTCCTCCTCCTCCTCCTCCTCACAGGCCCGGGATATTGATCATCTCCATCAGTGATGTCACAGGACTGGGTGGGGAGGAGGCCACTCCCCTGCAGGGGAAGCTGAAGACAGAGATCTTCAGCCATGCAGCCGGGAAGTGGGGAGAGCAGAGGAAGGGGGCCCAGGAGCCCCTCCGAGGGTCTGTGCTGGAGGCTTTCCAGTGAGGCGACAGCAGCTTATTACAGCTAATTTCCTTCCCCTTGCTAGAACCAAAAATCCACAGGGTTTTCGCTGCATATTTGTGTATCTGGCACTCTCAGCTCGCCTCCCCTTGGGGACCATAAGAGATGCAGAGGAAAGAAACAACATGGCCTTCCATAATTTCAAAGTCAGTTCCAGAGTTAATAATAAATTAAGAGCTGGGGGCGGGGTGGAGGCCTAGATGTGGCGGGCCCACTCTTGCAGCGTAGACCAGCCCCTCTGGGAACATCTTCTGGAAGTCAGGAGAAAAAGTAGGTGCCCTGGGGACCGAAGACACTGAGGTGGTCCCACTGTGGAAAGCTTCCCCCTGGACCTCAGGTTTCTGTGGTACCCACACCAGGATGGATGGGGATGGAGGTGGGAAGAACTGGAAAGTATTCTCTCCCACTTCTCTCCGGAGCAGGCACCAGCGCCATCGGAGCACCCAGTAGTCCCACAGTCTCTGAGGAGGGGGAGCATAGCTGTTTCAGAGAGAACAGGAAGACTTCTCTACATGGAAGACGACTAAACCCACTCACCTCTGAGGAGGTTTCCAGACCAGCAGCCATACCAGTTGGAAATCCAACAGTCCCAAATGCCTGTGTGATTTTGTTATTCATTCTTTAGGTCCTAGGAAGACTATCTCCCAGACTAGAAGCTCCCTGGAGACCAGGGCCTCTGACATCTGACTGGAAGCTCAATCACTTCTTGTCAGAGCTAGAGTGTGAGGGGACTGGGAAGCAGCAGGGAGGATACTAGGCAGGTTTTGCCCCAAGAAGGTGGAGTAGGGGATGAACAAGATCGCTGCCCTGAAATATCTGAAGGGTGGTCCTGTAGGCATGGAGTTCACACCTAGGCCAACAAGAAGAGCTAGGATGAATGAGAGATGACACAAGGGACTCGACTTGGGATCCAGAAAAGGGTGAACTTTCTGGGAGTGGCTCAGCGAGAGGCAGTGAGCCTCCCACTGCAGGGGGAGCTTCTGGGGAGGGGCCCGGAGCACAAGGTGGCAGGTGGACCCGGTGGTTGTTAGGATCCTTACCAAGCCCAAGAGTCAGTCCGTGATGGATAGATGTTCCAGTCTCTTCCGCCCCTACACCTAGAGCTCCCCCTCCTGACCACACAGAGAGGGACCAGAGGCAAATGTGCAGGAGGACACAGGGACCCAATCCCAGCCAGGGAGGCCACCAAACAAATCAATCAGGCAAACAGCCACAGGCAGAGGATGGACACAGCGGGGGCTGGTGTGGGGCTCTGTCCCCCTCTTCCCCACCCCATGGCCTAGAGGACAGTCCCTGTGTCTGCCAGCTGAACAGGCTAATAAATAGGAAAATCTGTCTTCCCTGCTGATGGAGAGAGTGTTCTGTCCTCTCCACCGCAGGGGAGTGAGGCCTCAGCTCATCCTGCATGCTACAGGGGACCCACTCATTCTTCACAAGGAAAATGGGGCAGCACAGAGCCGGGGAGTGACTTGCCCGCAGCCACACAGCTCACACGGCTGGTAAGAGGAAGGGGCGAGGCAGAGCCCAGGACTCCTACCCTACTGCCAGCCAGTATCCTTTCTCCTGCCCTTGCCTGCCCCTGTAGCACCATCTGCTCCTGCAGCAATTGGGATTCCTTTTAAAACATATGTTCATCTCAGGCAGGTCCCAAAGTGGATGGAGAAATGATATGTATGTTCTTTGCTGGCCCCGGAAGAGCTGGCAGAATGAGCTCTTGACATTTCTGGGATACTTCCAGAAGCATTCCCGGGAATGCTTCTGGTCTCCATGCTTCCTCCCCACCACCATATTCTCTCCCCAGCATTGGGGAAGCATGGATTTGTCATTCTTCTCCTCCGTGTGCCCATCTGCTTCCTTCCAGGAACCCCTCCACACCTTGAAGGCCAGGCCAGCTCCTCCAGCTCCTGATGGGCTGTTAACAAGAAATTTGGAGGCCAGACCCCTGTGCACACTGCTGAGGAGCCCAGGGCAGTTCAGGACTGAACACAGCCAGATGTGTTCAGCAGGGACCATGACCTCTCCCCGCCTACGAGTAACAGGAACTAGTCCTGGAACTAATCCACATCTCAACCCAGACCCCAGAAGTCCACCCTCCTTCACCCACCAAAGCAGACAGCTCGGTCCCACAGACTCGGCCCCTCCTCCACTACCCAGACACTGTCTGAGGCTGGAGACTGGACGCAGTGACCTCTGGGGATCCCTTGCTTGAGGTTTCTGGTTCCATCAATCCCAGGGAGCTGGAGAAGGAGAGCGGATTTCCCTCCAGGACTCCCGCGGATACCGACCTGAGCGCATCCGCTAAAGTCCTCGCAGCAGCGCGTTCACAGGCTCCAGAGCAGGCCTGCGGGTCCTGTTCCCTCCCCCACCCCTGCCCCTCCTCTCAGACCCAGGGCAATTTCCCTACAAGTGTGCTCACGCTGGGCCCTCTGAGCCACGGCGCCAATTGACTGGATTTCAATCAGAACTCCATCTCCCTTAAGGACCGCTTTGGATAAAAGCAGAAGTAACCTGCAATCTAGATGCTGATGCCAAACCGTAATGGGGGAGCCGGAGAGAAGCCGGGCCCAACTCCGGCCCCAGCCCCCAGCCACGGCGAAATCAGGCCTCAGCTGAGGCGCACGCAGCTTCCAGGGCCCGAGGAAGAGGGTAGCCTGAGTTCCCTCCATCTCCGCCACCAGCCGCCACAGGCTAAATCCTGGAGCCTGCCGGTGGGGTTAGCCGGCTGCTAGCCGTTTTAACAGTTGGCCAGGGGCCAGGGACCAGCCTTGCACCCCTGGGCAGGCCCTGTGTGGGTCCCTGCGCGCGCGCAACAAGGGCCCTTATAGGCCGGCTAAGGAGGGTCTGGGTGTCCTTAAGAGCCAGGAGGAGCTGCGGGCTCAGCACTTGTTCCCACCTACTAACCCCCAACCTCATCGCCAGCTGCCGCTTCCGCCACTGGGTCCTCTCCGGGCTATATTGCGTTCAGGAAACGGTCACTCCGAGAGAGCGGGGCTGCTCCAGTGACCCCCTGCCCCCGCCCCACTGCCTCCAGACCCCGCACCGCGGGCGAAGGCGGGGCTGTAGGGACAGGAGGGACCCCGCGGAGCGCTGTCAGCTCTGGTGCGCAGTACGGACAGCCTCCCTGGTAAATAATGCACGCCTCCCGGGCCAAGCTGCAGCAGGTAGTGTATCAAAGTAATATCGCGCTGCGAATTGCAGTGTAATCGCCGTAATTTAGGGCCCCGTGGGTGAGCCCGTTTCGGAATGGCTGCGCGCCCGGACGGGCAAGGTGACTGGAGCGTCTGCGCCGGCTTTGACCTCTGGATTTCCTCCAAGCTAAGTGAGCCCATAAAAAATGGAGAAGCCCAGGCTGTCTCCCAGCAAATGGGGTGTGGGCAGAGAGATTGTGTTATCTATCCAGACCCAGCGAGATGGATGCACTTGCCGGGAGAAAAGCGATGTCACTGCGAGCACAACCCGGCAGGTTGGGTATCCGCGTGCGGCGCCCATCCTCTCCCAGGTGGCCGAGAAGGCAGGGCGATGTGTCGGCTGCGCCCTGCCAGGAGCTAGGTGTTTTCATTAGGACTTGGGCGGCCCCTGCCGCCGTGAGCTGGCGGATCCGTGCCTCCCACGGGCTGCTCAGCAACCACCTTCCAGGGCCCCCAGGACCGGACTGCGCCGTGGCCGCTCCTCCTCCCTCCTCTTGTGCTGGGAAGTTGGAGTATTAATATTCCTGCCCAGGGCCTCCTGGGGGGCCTGCTGCCCGCCTCCCCTCCCCCAGCTCTACCAGGGAAAGTCATTCTGGGGTGGAGAGATGATAGCAGGAAATGTGTTTGCAGGCTCCCTTCTAACTTCTTGATGGGAGCCAGCTGGAAGCGCAAAAGCTGTGTTGTCCCTCTGTGCTCTGCTCCTGGTGACCTAGAAGGCGATAATCATGAGCCTCTCTCAGGAAAGACAAAGAAATGGAAAAACTTACTAGGGGCTGCAGGCCCGTCACATTGCATTAGCAGAGAGCCTTGCGTCTGCGGCCCTACCTCGGTGCCAGGCAGGGTGTTCCGTGTATCTTTAGAAGCCCCTGCCCCCACCCCATGCCTAATTTCCCGGACCCAGGAGTTACTGGTTCCTCCTCACCCATCTCTAAATCATTTTACGTCTCTCATTGAAGAGCTGGGGCAGACACCCAGCCTTCCTAGTCTGAGAATCTGCTGATATTCCCCAGCCCTGTTCCACAGCCCCCTCCAGCTTTTCTTTTTGCCTGGGTGGTGGGCTCTGAGCTAGTAGGGACCTTGGAAACCAGCAGTTCTAGTTAAACAAACCAGAGTGCATCCTTCCCGCAGAACATTCTGCAGCAAGAACGAGGGAGATTTATGTGTATGGGGACATGGAAAGATGTCCAGGATATATTGTTAAACAGAAAAGGCAAGTTGCAGAATAGCATGTAAAGTATAGTCTCATTTGTGTTACATTTTAAATAAAGGCTATATATACTCACATGCTTGCATATGCATAGAAAATGTCTGGAAAGATAAAAAGAGACTGTTAGCAATGGTTGTCCCACAGGATAAGGAGAAGCAGAAAGGGACTTTAACCTCTCATCTTACATTATGTACTGTTAAATTTTTTTAACAATTGTATTACTTGCATAATTTAAACATAAATCTTCCCCCTCCCAAAAAAAAAAAAAAAAACAGCAATTTCTCAGCGCAACCGCTTATGAAACTGAGGCCCAGAGAAGGAAAAGGACTTTCCCAAGTTGCACAGCACTTATAGCTTGGCCTCAGCACTGGTCCTGCCCTCTCCTCACCCCAGGCACACAGCTCTGCCAGCCAGACCAACCAGACCCATGAGGGAATAATGGACCACCCCCTTCCCAGAGCAGGAACGGCCCCTGACTGGGGTGTGACCCTACTTGAGGGAGCAGTCAGATAAAGGCAGGGGATCCCAAGATGAGAATTAGAGATGGATTTGGAACCTGGCTGGATGGCCTGCACTTGCCTGTGACCTTATCCAGCCACTGCCAGCCCAGTCTTCTGACACAGCTGGCTTCTCTTGGTCCAGGCTTGGCCAGGGTAGGGTCTGAAGGGTCATACCTAGGGTGACTTACCATCTTGATTTGTCCAGGACTCAGAGGTTTCCCGTGACGTGGGACTTTCATTGCTAAAACTGGGCAGTACCTAGAAAACGGGAACAAGTCGGTCACCTTTGTCTCGCCAGACATGTCCGCAGCAACATGCCAAGAGTCTGGCAAGGACACCTCTTGGTAACTCAAGGGCAAAGATTCTAGAAGTTTATCTCTGGGTGAAGACAGCCAGCCCCTGCTCTGATTTTTCTGAAAAATATGAAGCTGCAAGAGTTAATTTACATTTTGTCAGTTGTGCTTTCTCCTTGCATTCGTCCACACACATGCGCGCGCGCACACACACACACACACACACACACACACACACACACCGCTCCTAGTCTCCCTTAGTTTACTGAGAGGCATGTCCACCGGGGCCCAGCAATACCACACAGAGCCCACTGAGTCTCTTTGAGCAACATAATCCTCAAGAAATTCTAGAGCCTATAATTACACATGAGATGCAGCGCAATTTCTCATCTCTCCCTCCCCACCCCAGGAGACAAAAAGGAAATTTCACACCCTAGTGAGCCCAGCTCATCTTTTCCTCTTTGATGCCAGCCTGGGGTTAAAAAGCAGGGACAGACGACACACGCCTCCTCTGGGGCCTGATTCTTTTGCTGATTTTGAGATTCAAAGCATGCATCTTAAAGATCATAATCTGATTGTGCTATGCCCGCCTTCCCGGCCGATTAATGGCCTCCTGGCTTCCGCACTGCAGCACCCAGTGCTCTGCAGAAAGCCACCTCCCACACCCCAGCCCCACCTGAGTCTGGCAACCCAGAGGAGAAAAGGCTAAGGCTAAGCAGGGGGCGTGTCAAGGAAGGAACAGAGATCTAAGTTCAAGTCCTAGTCCTGTCGCTAGCTAGCTGTGTGACTTTAGATAAATTGCTTGCCCTCTCTGGTCTTTGATTTCCTCACCATGAAATGAAGGTATTGACCTACATGGTCTCTAAGTCCCGTTAGACCCAATAAACCAGACTTCCTTGGTTAAAATCTCGACTCCTTCTTCTAGGTGGGTAAACTTGGGCAAGTTTCTCCACTTTTCTATGTCTCTGTCTTCATTCACCTCATTGTGTTGTAGTAAGAATTAAGTGAGTTAACATTTTTAAAGGGCTTAAAACAGTGCCTGGCACATGTCAAAGAACTTGTGGCAGGGATATCAGTGCTCCGTCTTTACACCCCTGGCACTCACTAGTCCCATGCCTGGCTCTTGGACTCCAAGCACCTGTGGTTCTGTGCCCTGCCTGATAGGTTTCTTTGATTCCACACCCCTACCCCATCACTCCAGTGTCCTTGCCCTGAGCTCCACGCAGGCTGAAAGTGCAAGGAGTGTAAATGGCTCAGAGCAGCCCTCAACCTGATGACTGTAGGGAGTTGGCATATAAATACCCCAGTGGTCCCTCTGAGATAGCTCTGAGGCTTGTTCTGCACAGCCTCGCAGAGGTTCAGCAGGATTGAGCCCTGTACCCAGGAGGCTAACTGCTCATTCACACACCTTTCATTGTCTTCCCTCCTGCCCCTGCCTTCCCCACCCAGTGCTCCTCAGGATCACTCTCCAATAAACTGCTTGCACCCAAATCCTTCCCTCGGTTATTACTCTGTGCTAATGCACTTCACAAATGTACCTTTGTTCTTCTTTTTCTTTTTCTTTTTTTTCCGAGACAGCATCTCACTTTGTCACCCAGGCTGGAGTGCAGTGATGCAGTCACAGCTCACTACAGCCTTCAATTCCTGGACTCAAGAGATCCTTCCACCTCAGCCCCTCAAGTAGCTAGAACTAGACATGAGCCACCACGTTTGGCTACAATTTTTTGTAGAGGTGGGGTGTTACTATGTTGCTCAGGTTGTTCTCGAACTCCTGGCCTCAAGTAATCCTCCTGCCTCGGCCTCCAAAGTGCTGGGATTACAGGGATGAACCACTGTGTCTAGCCTACCTTCGCTCTTCACAACCACCTGAGAAGTGAGTGTGATTGTGCCCATGTTACAGATGTGGAAACTGAGGCCAATGGAGGGTAAATGCCTTGCCCAAGACCACATGGCAGGTGAGTGGCCCAGCTGGGATTTGAAGCCATGTCTGTCTGATGCCACAGACTCTACATCTCCATCTGTCTCCCTCTTTTCCCTCTGAGGGGCTGGATCCTGCTTCAGAAATGGAAACCTCATTCCTTCAGAGGTACAGCAGCAGCTCCTTTGCTCCAGGCAGAGAGCAGAGGCACAGGGCTAGGGCCATCTGTGATATTTTCTCCTTTTCCAGTCACACTCATAGAACCCTTGGGTGGCATGGTCCCAGGCAGAGCAGTCAGGCACTTGGTACCACAGCCGCAGTTTACGTGCAAACATGTGGAAACCCTTGAGGGAAAGTGGCCTCCCAACGTGCCAGGGTTGGACCGAGCTGCTGCCTGCCCCAAAGGGGTACAGCACTTCCTGGTCCCCAGCTGAGCCCCACTCTCAGCCCCTGCAAGTGTGTGCTGATGGCAAGAGCAACAGGCCATATGCCTGAGACTTGGGGAGCCAAGCCTCACATCATCCCCTCAGCGCAGAGAGCTCACTTCAGACCTGGCCTTATTACAGTTCCTGGCTTTATACATATCAGTAGCTTTTATATGCACATGGTTCCAAATCCACAAAAGCCTTCCTCTTTTCCTGTGCCCCAGCTTCCCTCTCTGAAGACAACAGCTGCTGTCACTGATCTGCTATGAGTCCTTCCAGAGATACTCTATGCACAGACAGGCACATAAATGCAGTCATTCCAAACACATTCTTCTTTTTCTCTAGAACAAAGTGTCTTGGAGATCTTTCTGTGTGGGTACAGAAAGAACTTCCTAATTCCTTTTTAAAGCTATATAGTATTCCAGTGTATTTATGTCCCATAATTGGTTTAACTAGTTCTCAGTGAATGGAAATTTGAGTTATTTCCAATCATGTACTAATATAAATCTTGTACATAAGTTATTTTACACACTTGGAAATAAAACTATAGGAAAAATAGCTAGAGATAGAATTATTGGGACAAGAGGAATGCACATTTGTAATTTTAAAAGATATGACAAACGGACCTCCCAAGGTGCTGAATCATTTACACTCCCCCCGGTTATGTGCTGCGCTGAGACCCAACTGCATGCCAGGCATGGGTGTGCATCATCGACTTTGGTCTCACTACATTCCTGGGGGGGTAGCACTATTATCCTTATTTGATGAGAAAATTGAGAGAGTTCAATTTTGCCCAGGAAGAACCAACAAACCTTTTATTATTTCATGACATACTAGGGTCTGTGCTTTACATTTATTATCTTATTTAACCTTCACCATAGCACTATGAGGTGGGTACTTTTACCATCACCACTCATTTTACAGGTGAGCCTAGTGTTGGAGCTCGGAGAGGTTAAGTAGCTTTCCTAGAGTCACACAGCCAGTGGTAAGTGGCAGAGCCAAATGTGAACCTGGGCTCTCCCTGCTCCCACCAGGAGTCTATCCACTGGCTTCCTGCTTCCTGCCTTATGTATGCCCCAAACTCCTCTAGTTTAGGGGTTAGGGGTTGCACAAAGCAGAGTCCCCTGGAGGCATTAGACCGAGAATCAAGGAGTCGGCGATTGCTAGAAGGTAAGAGCTGGAAAGGATCATGAAAGGGGCAGGGAGGGTGGGGCTGGAAATACGAGGGGTGGTTGCCTCGATGTTTGGGAGAGGTGGGGCTGCTGGGATGTTTGGGAGAGGTGGGGCTGCTGGGATGCTAAATTGTTGTACCCTGCATGGGATATTCCTTCCCCCAACTTGTCCACAGTACCCTATTGAGAAATTCCACATTTCGTTTTGCAGATGCAGAAATAAAGGGAGGATCCCTTGGAAAAGGCACAGGAGTCCTGCATTGGAGGAAAAGCCAGGATGAGAAATCACTCTGTCCACTCCAGGACCAGCGCTCTAAACTCTGCGTGGGGCTGCCTCCTGCACAACTTGAAACAAAGAGAACCAGACCAAGCAGCCTTAGTGAGTGTTGGCAGGGGAGGAGGGGCTCACTTACCAAGCACCTGCTGTATACACATAACCATTTAAGTTCCATGATAACTCTATCATTTTACAGGAGAGGAGATTGGCACTAAGCCCCCCAGTTGAAGGAGGGTGTTGGAAGGCAGATTTTGGGAGGCCTGAAACCCAAGCAAAGGGCTTTATATTGACTACAATATTGACTACAGTGAGCTAACAGGGCTGATTCCAGGTTCTTGAACCAGGACATAACTTACGTGACTTGATCAAATTCAGGTTTTAGGATACTCACTCTGGTGGCAATGCTTTGTACATGCCGTTCCCCCTGCTTGGAATGCCTTTCCCAGACTTGCATGCCCCAAGAACTGCGACTCAAAGCTCTCTGTGAAGCATCCCCTGAACTCTGATCCCCGCAAAGGCAGGGGCTGGGTTTTAGCTTTTCATCCCCAAGCTCTGGTCTAGTGTCAGGCACATCGTGGGAGCTTAATAAATGTTTATGGGGCTGGGCGCGGTGGCTCATGCCTGTAATCCCAGCACTTTGGGAGGCCAAGGTGGGCGGATCACGAGGTCAAGAGATCAAGACCATCCTGGCTAACATGGTGAAACCCCGTCTCTACTAAAAATACAAAAAATTAGCCGGGCTTGGTGGCGGGCACCTGTAGTCCCAGCTACTCGGGAGGCTGAGGCAGGAGAATGGTGTGAACCCCGGAGGCGGAGTTTGCAGTGAGCCGAGATCGCGCCACTGCACTCCAGCCTGGGTGACAGAGCGAGACTGCGTCTCAGTAAATAAATAAATAAATAAATAAATAAATAAATAAATAAATAAATGTTTATGGGATGAAGGAATGGAGTGATGAAGGCCTGACTGAGACAGCGGCAGCAGGAAGGAAAAGGAAATGTGAAGACAAGTTGAAGGAAGACGGACAAGGCCCCTTGACTGGTTAGATGTGATGATAACAGCTTGTACCTTTATAGCAACTGCTGTATACCAGTTTTCATAAGGGAAGTGCTATTAGCACCTGCATTTGACAAATGAGGAAACCAGGACTCGGAGAGAGTACACAGCTAGTCAGTGCTTGAGGTCACATAGCTCGCAGGCAGTAGAGCCAAGCTTTGAACCCAGGCAGTCTAGCCCGGGATTCATGCTCTTTATGTCTGGTCTGTTTTGTACAACTTACAAGGACAAGCAGGTGAGTAAAGTCAAAACTATCCATCCTGGAAAACTGGATAATGATGCTCAGAGTTCTGGGTCTTCTGATCTCTAATCTGTTGCACTGTCTGCCAGGTGACCCCCCTCCCATTCATCACCTCCTTAAAGGCTCAGCCCAACACCCACCAGGATCCAAGCTCAGTCTCCACAGAATGTACTGCCTGGACAGAGACCCAGTGTGCAGACTCGGGGGCTGGGGAACATGTGGGAGTGCGGGCAGGAATCTGGGTCCCACCCCTCAGGCTTTTGGCCTGCCCCAGCAGGCTCCAGGCAGGAAGCCAGTCCAGCCTGCCATGCCCTCTCTCTGCTGTGCCTCCTCCCTCACCCAAGTCACACTCCACACGCTCAGGTTCCTTTGTGGTGGGTGTTTTGATTAATTTTATTCTAATTAATTCAGTAATCTCAAGCTGTTTGCAAAATCTTGCACCAAGCACTGCTCTGTGATGGATCTGCAGAAGGGGCTACAGACAAACACCCGAATCGTGTTGTTTCTCCATTGGCACTATATATATCTTACGGCTGGGAGAGAGTGGGCTGGGGGAGAGCAGCAGGACGCCGCCTGCCTGCCGGCTTTTCACTGTCATTCCCCAAATGTCCTCTATTTTCCTGCGGCCAGGGCACGGGTTCTATGGTTGGGGCACAGGGACCCCGAAGGCTTTCCTACAGGCAGGCAGGCTTGGTGGCAGGGCTTTGTGCCCTACTCTGCCTCTTCCTCTTTGTGGAGCCTCGGGTGGTTTGCTTAACCAGCTTTGGCACCCTCACCTAGAAAACGGAGATGAGCTGGGCGCGGTGGCTCATGCCTGTAATCCCAGCACTTTGGGAGGCCGAGGTGGGTGAATCACAAGGTCAGGAGTTCAAGACCAGCCTGGCCAAGATGATGAAACCCTGTCTCTACTAAAAATACAAAAATTAGCCGGACGTGGTGGCAGGTGCCTGTAATCCCAGCTACTTGGGAGGCTGAGGCAGGAGAATCACTCGAACCCAGGAGGCGGAGGTTGCGGTGAGCTGATATTATGCCACTGCACTCCAGCCTGGGCAACAGAGCAAGACTCCATCTCAAAACAAAACAAAAAAAAGGAAACGGAGATGAAACGCCTACCCTGGCCACCTCAGAGGCACTGAGAGCCAGCTGGAGTATGGGGACAGGCTTGGGAAACTGAAAAGACCTTAGGGTACTGCTGATGTCTTTATCCGAGAAGCCGTAGAGGGTGATGGGGAAGAGTCAAACCAGATTTCCTGGGTTGGAATCCTGCCTCAACCTCTTACTAGTGGGGAGCTTTGCAGAGGCTACTTCACCTCTCTGTGCCTCAGTTTCCATGCCTGTAAAATGAGGGTGAAAACAGAACCCATCTCAGAGGGTTCTTATGATTAAATGAATATGAGCAAAGCTTTTAGAACAGTGCTTGGCATGGAGTCAAGCACTATACAGGATAACTATTATTATGGTTATCTTAGTTGTCTTCATCCCTTCAAAATCTTCCTAGTGCATTGTAAATGCCTTCTCTGATTAACCAGAATGCAACTTGCACTCCAGTCTCAAAGCACTCATCCTTCCCTCATTTCTCTGAACATGTTAGTCTTGGCCCATAACTGGTTTCCTCTCCAAGTGGCCAATATCTCTCACCCCAGGTCCATAACTCCCACCATGGTAGGATTAAGGGGGCTTGGTCCATGACGGTTCCAGTAGTCCTATCCAAAGGGGACTCGGAGGCAACGAGATGATTAGAAGGGAGTTCATCTTAAAGCTGAGTCTGCTAAGTACACACAATGATTCTACTTAAAATCCAAATACAGGAAGGTTTTCAAAAATTGAGGCAATGTCAGTTGTGTATATGAAGGGTTATTTTTCTTTTCTGTGGAAGGACATTGGGAGGGACATATGGAAATGGGGGACATCCCTCCCAGTACACTTTTGGCACCTGTACTCATGCCATGAAGAGGAAAACAACTGACCCAACCAACAGGGCAATAGAACAGGGTGGGAGGTGATGCTTTAGGTGGGTAGTCAGGGAAGGCCTCTATGAAGAGGTGTCAAGCCCTGAGAAAAGGGAGAAAAGCCCATTGTGTGGCAATATGAGTAAAGAGCACTCCAGGAAGAGGGTACAGTGTGCAAAGGCTTGAGGCGGGAATGAACTTGGGGGTATTTGGGAGACAAAGAACAGCAGCTGAGGGGGACAGCAGGATAAATTAGAGTGACGAGGCCACAAGGTCCAGGCCAAGGGCCATCAGCCATAATAAGGAGTTGGATTTCATTCTAAAGATGCTGGGAGACTTTGGAGAGTTTTAAGCCAGAAAGTGACCTGATTTCATTTATGTTTTTAAAAGACCACATTGGCTGCCGCTCTAGCATTCATCCATCCATCCTTCCATCTGCTTATTAACAAGATTTCCTGCATACCTACTGTGTGCCAGGGTCTGTGCTGGGCACTTGCAGTTTAGAGTTGAGTAAGATATTGCCCTCCCTCGTGGAGCTCAGCATGGATGAGAAAACGAACTTCTGGTGCTTTCAGAAGCAGGGGTTGAGTGCCTGGCAGAGCAGGGTGTGCACTGCAGAGGAAGGACTGGGGCCCTGGGATTGGGGACAGGAAGAGCTATTGAGAACAGTGGCTCTCCAAAGTGAGTGGCATCAGAATCTCCTGAAGGGCTTGTTAAAAACAGATTGCTGGCCGGGCACGGTGGCTCACACCTGTAATCCCAGCACTTTGGGAGGCCAAGGCGGGCAGATCACCTGAGGTCAGGAGTTCAAGACCAGCCTGACCAATATGGTGAAACCCCGTCTCTACTAAAAATACAAAAATTAGACGGGCGTGGTGGTGCGCACCTGTAGTCCCAGCTACTCGGGAGGCTGAGACAGGAGAATTGCTTGAACCCCGGAGGCGGAGGTTGCAGTGAGCAGAGATCATGTCACTGTACTCCAGCCTGTGACAGAGCAAGACTCTGTCTCAAAAAAAAACCCAAAAAACAAAAAAAGATTGCTGTGCACCACCTCCCCCCACCTGCCACACAGATTCTGATTCAGTAAACCTGGGGTGGGCCTGAGAATTTGCATTTTTAGCAGGTTTCTAGCTGGTTCTGATGCTGCTGGCCCAGGGACTGCGCTTTGAGAACCACTGTGTAGGAGGATCTCAACTTCTATGGACCAGAAAGGGCTATTTCTAGGAATTCATCTCAGCACCCGAGGTGTGGACAGCTCCCCAACTGGCTCTTCATTGTCATCCACCACTCAGGCCTGAGACAGGGAGCCCCCTGAGGACAGCATTTCCCCGCCATCTCCCTCCACCCACCACCCACCGCTTGGTTTCCACTCAGACCCCTGCCTCTCCCTGCTCCCTCCTTGGGAAGCACATCCTCAAACTCTGTCCTGCAACTGAAGGAGCAATTTCACTCTCAGTCACCTTCACTGATTCCTTTCAGGATGCAGAAGACCTCAGTTAACACTGCACCCGCCTCCTGGCCAGCCAACTGCCCCCATCTGTTCCTTTCCCAAAACTGCACCCTGGGCTGGGGGACTTGGGATCCCCCAGCTCTGTTATCTGCATGCCACAGGCCTGATTCATTTCACAGCCACATGGTCAGATGTCTCCTCACCCCCTTCTCTTCCTGCCCCCGCCTTTCTCTGAGCTCTGAATGTCCCCTTTTCACCCAGTCATATTTCCCCAGCCCCCTCCTCTCCTCACTCCTTTGCCCATCCCATCTGTGATAAATTTGGCAGATTACCCCATGAAAGCCTAAATTATCAGTGTTCCTGGTCACTTTGGCCCTTAGTCCCTTAGAAAGACAGTGTTGAAATTGCAAGCATTCATCAGAATCTGAATTTCAAAATTTCTAAAAATTCCCTAATTGAGGTTGTCTAAACTATCCTTCAAGACCAGAACTCTCCTTGGATTTTTCAGCAGGCGCTTGAGCCCAATCCCTCCTCCTCCACCAGATTGCAAACTCCCTGAGAACAAGAAGCTCAGCCGCTCAACTCTGAGCCACTCAGTCTAGCACCGCGACCAGCTCCTAGTAAGTACCTAGGAGGTAGCCACTTTATTATGACTATTACCATGATGGCATTGTTGCTGCTGTTATTGCTATCTGCTCTGCTCTCCTCATGCCTTGCTCAATGCCTTGCACACAGTAGGGTCTCAGCAAAGTCTTACAGGTACACAGATGACAAATGTATAGTTGTCATCCTCACCTCACTGCTCTTGCCTCCGACTACCTCATTCGCCTGTAACAGCTTCTCCCTCATTTGCCTTTTTTTTTCTTTTCTTAACTGCTGCGATGTTCTGAGCCAGAGCATTTGAAAGATTTTTGTGCAATAACTCCCCACCCCCACGCCTAGATCTTCGAGGCCTAGGAGATTAGTGTCAGGAGATTTGGTGGGTAATGGGTTCTGGGCAGTAGAAAACAGTCCCCTTTACAGAGATACAATTATACAGGTTATACTTCCCTGAGTTCAGACACAGCCACAGACCTCGGGGAACCTGGTGTCGGCACAGATGGTACATGGGGCCACATTATATGGAATATTCTCCACTTGCTATAAAACTGTTGACAAATATAGGAAACGAGATGTTTTTCTTTTCCATGTTTTCTTTTCTTTTCCTTAGCCAAACACTGCGGGCCCTCATGAGTCACAAAAGTTTTGAGATATTACTCAGAAATATAGGAGGAAAGCTCCATATTTCCCCCGTCAAAGGTCTGGTTTTCTTATTTATTTATTCACATGCCACTGGGTAAATTGAACCCTGAACAATATTAAAAGGAAATAAACATATCTCTCAGCCGCTCACGGACCTAGCACTCACCAGGCAGCGGGATTAGCAACAAGCCTCCCCAGGTGGGACAAAGCTGCAGTATGGAGGGGGGGTGCGGGTCCAGGGGCCTGCAAAGCGGGGTCCCTGCAGCTCCCTACTCCAGGCAAGTCGAAGCTCCCTCTCCCCTGGCCAGCCTCCAAGACCCACAACTGACGCACACATTCACTCTGTGGCCATGGCAGCTCCCAGAAGGTGGAAAGACTCCATTTTTATTTCCACCTTTCCGGTACCTGTGCCTCTCACTGACCCATTCCAACACGCACACAAGAACACACACACACACACACACATACATACACACATACACACACACATCAGCAATGACGAACCAGCCCCAAACCATAGCGGAATGTCATTTCAGAGTCCTATCTGCATGGTTGAAATCAGAAGTTGGGATGCCTGAGACCATTCATATGGCCTGTTTACAGTCACTGAGAATTGATACTTACTTTGGGGGAAGAAAAAAATATACGTTTAAAATATATATATATACACACACACACACACACACACACACACACACACATCCCCACACACACACTCAGATACATATCGGTGGTGGATAGATGGATCTTTCTCACCCTGAAAACCATGACAGATGAGTTTTGTTTGGGCCTGTATGCATTTTAAAGGTGCATTTAAACTCACTAAATTAGAATCTGGATTGGTGGCGGTGCCCACCCAACCCTGGCCTCCTCTTCCCCTCAACAGGAAGGCAGCCAACCAGGTTCTCATTCAGAATTTAATCTTGCCTGAGTGGCGTGACCACTTCTGTCTCTGCTCAGTTTCTTTTTTTTTTTTTTTTTTTTGAGACGGACTCTCACTGTGTTGCCCAGGCTAGGGGGCAGTGGCGTGATCTCGGCTCACTGCAACCTCTACCTCCCGGGTTCAGATGATTCTCCTGCCTCAGCCTCCTGAGTAGCTTGGATTACAGACACGCACAATCACTCCCAGCCAATTTTTGTATTTTTAGTAGAGACAGGGTTTTGCCATGTTGGCCAGGCTGGTCTCAAACTCCTGACCTTGGCCTCCCAAAGTGCTGGAAGTACAGGCTTGAGCCACCACCCCCGGCCTCTGCCCGGTTTCTGCGATGAGAAAGCTGGGCCCTCTCCCTAGGGGGACAGGTCTGGACTAGGTGAGTTTACAGGGTGAAGTCAGAGACCCCACTGCCCTGGGGTCTTCAGAGGGCCCATCCCCCAATGCAACTGAGTCAAGGTTGGTGGGATCAAGACAAGCAGTTCACCCAGGATCCAGGAACACAAAACCTGTTCTGACACCCATTCTCCTGCTCAAGAACATGCAGTGGCTCCCAATTACCCACAACAATGATGTTTCCTCTCAACGGCAGACCATAGGTGGGGACTGCCTGGAGCTCTGGGTGGAACAGATCTCTGAGGCCTTGTGTGGGTTCAGCAGGGAGCGTGCAGTGATCAATGATCCATGTCTGCCATGAATGAAGGAGCAGAGATTGCAGCCGCCCACACTGAATGTCAGTCTTCCCTGGACTACAGAACTAAGTCTAAATGCCTCTACTGCTCTACCAAACTCCTCCACCATCTGACCCCTCATTTCCTCTCCAGAGTCATTACCCACTCCTCTCCAGCAAGGCCACCCCAATCACGCCAAGCTCTGCATCGTACTTGGCACACACCACCTCAGACCTACCTCTGTGCCTTGACTCAAGCTGCCATTCCCACGCTCCCCCCAATCTTCATCCTCCAGATATGAGTTTAGTTCCTAGCACTTCTTAAGGTCCAGCTCAAATCCTCCTCCTCCAGGAAGCTTTCTTAACTGCTCTGATCCATCCCAGCTCTCAAGGCACTCAGGGGCATTACCACATATTGAAATAGTCAGTGTTCGAAGAGTTTCCTATTTCCAAGTACTCATCTCACCAACCTGATTGGAAACACACCATCACCACCATCAATGAGAATCACATCTGACTTTCTTTTTTCTTTTTTCTTTTTCCAAGACAGAGTCTTGCTCTGTCACCCAAGCTGGAGTGCAGTGGCGCAATCTCGGCTCACTGCAACCTCTTCCTCCCAGGTTCAAGAAATTCTCCTGCCTCGGCCTCCCGACTAGCTGGGATTACAGGTGCCCGCCACCATGCCCGGCTAATTTTTGTATTTTTAGTAGAGACAAGATTTCTCCATGTTGGCCAGGCTAGTCTCGAACTCCTGACCTTGTGATCCACCTGCCTCAGCCTCCCAAAGTGCTGAGATTACAGGCATGAGCCACCGCACCCAGCCCTTTCTTTTTTTGTCCTCCACAGCATTTCACACGATGCTTGCCAGGAACCATCCTGGCCACAAGCACTTACTGAAGTCCACAGGTTTACCTTAGGTGCTTTAAGATCCTTGGGGTCTCAGAAACCAAACTTGTGGGGCCAGAGGTGAAATCAGAAAGGCCCACTGTGGACTGAGAGTCCCCCACACACAAGTTCCATTCCTGACTCATTGTGCAACCTGTGGTTTATGGGCAGGGTCACTTAACTAAATGTCTAGCCCTCAATGTGCCCATCTGCAAAATAGGCAGCCGTGTTCTGCTCCTTCCCCACCCACCACACCAGGGGCAGAATTTTAATCTCTACCCTTCCACTGACTAGCCAGTGGAGCCAGGGACCCGCCCTCCTCAAGCCCCAGCGTCCTCCCCTGTGCAATGTAACGTTCCCAGTAATGGAGCAGGTGTGCGGGGCAGCCCCACTCCCCTGAAGGACAACAGCAGGCCACTGGGGAAAGGTGAGGTGTCAGGAAGTAGCAGAGACGTGAGCCCCAGCATCTCATTTTTGGTGAGCTTTCCTTCCCCCAGAGCTCTCTTCTTCCCCCTTCTCTTTTTTTTCCCTTTCCCTGGGGCTGGGAAAAGATTTGGGAAGACAAATGTGTTCCACGGGGTGTGGGTGGGGGACCCTCACGCCTCCCCTGGCTGAGGTGGAAAGACATCTCTGAGGTCTGGAAGTCAGTCACAGGACAAGACAAGGGAGGTGGGGAGGGCTCGAGGCCCTGCAGCCTCCCTTTGGACTTCGGAGAGGGCCTGAGGAGGCAGGCAGGCCCCAGGGGGAGAATCAAAGAGGGGCAGTGAGAACATAGCCAGGCCAGGAGGGCCCCGGCTCCATTCACCAAAGGCCCCACCCAGGCAAGTGCCCACAAATCCTTATTGACCCCACAAGGAAACCACAAGCCCCTCCTTTCCCCCCATTTACTGCAGACTGCAGCTGCTCTGCTTCGCCCTTCCCTGTGGAGCCACCACAGATGGTGATGACAGAAACTACGGGAAATATCTGTGGTTCTGTTAACTGAGGAAAGCAGGGCACAGGGCAAGGTGTGCAGCGAGGGCACTGGAGCGCAAGGGTGCTAGAGGCAGTGGTGGGCTCTCCAGCAGACCACCCAGGTCAAACCCAGCTCTGCCTCACATAAGCCGTGCGACCATAGTGAGTCATTTGACCTTTCTGTACCTCAGTTTCCTCGCCTGTAAGACAGAGGTGACTAATGTGGGGACCCAGCTTGCACGAGTTAGTCCTCAGAAGCAATTTGGATCAGGCGCGGTGGCTCACACCTGTAAGGTTCACACCAGCACTTTGGGATGCCGAGGCGGTAGCATCACTTGAGCCCAGGAGTTCGAGACCAGCCTGGGCAACCTGTGGAGATGAGGGCGAGACCTTCATGTCTACAAAAAATAAAAAAATTGGCTGGGCACAGTGGCTCACGCCTGTAATCCCAGCACTTTGGGAGGCCGAGGCGGGCAGATCACGAGATCGGAAGATCGAGACCATCTTGGCTAACACGGTGAAACCCCATCTCTACTAAAAATACAAAAAATTAGCCGGGTGTGGTGGCACATGCCTGTAGTA
The DNA here is from genome assembly GCF_000001405.40 of Homo sapiens. Lineage (NCBI taxonomy): Eukaryota > Metazoa > Chordata > Mammalia > Primates > Hominidae > Homo > Homo sapiens. The sequence continues at coordinate 37,520,490 of NC_000006.12, read as the reverse complement.
CCAGATACTTGGGAGGCTGAGGCAGAAGAATTGCTTGAACCCGGGAGGTAGAGGTTGCAGTGAGCTGAGATCACGCCATTGCACTCCAGCCTGGGCGACAGAGCAAGACTCCGTCTCAAAAAAAAAAAAAAAATCAAAAAATTAGCCGGGTGTGGTGGTGCACACCTGTGGTCCCAGCTACTCGAGAGGCTGAGGCAGGAGGATCGCTTGAGCCTTGAGGGTTAAGGTTGCAGTGAGTTGGGATTGCACCACTGCACTCCAGCCTGGGGAACAGAGAAAGATCCTGTTTCAATTTGTTTTTTTTAATGAAGAAAGAAAGTACTGCGAAGAGTGCTTGCTTTTTTTTTTTTTTTTTTTTGAGACCGAGTCTCACTCTGTTGCCTAGGCTGGAGTGCAATGGCACGATCTCAACTCACTGCAACCTCCACCTCCCGGGATCAAGCAATTCTCCTGCCTCAGCCTCCCAAGTAGCTGGGATTACAGGTGCCCACCACCACGCCCAGCTAATTTTTGTATTTTTAGTAGAGACAGGGTTTCGTCATGTCGGCCAGCCTGGTCTCGAACTCCTGACCTCCGGTGATCTGCCTGCCTCAGCCTCCCAAAGTGCTGGGATTACAGGCGTGAGCCACCTCACCTGGCCGAGCAGTGCTTGCTATCACTATAGAAGCCACTGGAATGTGAGCCCCAGGGTACAGACTTCTACCTCTTTTATTCATGGCTTCATCCCTGTATCTAGAACAACATCCAGTGCATAGGAAGCACAAATATTTGTTGAATGAGTGAACTGGGGAGGCGAACACATGGATCAATCAGCAGCCGCCACACACCTACTCCAGTCAAGGAGGCAAACGCATGTGCTATAACTGTCAATACAGGCCTTTCTTTCTGCAAACATGGAGTGTTTACTATGTGCCAGGTAATGTGCTATGGGGTGGCTTGGGCACAACATAGGGATGAATGCGGCAAGGGCCCTATGGCAGAGACTACTGGTTGCCCCCATTCCACTCTCCCCTTCTTCCCTATTCCTGGAATTCTTGGCCAGGCACATAGCCATACAGAATAAAGACTAGATTTCTCAGCCTCTCTTGCAGCTAGACATAGCCCTTTCACTAAATTCAGACCAATACAGTGCGAAGTGTCAAGTGCTAGCTTCTGAAACTCCTTAAGGGATGGCTGGCACTCACTCTTCCCCCAGGTGACTGAAAAGTAGATGAAATGGCTGAAATTAAAGCAGCCACATTGGACTGTGAGGAGACGGAAGTCACCCCTCACAGAACAACAAGACAATAGGAGTCTGGGCCTCAGAGGACCATATCAAACCAAGCCACCAACCAGCCCCAGACTGCAGACTTTCGAAAGAAGAATAAAACTGCTAAATTGCATGAGCCAATATTTGGAGTTGTACTACTCATGACCTACAGCTCATGCTAAAGCTAACTGATACAGACGCATCACTAGAAGCTCACAATCCGCTGGGGGAGGCACACAAAGAAAGAGACCAACCCATCCATCAGAGTGTGGTGAGGATGTGTAGACACAGAGTATTGTGGGAGGAAACGCAGGGGAGGGAACAGTGGGAGGGGATCTAGGAAGACTTCCTGGAGGGAGTGATATCTACATCAAGTCCCGAAGAATGGGGAGGCCTTTGGTGGGAGGTGGAGGGAAAGGGAAGACAGTGCTATAACTGAGATAGATACATGCAGAGAGTTGGGGAGTTCGGCGGGGGGGGGGGGGGTAAATTTTATCCCAAGGGACTGAGAAAGATTTTTCCAAAGTGAGTGGAACAAAGCTCTGAATGATGAGAAAGACTTAGACAGGTTGGGAGGAAGAACGTTCCTGGGTAAGGAACAGCAAGTGCAAAGGCAAAGAGGCCACGACTGGACATGGCTAGAGTGTGGTGTGCTCAGGGAGGGGGTAGGAATGATGGCAGATGTTGGGGAGGACTTGGAACTATACTGGGTGCTTCATATTTTAAGTGTGTAACACGCATTAGCTGGCTTACCCTCACGACCCTCCGAGCTAAGTGCAGTACTATCATAGCCTCCTTACACAGATACAGAAACCAGGCACAGGGAGATTAGGCTGCTTGCTCAAGGATGCACGGCAGTGCCCAGCAGGGCTAGGAGTGGAGCCTGGGCAGTGGGACTCCTCAGCCTGCATGCTCCACTCTCACAAGGCAGCGGGGTTTGAGGGCACCCACCGCCCCTTCCCTCTCCTGACCTGAGCACCCATGTCCACACCCAGCATCCTCCAAGGCCTCCTGTTCATCCATGCTGGCTTGTAGACCTATCAGGAGGTTTTAATATTGGACATGGAGGGAAAGGGAAACATAACAGCACCAGGGAGGCCCAGGGAAGTCCAGAGCAGCCAAAGAGAAAGGCGGATCTGAAAAGGGAAGCCTTGGGTTTACTCAGACATGGCCCTCTTTTCATTTCAGGGATGAGAGTTCCGTCAGGAAGCATCACATCACCCATCTTACATGTGTGATAAGGAGGTAGCAACTAATTATATACTAATGTGTTTCTTACATTGTCTCGTCTATAACCCTCACATCAGTCCTATGAGGCTGACAAGCTGACTCTCACTTTATGGATGAGATGAAGCACAGAAAGGGTAAGTAACTTGCCTGAGATTGCCCAGCTCATAAATGAGGGAGCCAGGATTCACGCCAGGTCTGCCTCATGCCAAGTCCACATTCATAGCCACCTCGCTCTTACAAGTCCTCAGGCAAGGCTCTTTCTACATCCGTGACAGAATTCTGTTCTGACACTGCGGCCTCCTCTCGCTTCTCCTCCCCTCCCCTCCATCCTGCTGCCACAATCTGTAGTCAGCATATGCCTCAGAAAGGCGACAAAGCCACAGACGTGTCCTCAGAGGTTTTTAAAAAAAATGTAGCATTATTATGCAAGAGCTGAGAGAATTGTTGCTAGAAACACCCCTCGCCTTACTTAATCCTGGCACGTTGGAAAACCCATCCGAAGACATGAATCTGAGCCTCTGGGGCACCGAAGACCTTGGACTGGTTTTCTCCTCCATCCCCTGCCTCTGGAAGGAGGCCTCTTAAATACGATCTGAGACAGAGAAGGGCCTCTCCTGAGAAGACATCTGTTACCCTTGCTCTATAGGGAGAGGCCCAAACCAGGAGTGCCCAGTTGCACAACTCCAGGGGCGCCATTCCCACACGGTACCGCGTGCCTGTGTCCTGCAGCTGCTGCAGGCAGCCTCCCTCCTCCCCGACTGCCCTCAGTCTCTCCAGTGCCCCATGGCCCAGTCCATCCTCCGGGAGTTTTGCACTGTCTCTAGGTCTGCCCGCTGCAGGCCTTGTGGCATCTTAAGCTCAAACCTGAGTCTGACGGATGGCTGGATGCTGGGCGGCACAGCGCGTCTGGAGTCCTTCCCGGGAGAAGCCCCAAGTACAGCCCAGTAAATCAATAAACAAATTAATAAGCAAATACTGCTGTCTGCTGAGCTGAACTAGGACTCCCGGGTGAACAGATTTAAAAATCAACAACAGACGGCCACAGGGCATGCCTGGACCGGGCACCATACCTTCGTGGAATTTTCAGAGGCTCCATCCCCCAGCCCATCACTCTCAGGACTAGAAACACGGTGGTGCGGGGGTGGGGGGACTCCTGATTTGGGGCTGGCAGGGAGCAGCACGGGACAGGCTGTTGTCTGGGAAAACCCCCCCGCCAGCTTCGACTCTCCCTCACTTGCTCTAGTCTGCTGCTTCCTGCCAAGAGGAGGGCTTGGTGCACTGCTGGCAGGACCTTTGATCTGGGTACCACAGATCATGATGTGACCAAGGAGCCTCAGTCACGTGGGGCACCAGTTAAGGGGGTTGGCCCTTCCTAGCTGACTCCCAGCCACACTGCAGCAGCTTCTGTTCACTTCTCAGCGGGCTGCAGAGGCAGGGAGGGGGAGGCCAGGTGGCACAGGACTGACCCCAGTGGATGCCACCTCATCACCCTGTTGGTGAGAGAGCAGGCAAGCAGGGCACATGGGCCTGGGGAAGACCACAAGGCCAGGTCCTCCAGGCAGGGAGGCTCTGGCAGAAACCTCTGTGCCAACCCCCTCCTTCCTGTCCCCGAATGCAGAGGCCTGCCCCTCCCCGCCCCAGTGCCCAGGAGGCCAGGGTCAGGAAGCAAACAGAAATGCCTGCATGCCTGCAAATAGACTCCAACCGATCTCAGGAGAATTTCCAGCCAGCAGGCCTGTGGCGCCCTTTGCTGAAAGGGCCTTCTGAATGCCCGAGTCTTCTCTTTTGTGCTCACAAATGCCACCCAATCGCAGCGGCCGCGAAGCTGCATAAATAAGGCAGAGAGAGTGTCTGCCTGGGGCGCTGGCCTCTGGGCTGCCTGCCAGGGCTGTCAGGCCGCCCAGACTTCAATACCAACAGACTTAAGGGACAAGAAAACAGCTCAGGTAAAGGCTTGGAAGCTCAGGAGGGAAGTGACCTGTCTTGTGAGGCGACGGAGATCAGTCTGCTCAGGGCCTTCTGATGCTAGGCTGTCGCTAGGCCCATGACCCGCAGGCTCTCCCCCACCGGGTGGGCACGAATGGTGCCCAGCAGCTGGGGAAGCAGGCCTCTCAAGCGTCACCCTGCTGCATCCCATATCTCATGCTGCTGATGAGCCAGGGTCCACACTTTCTTTTCCAGCCCACAGGGAGGGGGCTCATCAGGCTGCTAGAGCTCTCAGCAAACACTGCAGAAAGAAGGGAGGATGCTGCCGGGCATGGTGGCTCACGCCTGTAATCCCAGCACTGTGAGAGGCCAAGGCAGGCAGAACACTTGAGCCCAGGAGTTCGAGACCAGTCTGGTCAACAAGGCAAAACCCCGTCTCTACTAAAAATACAAAAATTAGCCGGGCTTGGTGGTGTGCACTATAGTCCCAGCTACCCGGGAGGCTGAGGCAGGAGAATTGCTTGAACCTGGGAGGCAGAGGTTGCAGTGAGCTGAGATCGTGCCATGGCACTCTAGCCTGGGCAACAGAGTGAGACTCTATCTCAAAAAAAAAAAAAAAAAAAAAAGCAAGGGAAGATGCCAGCCAGCCCCAAACACCCCAGGACGCTTGGAGAATTCTGGCCATGAAACTCACCTGCTGGGAAACTCTGGTGACCCACTAGGCCCACAGAACATTGTCAAGACCTTTGAGAACATTCTAACGTTCCTCCACAGAGTCTAGCAGTCATTGGTATATGCTGTGTCCCAAAGCACCTTTGAGGAAGGTGTCAGGTGGTGACACTGAGGAAGACAGATATGGTTCCTGCCTTCCCGGAGTTGCAGTGAGGGAATCCGGGCTCTCAGATTCACAAGGCGGAGTGTGGTTTTGCTGGGCCTGGAAGGCTATGGTGCATCTCATGGGCTGGGGCAGCAACTCATTGCAGGTGGTGGGGAGGGAGAGAGAGAAGGAAGCCAGCCTGCTGGGGGTTGTCTGGGCAAACAGAAACCTCTCCCTCTCCCGCCTCCAGGCTGGCCGGGAGAAAGGCGCAGCCCCAGGCCCTGAGTCTGCCTCCCAGGCTGCCTGCCCTAGGGCACTGCTCATTAATTACCACAGTGCCGCCAAGATAGCCCTGGCCTGGACTCAGTCCCACACCAATTGCCATGTGAGAGGAAAAGAACTGGAATTTGGGGAAAATGACAGAGAAAAAAGAGATCGGCTTCAAGGGAACAGGCCCTGAGTGTAACTTTCTTTCTGGCCCTGGGGAAGACAAGAAGCTGCACAATGTGGATTGGAGCACAGGTCCTGGGGCAAGTCCTGGCTCTCCTCTACATGCTGTGTGGCTTTGGGTGAGTCACTTGACCTCTCTGTGCTTCAGTGTCCTTGTTTGTAAAATGAAAGTAAAGACAATACCAGTGTTCACAAGGCTGTTGTGAGGATTAAATGAGTGAATGCATATTCAGTGCTTAGAGCTGCTCCCAGCACATACGAAGAGCTATATACGTGTGACTCATGATTACTCTCAGCGAACAAGGTGGCTGGGCCTCCCCAGGGAGGCAGGCACTCTGGGCTGGACCACTTCAGCCTTGTAGGGATGGGCTAAGAGGAGTGAGAAGAAAAGACAGTGAGGGAGGTAGCCCTGGAGCTACAGGCAGCCCCACCTCCTGGATGAACAATGGAAGAAAAGGGAACCCACTGGTCCCAGATCGGTGTGCAGTGTGACACGGCCACATGCACCTTTTACATGTGTATACACTCATATAATCACCATGCAGATCAAGATAATGTTCCCATCACCCCAGAGTGCTCCTTCAGGGCACTGGCCTTTGAACATGGTGTTCCTCAAAGCAGGAAAAATACACCCCCACGGGGCATGAAAGAATCTATTGGGGGCAGAAGAAATGGAATAGAACTTCCACTTCTATCTATTTTACCACATGCTTTTCAACGCCCCTTTTTCTGTATACTTTATAATGCACATATTAGCACAATTGCACATTTAGAATTTACTAATAAATAAGTGTACATTTGCTAGGGATACACGCTGAGTATCTCCTGCTTACCCTTGGTTCTTCACCTCCTCCACCCTGCTCTGAGGCTGCCCTGCGTGGTCCCCATCACTCGGGCTCCCTGCCCGCAGGTGTCAGGTAGGATTTGGCTAAGGGGAGGCTCGGGAGATCAGAGGACACTGGCAAAGTGCAGTTGGGGAATTGATTCCACCGCTCCATCCCTGCAGGGCACTGCAGGCAACTCTTTCCTGGAAGCTGCTTACAAGTTGACTCTCTCCTTCCAAATTTGGCTCAGCACCCCCTCCCCTCGTGGTGGTCACAGCCCTGCGGCAGCCAGCCCCTGCTTACTGCACTGTCCCTCCCGGCTCCCCTGCACTCGCACCTTTATAAAGAGTCCTTTGTGAAGAAATCTGCTCGTATTACCCTAATTTAAAAGTGGCATCTGTCTCCTGCTGAGACCCTGACCTGATACGCAGCACATCCTCAAAAATATTCTACCCACTGGGGTGTGTGATCCAAGTATTTGGAGATGACTGTTAGTGCACTGGATGGTCCCCATTGGTGGTTCAGGGGGCTTCCCCTTCCCAAGGGAGAAGTGGAAGGAGCCGCCTTCAGCGTTTGCGCTCAGTTCCATGCTGGGAAGCAGCAAGCACCAAGATGGTTAGCGGAGTTTACTGAGCTCCTGCCTGTACCTCGCCAAGGGGTGCCTCCATTCCAGGAGAAGGATGCCCAGGAAGTGGCGGCAGTGCCCTCCTACCCACAGAGCCTGCTGTCTCAGTCCCTGTTTCCTGTCTGGGGATTCGGCTCTTCCTCAAGGGGCCAGCACTGGATTCATGCAGGGTGCTGGTAGCACCGTGATGGCAGCCTCACCCTGAGTAACGTGAGGAGACTTGAATAAAGGGTCTCTACAAAGATGGAGGCAGGGTTTAAGGAAACCAACATGGGGAGCCTCAGAACCTTAGGGCTAGCAAGAGTGGGGAGCCCCCTCTGAGAGTAGCTGCATGAGAGCAGCTGCAAGCAGGGTCAGAGGGACACAGCCACCCTGTGGTGACCTTGCGGGGAGGGAGCTGGGGTAATAAATTCCCTGTCCTCAGTCTCCTCCCTTCCTCCAAACCCAGCTGCAAGCCAGAGGACAAGGGAGCCCTTGGATGCAGAGAAGTCAGCATTCCAGGCCAAGAAGGAGGGGGAGCCAGGTGTGGAAAGGGGAGTACACGTCGGACGGGACAAAGGGAAGTTTTCCTGGATGCACTGCAAATGACCTCTGTGCCACAAAGGCCTGGCCCCTACCCACAGGGCTGCTCAGGTGCTCACGGATAACCACATCCCACCTCCACACAACTTCCCTACAGGAATGAGAGCAGAGGGACTGAGCAGTGAGGAAAGGCGGGAGGAGGCTGGAGGAGTGAGCTTCGGAGGATCAAGGTGTGCTTGGAATGTCAGATGAAGAAGTCTGAACTTTCCCCGCAGGCAGAGCCGTGTAAAGCAGACGAGCAGTGTTCTGGCTAAAGCCAGGCCTGAGCAGGTGACCTCGTGGAGGGGATGCAGGCAGGAGGTGGAAGGAGAGCTCTCTGATTCCTTACTCAGCTCAAAGAGAGGAGGCAGGGAGACAGGAGGCCACTGATAACAAACACCGATGCCTCCAGCGAGACATTTAGGAAGAGCCCCCTGAGCCTTTGTTCACTGCCATACACACAGCTCAGCTCAGGCTCTGACTTCCCCTCCGGAGCAGAGGCTTCTGCTGTTGAAGGCTCTGAACTAGCTGGGAAGACGCAGCTAGCAGAGAAGGGTACGAGGGAGGTCTCTCTCCCTCAGCCCCGAGGAACTCAGCGCCGGCTCTGACCCGCTGTGCCTCCGACTGACTGTGCAGCTCTAGGCAGGCTCCTGCCTTTCTCGGGGAGGCAGTGTGCTCATCTGGAAAGCGGCAATAAAGCACCCACTTGCCAGGGTTCTTGGAGGGTGGAATGTGACAGCACAGGTGAAAGCGTGTGTTTCCCATCAGAAGAAACGCGGGGATTGGGGGGGTAGGCAAGTGCCACTTGGTGGGAAGCCCAAAAGAAACGCTAGTCGCTGCACATGTCTCATGGAAATGACAGCACATTTCCCTCTCCCCATGAGGGTTTACTGAGCATCAGTGGGGGCCCTCGCCCTGTGGGCTTCTTGGCACACAGGAGGAGATGGGGGTCTGCTCTTGTAGGCCGGAAGTGGGGCTGCAGACAAAACACACACACAAAACAATGTGAGAACTCTATGAGGCTGCATTCATCGTTGGGCTGAGTGGAACAGTACAGGTTTCAGTGTATAGGAATCCCAAAAAGGGGGAAATTGGTCGGACGAGGGAGGGAGTTTAGCTAAGCAGGACTGGAGAGGTCAGAATTCCATGACAGGAGTCGCCCAGGTAAAGGCAGGTGCTGGGAGCAGGAACATGGCAGAGGAGGGAGGTGGGCAGGAGGCAGCCCTCTCTCCACCAGCGAGAGCTGGCCGGGAAGGGCTGGATATAAGTCCTGGGGTCCATGCTCTTCCACACCACACCATGTGTGTTGATAACCAAAGACATGGAGACCTCACCCCAGAGGAGCCTCTCAAAGCCCTCGCCCATCTTGTGACTTTCTTTTGCCTCCTCTGAGCCAAGCCCCATCCCTGAATCAGGCCAGACAGCTGCTTTCATCCTCCAGGCGGCTGAGATCAGCAACAGAAAGTGACACCTTCCTGTCAGTTCTGGAGTTCCTATAAATTCATTCATTCAGCAAATATTTAGTGAACATTTCCTATTATCCTTCACTACGCTAGGCCCTGGGGATCCATCAGTGAGGAGAAGGAGCTACATTCTAGTAGAGGAAGACAATAAGCAAAACAAATAAGCAAAATATACAGGAAATGCTATCGAGAAAAAGCAAGGGGAATAAGGGAAATTCAGAGGGGATTCAATTTAAAGACAGTAGCCAGGGAGGGCCTCGTGGAGAAGGCAACTTTTGAGTGAAGACTGGAAGGAGGGGATGGAGGGAGCCATGTAGGCTTCAGGAGGGAGGGCATGCCAGGGCCAGGAGTAGGGTGAGAGAGTGAGGCACCTCAGGGACAAATGTTAAGGAGGTGTTCCCTCTAGGGTCGTGTTGCAGCCCTGCTCCCCACCACCCTCCCTATTGCAACAAGGCTGACTGTTCTCAAACGCAAATCTGATCACGATGGTGCAAAAGCGCAGAGCTGCCCAAGGGGTTCCCTTGGCCAAGGTATGAAATCAGACTCCTTAGAATGGCCCAAAGACCCAGCTGTCCTCCCAGTCTCCTCTCTCCATTCCCTCCTCCCTGTGCACACCATGCCTCGTCTTTCTCATGCCTCCACCCTTGCAACCTGGAGCCTGGGCCTGGAACACCCTTCCCCTACCTCTGTGTTCTCCTACCTCTTCTAACTTTTTTTTCTATTAATATTATAAATATTTAGGACCGACATAAAAGGTATAAATAACAATAAAATTAATTTCCATGCACTACCATCTCCACCCAGCTTAAGAAAGAAAACATTACCCATGCAACAGAGCCCCCCTGGGCACCTCCCCCAGGCACATCTGTCTCTCCAGTAACTGGGGCCGTCACTACCTTGCTTTTTATATTTACCATTAGTACAGCACAGGTTTGAAAGTTAGCCGTGCTGTGGTTTGAATATTTGTCTCCTCCAAAACTCATGTTGAAAAATTAATTAACATTGTAACAATATTAAGAGGTGGGGTCTTTAAGGGGTGATTGGGCCATGAGGGCTCCACCCTCATGTGTGGGTTCATGCCATTATAAAAGGGCAGATTCAACCCCCTCTGGCTCTCTTTTGCCATTCCGCTTTTCACCATGCAAAGACTAAGCCTTCCTCGCCTCTGGAGGTCACAGCATTCAAGGCGCCATCTTGAAATCAGAACTACCAAATCTGCTGGCATCTTCATATTGGATTTCCCAGCCTCCAGAACTGCAAGCCAATACATTTCTTTTCTTAAATTCCCCAGTCTGTGGTATTCTGTTATCGCAGCACAAAGGGACTAAGACAAGCAGTATGTAGCACCGTTTTGAATATTTTGAATGTTTTTGAACTTTAAGTGAATGGGATCCTCTGGTTTACATTCCTCTGCAACTTGTCTTTTCGTGTAACATTATGTTTGTGAGATTTATCCATGTTGATATGCGTAGATCTAGATCAGAGCTCGGTAAAGTTTTCTGGAAAGGGACAGATTTTTCATATTTTAAGCTTTGTGGGCCCAACAGTCTGTTGCAGCTGCTCAACTCTGCCATTACAGTGCGAAAGCAGATACAGACAATATGTAAATGAATGAATGTGGCCACATTCCAAAACAACCTCGTTTACAAAAACAGGCAGCAAGCTGGATTTGGTCCATGGGCCATAGTTTGCCGATCTAGGCCATTTGTTTTCATTGCTGTGTAATATTTCATTGTATGACTACACCACAGTTTATTGATCCATTCTTCTATTCATGGTTTGGTTGAATTATCACTCCCAATTCTTTACTCCAGGACTATATAGGACTATACACTCAAACCCTTTGATGTACAGAGTAGATGGAGAATATATCCCCATCCCATTGACTTGGGGTTTGGCCTAATGGAATTTAACCGGGCAAATGCTAAAGAATGTGATGCAAAAGGAGAGTTTTTTTGTTGTTCTTGTTGTTTTGAGACGGAGTCTCACTCGGCTCACTGCAACCTCCGCCTCCCGGGTTTAAGCAATTCTCCTGCCTCAGACTCCTGGGTAGCTGGGACTACAGAGGTGTGCCACCACACCTGGCTAATTTTTGTATTTTTAGTAGAGAAGGGGTTTCACGGTGTTGTCCAGGCTGGTCTTGAACTCCTGACCTCGTAATCTGCCTGCTTCAGCCTCCCAAAGTGCTGGGATTACAGGCGTGAGCCACTGCGCCTGGCCACAAATGGAGGTTTTTAATGTGCTTTTATGGTTTAGTTTGGCATCTTGCGGTCCTGCCATTTGCCATAGAAGAGCATGTTCCCAGTAAGCTGTTGTCTCTTCAGCCTGAGTCCCCAAATGAGAGCTACTTGTAGCCAATGTGAACGTGAGTTCACCCCAGCTCACCTGCACTCCTGTGTGCAAGAAATAAATGTTTGTCATTATAAGCCAATGATATTCTTAGGATTGTTTGTTACACAGCTTTATTGCAGCAGCAGCTAATGAATACAATGGACATTTACGTTTTTGATTCTTCGCTGTTGCAACAAAGTTCACGCTCATATACCTCAACTGGTGCACAAATGCATCTTCAACTTTGCTAGTTAATGCTGATTTGCTTTCCAGACTTTTGTACCCACTTGGTTTTGTCAGGTGTCTGCTGATCTGTGGGTGTAAAATTCCATTGCCCATCTAACTCTTACTCATCTTTCTCTTCCTCTGGGCCTCCTTCCCTAATGCCCCCATCTGAACTGGGTCCATATACTCATTGCATCCATAGCTCCTTACACTTGCCTCTCTCACAGTCCTGGTATTGTATTTATCTGTTAATCTGTCACCATACAGACAGCCCCTGTCCCCCAGCCCAGGCACTTAGCAAATAATTGTTGAATGAAAGTTTCATGAGAAACTTCAATCAAGCTGGTCAGCTCCTGTCCTAGGGAATGTATACGCTGAGACAACTACCTTATCACAGGTACAGCCTTCATATCAAGGTGTGTCAAAGGACAGAGACTGATTGCTTTTCATGTGGTTATCACACTTGGGCTTTGAATGTGACTTGTTTTTTGCTGAAAATGTAATCATTCCAGGCTGCAATTACAGTAGCTAGAGAGATGTGAGTGAAAGCTAAACACTAAGGGTCTAAGAAGGTTTTGTGGGCAAATGCCATCTTTAAAAAGCAGGTTACTCACATAATAAATAGCTTGCATTGCTGCACACTGCTCTAAGCACTTTACACATACAAGATAAATATCAGAGGAGGAAACTGAGAAAAGCAACCTGCCCTGGGTGCGCAGCTGGTGAAGGCCTCACTGTAGCCACCATCCCCCACCCCAAGGTAATTGCGTTAGAGAACAAAGAACTTGACACCTGCCAGAACTACCCCCACCCCCACCACCACCTACCCCCAGCCCCAGCACCACCTACCCCGACCCCCACCCACCACCACCACCTACCCCCACCACCACCACCTACCCTCACCCACCACCACCTACCCCCACCACCACCACCTACCCCCAACCCCCAACACCACCTACCCACACCCCTACCCCCACCCCCCACCACCTACCCCTACCCCCACCCCCACCACCACCTACCCCCACCCCACCACCACCTACCCCCATCCCCATCACCATCTACCCCCACCCCCCACCACCACCTACCTCCAACCTTTGGATGGCATGAGTCTGGTGCATCTAAGGTCACATTTAAAGAACAGAGTTCTGAAAAATCCATGGGAAGACGTCTTTGCTGCCAGTCAGCATGATAGAAAAACATGGGTCTTGGAGCCGGGAGGCAGGTTTTAATCCAAACTTGGCCACAATCTTAATTTAGATTATTTTGGTTGTAAGGAAAAGAAATCAATAACTTTAATAACTTCAAAACTCCCAAAATGAAGCGGAGAGATGTGTTGTAAGGAATGGGTGGTGCTCTCGAAGGACAATCAAGGGTTGGAACCAAGAATTGGACCATTGATATAACCATGCTGTCATTCTGTCCCCTTCCTCCCTGGGCTAACTATGATCAGCATCTCATCCTAGGGTCAGATTCCTGGGAGTTAAAATCTGATTGGCCCAGCTTTGGTCAGGTGTGTTCCTCTGATCGAATCAGCTGTGACTGGGTAGGTGGGATCACACAAACCTCAGGAAAGGGGGCCTATTGTGAGCTAGGCAGATATTCTCTAGAAGGTGCCTAACGCAGTTACTAATTCACAGTAGACCTTAGGGAAGATACCTTCCTTCCCAGACTCGCAGTTCTCATCTGTAAATGAGAGATTTGATCTGTGTCTGGCTCATCATTACATCTACTATGCCTGTTTAATAAAGGCTGAGTGGACTACAGTGATCCCTATATTAGCTTCTGGTTCTGACCGTCTGTCTTTTAGAATTCTCATATGTAAAGTGTGCGGGTACAAGGAGCTGGCAGCGAGGGAGAAGACGGGGAGAAGGAGGGTGTGCTGACACTGGCCAGGGGTGCCTGGGGACTTCAGCTTAAGCAGTCTTTTCTCTGGACATCTTTCCAGAGCCAATCTTCTGTCCCCACCAAGCAGCATTCTGGCCAGAATCTGACTTCTCTAATAAACACTGTCCCTGGAGGGACAGTGCCCTTTATAAGCTATTAAATTGGCCTTCTGACAGTTGCCAACACAATGCCATTTGAGAAGCAAAGTCCAAAGTGGGGGGACTCCGGATTTGATTCTGGTGTCCAGAATCCAGACTCTTCCACTTATTACGTGACCTAGTGGGTCACGGCCCTCTAAGCATCACAGTCTTCGCTGCCCAGACAGATATGAGAATCTGTGTTCTGCCTTATTCATAGAACTGTTTGAGGGATATTGTGTATAAAATTATCCATAATAATTGAACTATATTTGTGGTGTGCTAACTAGATGCCAGGCATAGCGTCATATGCTGAAAAGGGTTATTATGTATAATCCTCACAAGAGCCTTATGAAGTAGCTGCTACTATGATCTCTGTTTCACAGATGAAGAAACTGAGGCTCAGAGGTTAAATAACTTGCCCAAGGTCACACAGTTGATGAAGAGCAGAGTCAGATCCACGCTCTGAACTAGGTTCTAGTACTTTTGTTTGTGGTCCAGTTGTAGATAGACACATTATTATTATTACTTCCCAGGGCCTAAGACCTCTCGGATAAGCTGAACATTGAGACCCACAGAGGTGGGAAACCAAAACTTGGACACCAGAGAAGCAAACTTCTGGGTTTATTCCTTCAGTCTAAAAACTACATGAATCAAAAAATCTGTGGGCTGTAAATGAAGTAACTCAGATCAAATTAGCTCACTCAAAAGAGGGAATTTGTTGGCCTCCACTCTCCGAGGGGCAAAAGTGAGGCTAGGGCACCTGGAATTCAAGTTTCAAACAAGCACCCCCAGGGCAGTCTTCCTCATTGTCTCTCATTGCTGCTGCCCTGTGCTGGCTGCCTGCCCTCTTTCATACTCCATGAGCTTCTTCTCAGGAAGAGAACACTGTTGCCAGCAGTTCCAGGATCACACGTCAGCTGCTCTGCAACCAAAGCTAAGGTGGGATTTCCTTTCCCAGCTACAGGTGAAACAAATCTCAGGAAAGGATTCTTATTGGCCTAGCTCAGATCATGAGTCCTCCCTTCTGAACTAATCACTATGGCTAGGGACATGTGGTTCTATGACTGGCTGCCCCGCTTAGATCATATGCCACCCATGTGAACAGTGGGAGTGGATCTGTTATAAGAAGGTGGGGTGGTTGGGGGAGATGGCAACACCGACGTGAACTCTGGGGGACTCTCTGAAGCCTGGGTCACCTCAATTTGTATCCTTTCCAACTGGCAAGAGCAACCTTGGTTTTCTCCTTCCTCAATCTATATCTACTAAGAAGTCACCTAATAGGCTGTTAGTTTCTTACTCTCGTTTTCTTCAGAAAGGCTCATATGGTCTTTTATACAGAGGGAGGGGGTGAGTATCCTCTTCTGCAAACTTTTCCATGTCTGGAAAATTGGGGCAATGGAGCCTGCCTTACTTTCCTCACAGAGGTATGTGAGGACCCACAGAGTTAATGGATACAAACACTGCTGTAGAAAGAACAAAGTGCCATATTTACAAACACAGGATCTATTTATTGATTTATTTATGCTCCTTTGTGTTTCAAAAAAGGATTTGAGGTAGCTTAGCAAAATGCACACAATATAGTGGGATAAAAATAGTAAGGGGATAGAGCGGAGGGAAAACACGGGTAGAAAAATCAAATAAAGCCAGGGAAAATTCTTGTACCTGGAAACTTATGCTCAAAGTCCCTGAACAAGTTTGGTTCTGAGCTTTCTCATGAACAAAGTGGGAAACATGATCAGTTACAAAAGATACAGTAGTCATAGGATAAGAGAATATCAGCATGCCAGGAAAGGCCACAGAGCTTAGCTCAGCACCAATGTCTGGTAGAAATTTCTTCTCATCAAGAGGATACCGCAGGGTGGGCCAGACTCGATGGTTCATGCCTGTAATCCCAGTACTTTGGGAGACCGAGGCAGGCAGATCATCTGAGGTCTGGAGTTCGAGACCGGCCTGGCCAACATGGTGAAACCCCGTCTCTACTAAAAATACAAAAATTAGCCAGGCGTGGTGGTGGGTGCCTGTAATCCCAGCTACTCGAGAGGCTGAAGCAGGAGAATCACTGGAACCCAGGAGGCGGAGGTTGCAGTAAGCTGAGATTGCACCAATGCACTCCAGCCTGGGTGACAGAGTGAGACAGAAAAAAAAAAAAAAAAAAAAAAGATGCTGCAGGGTGGAGTGGTCTGCATATTCAACAATATATAGAGATCCTTTGGTTTTCATGTCACTGGCTGTCTAATTCAGTTTCATGTGGATTCACTGTCTACAATTTGATTTACGTTAACTAAAAACTGGATACCAACTAAATAGCAAGCACATTCTTTTCCCCTTCCTTCCTTCCTTTTCTTTCTTTTTGCATGGTAACATGAGGTTGGGTGCAAGGAGTGGTATGTGAGTTTTCCCCAGTGAAATATATGGACAAAAAAGTTCTAGCATCTTGGCTTAGCTGAAATGTATAAAACTCACTAAGACATAAAACTGTTCCAAGCAGGCCATAAAGGCGCTGCTGCCTTTGCCTCAGAACTTGGGCTATAATCTGCTGTCCTGGAACAAAATGCAAACATAAATCAGCTTTCACAGTATTTTTAGCCACCTAAAAAATTCTTCATTTCCTGCCTGAAATGCTTCTGACAGTGAGCAATGCCACTCTCCCTCATTCTTGCTCTGAAAAGCTTCCCTTTGGGCAGCGATGGGGACCCAACACTGGGCCCCACAGCTGAGGCAAACCCAGAAGGAGGCATGGGATAGAGGAAATGGTCTCCCAGGGTCTCTAGGACAAATAAGTCAGGGATGTGGCTAGCGTATAAATTGCTTTCATGCAAAGTTGGAAAGGGCGCCCCTCCTTGGCACAGGAAGCCCTGTGGGTTCCCACTTGGGATGCCCTCTCCTGCATCTTTGCCTGACGCAATCTCATCTGTCCTCCTGGACCCAGAGCCTCCACAAAGCCATCCCCAAATACCCACCCCATTCTCTTGTTTCTGCACTCCTAATGCATCAACAGTGAGTACCAGACAGCTGGCATTTAATTATATGATGTCTGGCATGCACTATTTCATGTTGTCAGTCTGTCTCTCTAACTAGATTAAAGAGATCTTGAGGTAATCGTTAGTTCTTACTTTATATGTCTCCCTTACAGCTAACAAGGAAGCTTTATGTCTTCCTCGTTATGTCTTACAAATAACAAGGTCATGAAAAACAGGAACCTAGGGTGACTGTCTCGTTCTCCCCACTGTACCCATTGAGCAGACAAAATTAAGAGCCAAAGAGGAGGCTTGACCTGCCCAAGGTCATGCAGTGAGAACTTGGGCTAGCCAGGAACGACTCCAGTTCTCCTGTCTGTCAATGCAGCATTCGACTTTCCTGAAACACTTAGTTCTAAAACCCCCAATAGGAGGTTCAGAACCACAGCTCCCTGGGGTAATAAAGACAGACAGACAGACAGCTGGCCCACAGTAATCCATCTGCTCATGGGCAGAATTTCCAACATGGAGGCAAGTCAAGCTGCTCTAAGGCTCAGCAAACAGCCTCCATGGGAATCCAGGCTGGGTCTCTGTATGTGCCAGGGGGATGAAAGGACCTCAGTGGGGTACCTGGGGTGCTTGCATCCTCCCTGACACCACGCAGGTCACTATTGTCTGCGATGTCTGGGGCAAAGGAAACCCGTAATTGATGGTCTCAGCAGGAAGGACACATAGACAGGTGGAGAGGGCATCTCCTGTTTACAGAGAAACGCTTGTGTTTGCAAGGGGCTGCCTTTTTGCAGTGAACTATGCACCCATGATAGCAGGAAACCACCCAAGTATTTGCCCCAAATTTATAACAACAGATACAATAGTGTCAAAGCTGATAGAAACTGAAAACAAAATAATAACAAAAAATACCCATGGCAACAATTGCTAAACAAAACCCTATAACGACAAGCTGGCAGCAGCCTCATCAGTCCTGCTGAGCCTCTCCTAGGCACTCACAAGCCACAGCACCCGCCACTTAGTACTTCTCACAAATGCCCTATGAGTTTGGTATGATGTGCTTGTTTTATAGATGTGGAAGCTGAAGCTTACGGGGCTGAAGTATCTTGCCTCACATCACAGGCTGCTAAGAAGCAGAGCTGGGATTGGCATCCAGGTTGATCTCCCTCTAAAAGCCTCCCCTTTCACTACAACCCACATAGACTCTCATTCCAACCCCACTTCAAGCATTTCTTCCCATTATCAGACCTGTGGGACAAGGTTTGGTTGGGAAAACACGAGGCTCTTCAGGAAGACAGACAACAGATTGCCCATCATTTCATGGACAAGGGACCGACATGAGGCGCACCCAGATCTCTGTGGCTTTTTCTTGGTGCCAAACAAATGCAGAAGGAGTCACTTCTCAAAGAACACAGTGTTTTTCTTCCTCTTCTCACCTCTCCTGGGCCGGTGCCTGTGATAATTGGGAAGCACAGAGTCTGGTTTTTCCGGGATTGGAACCAATGCTGTGAAGAGTGTTCTGACAATAAATGTTGATTGACAGTTGATGGACAATGTTCTTGAATCAGTTTTTCCTGTGCTGGGTGTTAAGCTGAGAACTGCACTAAACAACTGCTCAACAACCTGCTTCCTGTTCAGATAGAATTTACTACACTCTCTCTCTGTGGGCCTCAGTCAGGCAGCCAGGCGAGATGGTATCTCAGACGCCTTCCAGCTCCATCACTCAATGTCTCTATCAAGAAGAGAACACAGATCTGAAAACATTTTTCCCCCTAACACTGAGTTGGGGTTATTATTCACATACAAAAACACAGGCACCAACAGAGATAACTGGTCAGGAAATAAGGAGCTTTGATTCTGGTCTCATACTCTTTGACCTAGTAATTCTACTTCTGTGAATTTATCTTAAAGAAAGAATCCAGAGGACAGAGCTGTGTGCACGAAAAGGTTTGCTTTCGCAATATTTGGAGTTACTGTCAATAAAATGATGTCCAATGCAAGAATGCGAGAGACTCCCTTGGTGGCACATGAGGCCACCGCAAGTGATAATTTCAAAGACACAGAAAAACATACTTGGCAGTGTTTTTCAAATTGCAGTTCAACCTCCATTAAGGGGTCATGAAATAAACCTAAGAGGTGTCCTGCCACCAACTTGTTTTTGTTTATTTTTTTGAGATGGAGTTTCGCTCTTTCACCCATGCTGGAGTGCAGTGGCACGATCTCGGCTCACTGCAACCTCCGCCTTCCAGTTTCAAGTGTTTCTCCTGCTTCAGCCTCCCGAGTAGTTGGGTTTACAGGCGCCCACCACCACGCCCAGCTAATTTTTGTATTTTTAGTAGAGACGGGCTTTCACCACGTTGGCCAGGCTGGTCTCAAATTACTGACCTCGTGATCTGCCCAGCCTCCCAAAGTGCTGGGATTGAGAGGTAAAGCCAGCTGGACTTCCTGGGTTGAGTGGGGACTTGGAGAACTTTTCTGTCTAGCTAGACAATTGTAAACGCACCAATCAGCGTTCTGTGTCTAGCTAAAGGATTGTAAATGCGCCAATCAGCACTCTGTAAAAACCCACCAATCAGCGCTCTGTGTCTAGCTAAAGGATTATAATGCACCAATAAGCACTCTGTGTCTACCTAGGGATTGTAAATGCACCAGTCAGTGCTCTGTAAAAACGCACCAATCAGCGCTCTGTGTCTAGCTAAAGGATTGTAAATGCACCAATCTGCACTCTGTAAAAATGCACCAATCAGCACTCTGTGTCTAGCTAAAGGACTGTAAATGCACCAATCAGCACTCTGTAAAATGGACCAGTCAGTGCTCTGTAACAGGGGACAAATAAGGGAATAAAAGCTGGCCATCCCCCAGTCAACAGTGGCAACCCACTCAGGTCCCCTTCCATGATGTGGGAGCTTTGTTCTTTTGCTCTTCACAATAAATCCTGCTGCTGCTCACTCTCTGGGTCCGTGCTACCTTTAAGAGCTGTAACACTCACCGTGAAGTCAGTGAGACCAAGAACCCACCTGAAGGAACCAACTCCAGACACAGGATTACAGGCCTGAGCCACCGTGCCCGACTTTGTTTTTTTTTAATTAAATAGGCAAGAATACAAAATAACAGAGTGCATTACAGGAGGTAAAGGTACTTACTGTGAAACTTTGGTTTTGGTTTCATGGGTAACTGGGCCATGGTATAAAATACATTTTTTTATCGTAGGGTCACAGTCAAAACATTTCAAAGGCCGTGGGTCTATGGTGTACAGTATAGTACGATTACAACAATGTAAAATACTGTGTGTGAGGCCAAGCCTGGGAGGAATAAACAGAAGCAAAGAGGAACTGATAAAGTTGGTAGAATAAAGGATGCTGCTTCTCAGTTATATGTTTTCTGTGATGTTTGTAGGTTGTTCTTACAATAAAACAAACCAAAAAAAAAAAAAAAAAGAAGTCAAGACACAAAGGAGAAATAACAATAGAGGGCCATTATCAGATTCCATTGGCCGAGAAGCTCAAGGCTCCAGCACCGGCCTTGAAGGATGGACAGACTTTGAATGGGGGGCGTGGCCTAAACAGGGACGGGGTTGTTGCTGAAACACAAAACACACTGAAAGAGAACATGGGGTTAAAAAAGGCTCTCAGTGATGCAAAGCGGCTTAAAACTGGGGAAGAAAGGGGCAGGTCTACTCCCGGGCTGTACATTCTGCCTCCCTGTACCGACTTTTCCACCCTCCACCCATCTAGGCTGAGGTCTCAAGCTAGAGGTTGCCCCTCATAAACATGTCCGCACCAAGCCGGCCGCGCCCCTCAACAAGATGGCGACGGCAGCAGCCCCACCTCCCGCTGACTCGGTGGCCAATGAGGGAGAAGCACGAAGACTTGAGCATGCGCACATAGCGACTTGGTGGGCGCGTCCAGTGATGACTGGGGGATCCCGGCAAGTAACATGACTAAAAAGAAGCGGGAGAATCTGGGCGTCGCTCTAGAGGTGAGGGGAAAAGTGGGGGTTGGGCCACCTCGTTAGTTGCCTTCTCCTGGCCGCGGGATAAGGGATAGGCTGGGCTATAGATAGGAGGAGGAGCCAAGCGTAGGATGAGAGGGCGACGCGGTTTGGGGAGAGGGACGGGAGGGGTGAGAAGGCCCACGGGGTTCCCGGAGGACAGGGAGCCCGAGGAGGTGCCGGATGGGCGAACCAGACTCTCTGGAGAGGGCATCTCCAGAGAGGAAGAGACATGGAAGTGAAGGGGAGCCCCAAAGACGGCCTGGCATAGAAGTGAGGGAACTCAAAGCGGGGGACACAGAACAAAAGGGATGGGTACAGAGGTGAGGGAGACCCCAGAGAAATAGGGACCTGTAGAATCTAAGGAGAACTCCCAAAGGGCTAGGACTCAAAGATGAGGGAGCCCATTCTGGTGTATATTATTAATGGTTTAAATATCCTCTAAAAGGGGAAATTTTTCCTCCGGAGTATGGAAGCTTGTACCTTCAAAATTACTTTGGGAATATGTAAAGAGAATTCTGGAATTGGTGATGTCACTGAATGGCTTAAAAATAATTTGCTGCATATAGAAGGGAAAGAAAACATACATACTGAGCAACCGCTATGTGCTACTTTCATTGCATTGTTAATCCTCACTGCAAGCCTGTGAGGTTTGTACAGATGAGGAAATTGAGGTTCCAGGTGGAACCCAGGCTGAGATGGTGGAAGTGGTGGAGCCTGGGAATCAAGCACAGGTGGTCTTCCTGGAAATTCATCTTGCTTCCCCTGTTTTCCTTCCCTTAGGGCATCCTCCCGGAGGTTGCAGGAGAGGTACAGGGTCATAGTCTTCTTCAGGCTTACTAGTGAGTTCAGTGATTCTCAAACTTTAGCATGCATAGAGTCACAGGGCTTGTTAAAAATGGAGAGTTGAACTCTTCCCACACCCCGAGTAATTCAGTAGGACTTTGATGTGCATTCTTAACAAGGAATCTGCTTTTTTTTTTTTAAGACAGAGTCTCGCTCTGTTGTCCAGGCTGAAGTGCAGTGGCGTGATCTCGGCTCACTGTAAACTCTGCCTTCTGGGTTCAAGCGATTCTCGTGCCTCAGCCTCCCGAGTAGCTGGGATTACAGGCACGTGCCACCATGCCTGGCTAATTTTTGTATTTTTGTAGAGACGGGGTTTCACCGTGTTGGCCAGGCTGGTCTTGAACTCTTGACCTCAAGTGATCTGCCCGCCCGCCTTAGCCTCCCAAAGTGCTGGGATTACAGGCATGAGCCACCACAGCCGGCCAGAATCTGCATTTTTTTTTTTTTTACAAGCCACACACACCCCATGGTGATGTGGGTAGTTTTAGTGGCATCCCTTGAGAAATATTGGCCCACTTGGTAGGAAAAAGGTTGATGGAAATGTGAAGAGGATGGTTTATGAGTGGTGACTGAGATGGTACTTTGTGGCGGGAAGAACATAGACTTTGTAACCTGCATTAGGGTACAATAAGCTGCAGTAACAGAGAAACTCCAAAACTCAGTGGCTTCAAGAACAAGAAAGTGAGTTTTTTTCTAACAGGCTAGAGCAAGGGGCAGGAGATGTCTGCAAATGGTCAGATAGTAACTATTTTAGAAGAGACATGGTCTCTTCTAGAGAGCCAAATGGTCTGGGTTGCAACTACAGTTGATCCTCATTATTCACAGATTCCACATTTGCGAATTTCCCTAATGGCTAAAATGTATTTGTAACCCCAAAATCAGTACTCACAGTGCTTTTGTGGCAAATGCAAAGCAGTGGGAAAAAAATTGAGTCGCTCGCAGTCCATGTTCTCAGCTAAAGTTGAACAGGTGATGATGCCCTGCCTTGTTTCAGCTGTCCTACTGTAAACAAGGGTCCTTATTGTGTTCTATTTAGTGCCCTGTTTTTGTTTTGTTTTGTTTTTTTCATTCTCATGTTTTTTATTGGTATTTCGCTGTGTTTTGCTTTTGAGACAGAATCTCACTCTCGCCCAGGCTGGAGTGTAGTGGTGCACTCTTGGCTCTGCAACCTCCACCTCCCATTCAAGTGTTCACCCCCACCTTCCCCCGACACAGCCTCTCTAGTAGCCAGGATTAGACCACCACCACATCCGGCTAATTTTTGTATTTTTGGTAAAGACGGGGGTCTTGCCATGTCGGCCAGGCTGGTCTCGAACTCCTGACCTTAGGTGATCTGCCCACCTCGGCCTCCCAAAGTGCTGGGATTAGAGGTGTGAGCCACTGCCTGATTTTGCTGTTTAAAGTGCCCCCGATCCCCGACCCCCGACCCCAAGCATAGGGCTGAAGTGCTGTCTGGCATTCCTAAATCCAAGAAGGCTGTGATGTGTTGTAGAAGAAAACAGGTTTTTTAGATAAACTGTTCAGGCATGATATAACTCATGATGTAACAGCACGTATAGTGCTGTTGGTTGTGAGTCCAGTGTTAATGAATCAACAATATATATTGAATAAGGTCACTTTAAACAGAATCACACATGAAACAAGGTTGCAAAAATGTTGTGTCCATAGGCTTGCAGGAACCTCACCTGGTTTGGTATTTGCTAATTCAATATTAGAGGCAACTTTATAGGACATAGCTACCAGGAACAACAAGAACCAACTGTATTCAGGCTAAGGTAGGAGTATGTAAATGAAGGAATATGTAAATAAGTGGGTGTGTCAGTGTTCCACTAAAGCTTTATCTGCAAGAACAGTCCTTAGACCATTTGGCCACAGGGCTTAGTTGCCAACTCCTGGTCTAGAGTACCAGGTCTATGGTGGTTCTGCCAGATTCCCTTCCTCTGTGGCTTCACCATCTCTTGAGATCTTGTCACCTTATCAGTGGAACCGGGGCATACCCCACTGATGTGTCCACCGGCAGAGAAAGAGGAGAATGGAGGAAGCACACCCACTGTCCTGGGCCCAAACTGTCCACTTTCCATTGGCAAGAACTAAAACCCCACCTGACTGCAAGGGATCAGGGAAATGCGTTCACCAGTCAGGAGGCCACATAGCCAGCTACTGTTTGCTTACTATGGAGGAAGAGACCAGTGTGTTTTCACAGACAGCCTGTAGTCTCACTACAGATGGCACCTCACCTCACAGTGTGGTTGTGAGGATTAAATGAGACATTGCGTTAAGTGCCCAGCACGTGCCTGGCACCGGATTGGTAATCAATACATGGTAGCTCCAGCCTTTGTATTTCTTTTGCATCCTTCCACCATGGCTAAGTCAAACTCGTTCTTGGGCATTCGTTCACTCATCTATAACATGAAGGACTTGAATTTCACCAGGGGTTACAAACTCCTTGACTATGGCCCAAATACAGATCACAGATGTCTTCTGTTTGGCTGACAGACTTTTAAGTTTTTATTTTATTTTATTTTATTTTTAGACAGGGTCTTGCTCTGTTGCCCAGGCTGTAGTGCAGCGGCATGATCTCAGCTCACTGCAGCCTCCAGCCTCCCGGGTTCAAGCAATTCTCGTGCCTTAGCCTCCCGAGAAGCTGAGACTACAGGCGTGCACCACCATGCCCAGCTAAGTTTTGTATTTTTAGTAGAGACGGGGTTTCACCATGTTGGCCAGCTGGTCTTGAACTCCTGACCTCAAGTGATCCGCCCGCCTCGGCCTCCCAAAGTGCTGGGATTACAGGCGTGAGCCACCACACTCGGCCGGATTTTTACGTTTTTAAACTTGGTGGGGCATGTATTCTCCAAGTGCCTTATACTGGGGCAGATTCCATTGTTTTACCCTCTCCATACCACGGTAGATGTTTATATTTGCTATCTTGGTCCCTAAGTTTACTTTTTGCTTGGATATTCGAAGATTTGACATCTGTAACCGTGTGCCTTGGAAAAAGCCTGACATCTGGCTGGCTGTCTCCCCACCTTGCTTCTCAGTTGCCCCCAGCGGGTCTGAGTATTGAATGTGCACTGATGCTCAGTAGCAGTAGATATTGTCCTCTTATTAAAAGTTGTGTGCTCAGAGCCAATGAAGTGGTGATTTAATCAAAAATGTTTGTTAATCTGACGAGTGCAATAAAACCCCCACAAGTGAGTGATCTCAGCACCTGCAAACAGTCTCCACTTGTAATGAAGCAATTACCAAGCAGGCAGCACTCACCCTTAGGGCTGGCTTGGGCCAGCTGTATAAGCAGCCACCTCTTAGGACAACCAGGGCACCCTCTAGCCTCCCCCTCAAAGTGGTTCCTTTTGAGGTCTTTTTATCCAATTCATTTGCCACCATATGAGATCTCAGAGTTGGAAAAAACTGTGAGTTTTAGCTTCTGAGATTTCATTCTTAATAAGAAAAGAAAATTATAGTTCAAATGAGAAATCACCCACCCAGTACTGATTTTAATGTTGTGTGGGAGGAAGGAAAGGTTGAATTTCAGTCTAAACTGATAGGAGAATTTTGACTGATGTAAAACCTGTTTGTGTTTTCGGATCTCTGATGGTAATGAGCTGTTCCTTTGTCATTGCACTTTTCTTTTGTAGCTGGACTGTTCAAACTGGTGTCTTTAGATGTTTCAGTGACCAGTTGGTCTTGAGTTAACAGATGTGTGGTGTCTTAGCCGGTATCCTAAAGTGGATAACTTGGTTGGATCTGACCCCTAGTACAGAAAGTTTATCAGTTTGGAAAGCTTTTGGCTACAAGTTATAGAAAACTGACCTCAATGATTTAAGCAAATGGGAGTAGACTTTTCCCCTTATAGAAATTTGTAGGGGCCAGGTGCAGTGGCTCACGCCTGTAATCCCAGTATTTTGGGAGGCTGAGGCAGGTGCATCATTTGAGGTCAGGAGTTCGAGACCAGCCTGACCAACATGGTGAAACACCATCTCTACTAAAAATACAAAAATTAGCCAGGAGTGGTGGTACACGCCTGTAATCCCAGCTACTCGGGAGGCTGAGGCAGGAGAATTGCTTGAACCCAGGAGGTGGAGGTTGCAGTGAGCCAAGATCGTGCCACTGCACTCCAGTCTGGGCAACAGAGACCCCGTCTCAAAAAAAAAAAAAAAATTTGTAGGTAGGTGGCTACTGGCATTGGTTCAAAAGCTTAGCTATGTCAGAGTTGGTATTTCTGCATTCTCTTCACTGTTTCCTCATGGTCACAATATAGCTGCCACAGCTCCAGTCTAATATTCAACTTTAACTCAGGAAGGAGGAGGAAGGAACAACACTGTCCCTTTTATCAACAAAGCATAAGCTTCCCCAGGAGTCTCCTAGCTGACTTCTGGAACGTCTCATTGGCCAGAACTGGGTCATGAGCAAGCCTAGCTGCAGTGAGGTTGGGAGAGCATCTGCTGAGCTTTTCCACCTTCTGGAGTAGAGGTGGGCAAAGGAGCAGGGGTGGGGAGTCGGTGTTGTGTTGGCCAGTTGACAGTATCTGCTGTAAGGAATAAATGCTAATGGGAGTCATTGAAAATTCACTGGAATCCTTACCAGAAAAAGAGGGCAGGATCGGCTGGGTGCGGTGGCTCACGCCTGTAATCCCAACACTTTGGGAGGCCCAGGCGGGCGGATCACCTGAGGTCACGAGTTCGAGACCAGCCTGACCAACGTGGAGAAACCCCATCTACTAAAAATACAAAATTAGCCAGGCATGGGGGTACATGCCTGTAATCCCAGCTACTCGGGAGGCTGAGGCAGGAGAATCGCTTGAACCTGGGAGGTGGAGGTTGCGGTGAGCCGAGATGGTGCCATCGCACTCTAGCCTGGGCAACAAGAGGGAAACTTCGTCTCAAAAAAAAAAAAAAAAAAAAAAAAAAGGCAGGATCACTGACCATGAGAAGTGGTAGGCTGAGGGGAGAGAATGGCCTAGGCCAGGAAGAGCACCGGAAGGCTTGACGCTTGTGGTTATTTGTATGGTGCCAGCCACTGCAGTAGCCTCCGTGGGGCAGGGCAGGCAGAAGCACCAAGTGTGGCTGAAGACGGTCTCCGCTCTGGAGCAGGCTGTGCACAGGGCTCAGGGGAACCTCCCACTTTCCTGAGACAAGGGCTAGGAGCAGGTGAGTGGACTGTCAATAAATATTTGCTGAACTGGCTCGATTGGCAGGAGGAGGCATTGAACCTTCCACCCTGACGTCTGGGCCCAGTTGAGTGGAGGTCACAGTAGAGCAGGCGGTTAGACGCCACCTTGCTGGGACCCTGAACCCCAAGCCAGGGGCTGGGAGAAAGGCTCGCAGCACGCAGAGGACTGTTCAGGGGCCGCTGACCATTAAATGAGCCTCACCTGCTGCCAGGCGAGAGCGACAGGTCGCCATTGGGCAGGTGATTTCTCGCGGCAGCCTACATCTGGCTCTGCGCCACTTGACGGGGGTCAGGAGACTAAAACCTCATTACCTAGCGCGGCTGGATGGCGGCGTGTGTGGAGTGGCTGTCTGCCAGCATCTTAATTAATGAATTCATAAGGCTCGGGGTGGATGCCAGTTCTTGAAAAGTGCTTTGAGCCTTTCAGCGATGAACAAGCTTTTGCTAGTTTATCAAAAAATAGATATCGGGGGGAAAGAAGACAAAACAAACCCCACACCACCTTCCGGCCCAGGGACAGCTGGCATCTTCGGGCGCGGACTGGCTCGGGCGCTAACTTGCAAGGCTGGCTCGGCCTCCGTCTCCTCGCGGGAAGGCGTCGGGACTCGCGTGGGCTGCAGCGGTTCCCTCGCCTTTCTGACCTGGCATGGGGGTGTGTCCAGGCGAGCGACAAGCCCCTAGGCTCTCCCTGCTCTTCCTGAAAATTGTTCATTGATTAAAAACTGGGAAGGTCTGCCGTCTTCAGCTGCACAACCTGCGAGAGAAATCCTTACAGGGCCTGTTGATGTGGGGAGCCATGGGCGGAGGTTTTTCTGCCCCCACAGAGCTCTGTGAGCCGCCTCCACAGAAAAACATCCCTTAAACGATGTGGGGATAATGGGCCCCTTGGGGTTTGAGGCTTGTCACCTGGAAAATTGAGGCCTAAGAACCCCGTGTGACTTGCTGTGGAGCCTGAAGGCTCCAAATGGAAAGCCCCTGCACTCTTGCCAGAGACCATCTGGGCAGGCACTTGGCTGCTTTACCCATTATAATAAATGTCCTGGGGTCTCCTGACGTGTGAAAATGAGTGAATTTTCAAAAATCCAGTTCCCAGGCTGCTGGGGCTGGAGATGAAACAGCTGACACCACTCTCCAGGCTGTGAATTAGCAAGTGAAAGGGAAGGCTTCGGTACTGCTGGGGAAAGAAGGGTTTATCAGGCCCAAGTAGCCCACCTTTTTCCGTCTCCAAACTGGATCTGTTTTGTGTGAATTTTGGAGGATGCTTTGACAGTCGAGGTGATCTGGGGCAAAATGCCTGGGATGTTTGTGAAGCTCATTGAGTTGGCCCAGTGTAAGGGCAGACGCTGGGCTCCTGTCTCCTCTGTCTCAACAAACAAATTTCAATGAGGGCTTTCCCTCACAGAGAGTATCTGTTATGTAGACAGAAACTGAGCAGAGCCTTGTACAAGATTATTCCGAGTAGAGAATCTGTTGAAGCCAGATCAGCAAGCTTAGATGGGCTTCAGCTGGGATGTGGAATGACTGTTCTGCAGAACTCTTGTCATGAATGTTTTCATGAGGGATTTTGGAGAAAGAGCTTGAAGTGGTGGAAAGAGCATAAGCCCTGAAGCAGAAAAACCCAGATTCAGGCTTCAATTCTGCCCCTTCCCAGTTACACGACCTTGGGCAAGGTGCTGAAAACCTCTGCAAGGGAGCTTGCACCTCTGTAAGATGGAGATGGGCCCTTCCTTGCAGGGCGGTTGCAGACACAGGAAGCTGCCCACAACCTGCCCAGCTCCAGGGGTAAGGTGTGGAGGTTGTGCCCAGGAGCTAGGAGTCCCTCAGAGCTGATGAGCGCTGCCTTCTCCATGTGGCATGGTGGTTAAGGGCACAGACGTGGCTGCCCAGCTCCCGGACTTAATGCCTGTGTGACCCTGGACAGTTACCTATGTCTGAGTCCCCTCATCTGTCAAATGTGGATGCTGATAATACTGCCCACCTCACAGGGTTCTTGCGAGCATTATGTGAGTTAATCGGTGTAAAGCATGTAGGTCAGTGCCTGGCACACAGCACAGACTACAGAAGTGTTGCTGCTGCTGTCACTGTTGTGGTTCCATTTTGCTGGGACTTTTGGTTTCCAGAGGCTGCTTACACTCATGCTGTCATGCAGACACTGGAGACTCTGTGACTTGGCTCGGCTCAGCTACCCTGGCACCACGCTCTTTATTGGAAGGTCTGAGTGCCCAGTAAGGACCTGTCCAGCCAGGTGCAGTGTATGCCCCATTACCACTGCCTGACCCTGTAGCAAACCTGTCACTCGCTGGCCAGAAGCTCCCAAGAGTAAAGCCGGAGAGACAGCAAACAGCTTCCTAAATCAGAAAGCAGAGTGGCCTGTGTAGCCCAGCACCAGGCCCCGGGGGTGCCTTCTGCCCTTTCCCAGAAACAGGTCTGGCCCTAGACAGTGGTTCATTAGGGAGTGGGCAGAGAGCCACCTCCCCGGCTGTCTAGATGCTCTGTGGGAACACCATTCAGTAGGAGAATAGAGTGAACGGTAGCCTGTGGCTCGAACTGTCTCGTGCTTGTTGGCAGAAAAGCTGCATATGAGGCCCCCAACAGCAGCTAGCCGTGGAGCTGGCACCCCATCAGCTGACCTGGCCAGGATGCTGGGGCAGTTATCTGTGCATGAGCTGGCACGAAATTCCCTGCCCCCAGTGAGGCCTCCGTGGGGCTCTGATTCTGAGAGGGCCTACACTCCTGAAAAGATGCCTCGCGGGGATTTCACACGAATTTTACAGTTTCTCTTAACACAGTGGTTTTATGGCATATAGGACCCCAGGGAGACTTCCTTAAAGCTCCCAGAATAAGGTGATATTCCCCAAGTCAGGCTGCAGAGGGGAGTTTGCTTATCTGCCTGGGGGCTGCTGAACTCCAGGCCCGGGTGCTTGGAGCTGCATCTGTCTGATGGGCTCTCAGGGAGGCTGCAGGAAGAGTCCCTGCCCCTGCCGCTGGGCATGAAGAAGCCCTTTCTGCTCTTGGCACCTGCCAGCAGGATTGACGGCCCTACTTGGCTAGGGCCTTGTCCCCAGCACCCCTCAGGCCTACAACACAGCCTCTGCAGCCTTGACTGCTGGGCTGACTTTAGATCTTCTCATTCTTCTGCACAGAACACCCCCTCTGTGGAGGGCCTTTGGTCTCATGGGTCTCCTCGCTGAGCTCACTCCTTCACCCAGCAGGCCTCAATTCCCTGCCCCAGGCTCTGATACTGAGAAGCAGCAGTTCTCAGTAATTTAGGCAGCATCACTACGGGGCTTTTCTGTTAAAAGAACGGACTTGTTGGGTCCCACTCCCTAAGGCCTCCCCTGGGGCCTTTCCCACCTGTCTACCTGAGGGATGCTCCTTCTCCATTCCCTGCCTCATATGCCTCTTTTTCCTTCCTCCTCCCCTCTTCCTTTGTGCTCTGTGTCTCCCCTGCCTAGGCAGACTCCCCAGCCATCCCCCCAGGCAGTTTTTAGCCACTGCTGGTCTCTGGGTAAAGAACAGACTTTCCCCAGGACACCCTTCACACTCTCCAACCTGTTCCTTGGGCCCCTGGACCGCTCACACAGGGCTTCACACAGCGCCTCCCCAGGGCTCAGGCTGGGCCAGATGCCAGGAAGCAGTGTGCTGGCTGACAGTGGGTTCATACCATCGCCTCTCTTACTTCCTGGGGTCCCCAAAGCCCCTGCAGATCGCAGCCCTGTGCCCCCTGCTGACTCATCTCAGTGACTGGGACACAGTGCTTTTTCCCCATGTAAAAATTGACCTTGGTTTTCTGAGTGTAAATATAATGCACGGGTGGTTCTTAATGTTATTGTACAGCAGGGGGCACCTGCTCTCTGCCCCCACACTGTGCCGTCTAGGTCTCTGCCTTGGCTGTCTCTACTTTGCCGGTCACAGTCACAGCCGTAAGTGCTGCCCCCTGATAGCTCCAGGCAAGTCCTGGCCCCTGAGCCAGGCATGCCTCTTCCTGCCAGCTGGCCCTACTATGCAGCCTGTCGGGCAGGAGTCCTGGGAGCCCCTGTGGCCTTCAGAGTATAACTTTCCCTTCCTACTGGGCTTGGTGGGATCCCTTCCACGGGGCCTCTTCAGGCTGCCTAGAACCATGGTGTGAGTGAGCCCTGGCTCTGGCTGCTGGGCCTCACCTGCTGTTCCACATTTCCTCAGATGCCCACTGATGCCCAGACCGCCCCCAGGCTGTTCCACCTTGGACATGGCTCCAGGCCTCTCACGCTAGGATTCTACCAGGTGCCATGTCTGCAACCTGGCCCTGGCTCCAGAGGCCCACCCCAGCTTTGTCCCAGGGAAGGATCGCAAGGTTCCCACCATGCCATGTCTGGAGTAAGCGGAGCGAGCTGGCCTGTGGCCTGTTGTTGTTCTGACATCTACCCTGGGGGCCCTCCCTGCTGAACCTCTTCATGGACTGGGAATGGCCACATCCAAGGTAGAGGGGCCCTCCTCCCTGCACTGCCAGTCAGCAACTCATGGAGATTCCTCTCCACCTCACACCCCTGCTGTTTTTTTTTGTTTGTTTGTTTGTTTTTGAGATAGAGTCTCGCTCTGTCACCCAGGCTGGAGTGCAGTGGTGCCATCTCGGCTCACTGCAGCCTCCACCCCCTGGGTTCAAGCAATTCTTCTGCCTCAGCCTCCTGAGTAGCTGGGACTACAGGCGTGCGCCACCACGCCTGGCTAATTTTTGTATTTTTAGTAGAGACAGAGTTTCACCATGTTGGCCAGGATGGTCTGGATCTCCTGACCTCGTGATCCGCCCACCTTGGTCTCCCAAGGTGCTGGAATTACAGGCGTGAGCCACCATGCCCAGCCACACCCCTGCTTCTATCACCTTCTCTTACTCTTGCCATGGACTAACCAGGTTTTCTTTTATTCTCCAAAGATCTAGTGCAAACCACTCTCTGATAATAAAGATAGCAAACACTTACTGAACTCTGACCATGTAAAGCATGTTCTGGGCATCTTACCTGTTGGCTCCATGTCATCCTCACAAAACTCTTTGAAATATGAAATGTGGTTATCTTTGTTTTACACGTGAGTCAACTGAGCACAGAACTAAGGGAGTTGCCCAGTCATACCACAAGTGAGTGACAGAGCCAGGGGCACTGATTATAGCCCATGCTCCTTACCACTCACTTACCTGGAACCACCATTCCAGGCTTCTGGGCACTTGAGCTCCCAACTGCTTGCCCAGTTCTGGCCCTTACACTTCTAGAATCTTCTTGACATTTGTCTCCTTATCTGGTCCTAATCCCCACATCTTCTCTCCTGGTCCTGGCTGTCTTGTCTTCCGTTGCCTTTAGCCTGGTGGTGGCAAGGAGAGAGCTAACCAACGACTGCACATTTGCCTCGGGTCGTCTGCAAAGTGCATAATCCGTGTGCATGTAGTTGAGAGCTGGCTGAAAATCCAAGTCGGGACTTCCTTTAAGACCCACTTTCTGGGTCCTCTCCCACCTTTCAGGCCCATCCTGCTGTGTCAGCTCTGCTCTGTAGCCACCACTCCTGACCCCAGCCACAACTAAAAGAGGCATCTGGACCTACCTTCCCTCCCTGCCTCTGCAGCCAGGTCCCCTGGAGTCTCTCCACTCATGTTGACAGCTGGCTCCTGCTTCAGCAAATGCTGCAGGGTGTTTGATTGTCAGCTTCCCGAACCAGGCCCAGTGCTGGGGACCCCGCAGGGTCACCTTCTGAGGATGGGTTTGTGGCCTCTGAAGAGCCTCTTGACAGTCTTAGCCTCCCCTCACTCAGCCCACATCAAGCAGCTGGGTTATAAAGAAGGGGAACTTGCTATTTAGAAGGGAATCAGCGAGAGCTGTCAGCAGGACATAAATATTCATAGAGGGAGGTTAGAACTTGAGTCCCTAAAACCTTGATTTGTGTTCGACCGTTTAAGCCTCATTAAAAAGTGGCAAATGAAAGTGGGAATATTCAGTGGAACTGCAGATAAATTGGGCTTGTTCAGATAAAGGCCCCCGACTGCCAGCTCCGCAGGCTCTGCCCAGAGCATGATAGCAGATTGGCTTGGCCACTTGTGGTTTGCCAACCTCAAAATTTTAAGATTTTGCTTAGCATGAGTTCCTGGCCTTGCTCTGGGGGCAATTACCACTTGTTTGGGCACTTGGTAGCCTTCCAGAGGTGTTCAGGGATGGAATTCCGCAATCTGCTCCCTCCCCAGAATGACACGCAAACCAAGGCCTGGCTCAAGGACTGTTAAGGAGAAATCTCACCTAGGACTAAGACTTGCACTGGGCAATCTGCAAAGCGTACAATTTATGTGCATGTCTAGTTGCTTCTCCTCCTCCTAGCTTTTTCTAGCTTCTATGGACAAGAAGAACGGAGGTTTCAGGCTCCAGTTGCTACGTGAGACCTAAACCGTCTGTCCTTGCCCCTCAGTCCCACCCAAGCTCAACTCCACTCATTGTGGCTAAAAATACAAAGACTGCAGCAGGCTAGGCCTTGGTGGGCACAAAGAGGAGACAGATGGTCACTGTTCCTTCTAGGACAGGAGCTTTAGACTCGGGCCTCTGCCGGGACCAGGCAGTTCACATATATAAGTGGAATGGGCCAATCTGTGGGCTAGACCTGACCTACGGGCTGCCAGTTGGCACCATTTAGAGACCCCTAGAGTTTGGGAAGATAAAGTTTGGACACAAACAGAAGGGCAACAAAGAATATACTCAGCCTCATGAAGGAAGGACTGGTTAATTTCCCAGGAGAAGGAGGGTGGAATGCACCCCGTCCCCTGCCCCCCAACCCCCACCCCCCTGCCACAGCCAAGGGCAGCAGGGAAGCCTGGTGGAGGAGGTAGGGCATCAAGAATTAAGCTTTATTTGTGCTCTTGAGTGGAATCTGAGTCTCAGGGTACTGAGGGGCTGGGCTGTGTGCTGGGGGTGCTGCTGTAAAGGGGAGGCCACATGGTGGCCTGAGGCACTGGGCATGGGGCTGCCGCTCTTCCCTGAATCTGGCTTCCCAGTGTTCATTTCCATGCTGCACAGGTTCTAGGTAGGCCTTTGGCCTCCCCAGGGACAGCCCCATCTCCTGGCTGGGTCTGTTTCCCAGGACAGCCCTCCTTTTGGGTGCCCAGTAGCAGAGAAACGACACAATTAACCAGGCAATTAACTCAAGGCTCTGTGGTCGCTCTCTCCCACAGGGCCCTGCTTATGGGGCTGGAGGTGGCCATGGTGGGGCTGCAGGGCAGGGGGTGGATGGTGTGTCATTGCCAGGCCTCCCTCGGGAAGAAGGAAAAGTGGCTGACATGGAAGTGGCTGAGATGGGTGTTGGCCGTGGAGAGAGACAGAAGGCCCAGAGACTTGGAATGCAACTCTCCTGACACTCAGCCCCAGAATGCCTGCTACCCTCTAACCAGCCATTGTGGGAGGCAGGGATCTTACCTGCAGTCATTGATTACTAACCCTGCAGGGGCTAACTCCAGAAGCGAATGGGGCAGAGAACTGGCTGAGACTGATAAGGAGAGGGGTGCCCCACCCTGACTTCTCAGAAAGTCATTCCATTTGGGGGACCCCCATTCTTCCATTCGTGAAATGGAGGTCTTATTTGCCATGTCTCCTAGGGAAGTGGTGAGAATGAGTGAAGTCAGAGATGGGAAATGGAGCATTATGGGGCTCCGAGGTACTATTCAGTCAGCTGCTGGGAGGGTCACAGAGCCCCCTGAACCCTTCCACCCACTGACACCCAGGCTCGCCCCAGCCAGAGAGGTGGCCAGCTAAACACCTGGAGACTGAGTCAGACACAGGGAGATGGACTTTCAATGCCAAAACCCAGGTTTGGACAACCCAGTCCAGTATGTTATTAAACATTTCTCCACAACTCAAGTATTTCCCCAAGAACACTTCTCTGAAACTCTAATCAAACAAATGGAAAAAACAGATACCTTAACTATTTTGCTACCTTGATGGTAGGTAAAGTTTTTGCTTAAGAACCAAGTCAGAGAGGAAGAAAGGTGTTTTTGAGCATTTTTCTCAGTAATTTTTGATTCTCACAGAAAAATGTATATTTTTACAACTTGGACTACTAAGTTATTAAGATGAAGTATGTCAATGAGAAAAACACCTCTGTGTTGCCCCTAGATGTCTAATCACCCGGCCCCACACGTGTGGAGTGTTTGGAAGCCAGTTTCTTCACAGCATCTCCGCCACTCTAGGATACGCCCGTGGGGCAGGTGCATGCCGTGTTCAGGGTTCTGGTTGCTCCTGTTGTGCGCCCAACTGGGGCATCGTGCTGGGGAGACAACAGACCAAGGGGCTGCTCCTCTCCACCCCCAACCTGTGCTTGGCCCAGAGGGCTGGGACAGCTGTGAGACCCTGGGCAACACCCACTACTGTTTACAGTGTGGCTCAGGCCACTGTCCTGTGCAGTTCAGAGCTGAACCACGTGGAGGCAGAGGACAGCAAAACAAAGACACTCCAGGGAAGACAGGCCTGGGTGCCCTGCCCTGCCAAAACGAATGGGGGGAACACCTGTCCAAGAAGACTCCCGGAGGCCCTGCTTCCCAGTCCCAGTGTTTTGA
The DNA here is from genome assembly GCF_000001405.40 of Homo sapiens. Classification (NCBI taxonomy): domain Eukaryota; kingdom Metazoa; phylum Chordata; class Mammalia; order Primates; family Hominidae; genus Homo; species Homo sapiens. Next base: position 37,485,240 of record NC_000006.12, on the reverse strand, counting down.
GAGCTAGAAGCCTCGGCAGCCCACCTCTCTGTGGCCTTTGTTTCAGATCGATGGGCTAGAGGAGAAGCTGTCCCAGTGTCGGAGAGACCTGGAGGCCGTGAACTCCAGACTCCACAGCCGGGAGCTGAGCCCAGAGGCCAGGTAATGCTCCTGCCCAGCCACCCCACCCTTCCCCATCAGGCCCCCACCCCCTGTATCTATCCTGGGTCCCCCAAAGTAGGCCTGAGGCAGAGGGTTTGGGTCCCTGACATCTTAGCTTCAGTGCACACCCCCCCTGCCGCCGAACAAGACCCAAGCCCTGCCAACTGGCATGCCAGCTGCCCCTCGGGTGGGGAAAAGGAAAAGGGTTTGGTCCATGAAGCTCCTTTCCCCTCACAGGAGGTCCCTGGAGAAGGAGAAAAACAGCCTAATGAACAAAGCCTCCAACTACGGTAAGAAAGTTCCTTTCAGTTACCAGCCCCAGCCTCCAGTCCCCAGAACCAGGAAGGGTCAGAAGCCCAAGGGGCCTGACAAGGCAGCAGGGAGCAAGGGGGTTCTTTGGGAGGGAACCAGCCCCCAGAGGCTGCAGACACCCCTGCTAGGTCCAGCAGCCTGCGGGAGAGCAGGTTTGTTGCTTTGTTCTAAGGGAGGATGAGACCGCCTGTGGGTCTGTCTGCTCTTTGGGATGAAGGGATGTGGCCGTGGCCAGGTCTAGGAGACAATCATTCACCTAGACATCGGAAGTCTGCTCTCCCCACGCCCCAGCCCACCCCACCCCAACCCACCACACCCTCCCAGGAAAACCATGCAGTGGGAAGTGAGGGGTGAAGGAAGCCGAACCTCCCACTTGGGTACGGCAAGGGCTCCTGTGGGTGGAGCGATGCCGCCACCTTCTGGGCGCTGGGGGCAGAGGCAGGTAGAGGCCAGGCCCGGCGGGGCGCCAGAGGGCGGCTGGCAGGCTGGTGGGCTCCCTGCTAAAGGCTGGGGAGGACCACGGTCTATAGGTGCTCCTCAGACTTGTCGGTTCTGTTCTCCCCTGGGGGACCAGGCCTGGCCATGAATCAGCCCCAGGAAGGTTCTAATGGCAAGGAGTCCCCCAGAAGCGCTGGTCTGATGAATGCCGTAGGCACAGTGCACACCTACCAGCCCTGCCTGGAGTTCAGCATGTCTGGGCCGGTGCACCCTGGGCCCTGGACTCAGTCTGGCCTGCCCAGAGCAGCTCTGCAGGTGTCTCTTCCCACTGCCCAGCACAGACAGGGATGGGACATTAGTTTCCCTTCAAGTTTAGCGGTTTTCACACAAAACCACACCACCACTCAATTTAGCCCTCACAGAGTACCCCCTACCTGCGTGTCACCTGGAGGGGATACTTTGATACAAGTGTGGCCATAGAGCAGCAGGACTGATTTCCTCTAGAGTCAAGACCAGCTGCCTCATGGACACAAACTGCATCTTAGCGTCCCTAGATTCTGCTCAACCAGGCACCCGGCAGAGGGCAGGGACTCAGGAAACACGTGGCCCCACCTAGCACCTCCTCCACTGTCAGGCCCAAGGAGGCCCCAGGTGCCCTCAGTTTCTGGTTGGCGGATGAGATGCCTTGAAGGATGAGCACCACAGCCAACCCCATGACAGGCAAGCAGACTCACCTGGCGGTCACACCACCTCCTAGCTTGGCTTTCAGGTGTGGCATTTTTGGTGACTCCTCACCCACCTCACCCTCAACCTCAACCACATTTAAAGAGCCATAGTTGAGCAGCACTGGGCGTTGGGACTTTATCAGGCTGGCTCTATAGCCAAAAGGGTGTCAGGATTTGGGCAGATTAAGAAGGGCAGAGTCATTTTTATGGGTAAGGAGGTGGCTGGAAGGGTGCGTCTTTGCCCTCAGCAGTGTGTACCCACTCGTTGGAGAGGCAGAGCAGAACAGACGGGCCTAAACTGCCTGTCCTATCCCTATCACCCTCTTTCCTCCCAGAGAAGGAACTGAAGTTTCTTCGGCAAGAGAACCGGAAGAACATGCTGCTCTCTGTGGCCATCTTTATCCTCCTGACGCTCGTCTATGCCTACTGGACCATGTGAGCCTGGCACTTCCCCACAACCAGCACAGGCTTCCACTTGGCCCCTTGATCAGGATCAAGCAGGCACTTCAAGCCTCAATAGGACCAAGGTGCTGGGGTGTTCCCCTCCCAACCTAGTGTTCAAGCATGGCTTCCTGGCGGCCCAGGCCTTGCCTCCCTGGCCTGCTGGGGGGTTCCGGGTCTCCAGAAGGACATGGTGCTGGTCCCTCCCTTAGCCCAAGGGAGAGGCAATAAAGAACACAAAGCTGTTCCCGTCTGCTGAGTAAATGTCATGGTCTGACTAGCGGAGGGTGGACGGTGGGGGCAGGAAGAGGCAGCAGCAGCAGAGGCGGCACTCAGGAATCAAGGAAGAAGAGATGTTCAAGGGAAAGCTCTGGATTACAATTCAGAATAGAGGAGAAGGCCCCCAGCTCGAGTGGGAAGGAGACAGTGGGAAGCACTTTCCAAGCCAAATAGTGGGAGTTACTTCCAGGGCTCGGGCACTGCTGGGGTTGAGCAGCAGACATTGTGCCACCTGTCCATCCCCCCACCACACACTGTCATGCCCTCCAGTCAGTGCCATTGCTTGTAATTATGGCAGAAAAAAATGCAGTCTGTGCAGCGAAGGGCGGCTTGGGGACTTGAAGTGGTCATGTGGCGATCCCAGGGGAGTGCGGAGTTAATCCATCTTCGACAGGCAGGCAAGGCTGGGGAGGCTGTGAGTGGGCAGGAAGAGTCATGGTAATGACCAGACAGACTTACGGTGACAGTGGCCAGTAAATCAGGTAGGGTTTGTAGTGAGAAGTAGGGGTGGGGCTGATCAGAGGGGGAGTTGTGGCAGGAGCAGCAAACTCAGACATCTCCCTTACCCTTCCACCCCCCAACTCTAAAACTCCTAGCTTTGGAATAAGGAGGGGAGCAGGTGGGAGGCTACAGCAAGGCAGAACAGAGGAAGGGCGTGGATGGCCGAGATGAAACCAGTTAAGTAGGAAAAACAAGGGATGGGGTTGCCCAGGGAACTAAGGCCATACACAAAGGACTCTTGGGGCCAAAGTGAGGAAGTCCAGCAAAGTGAAGGCGGACTTTGGGGGGCAACCAGCACCAGGGCGATGACTAACTGGTGGAGAAACCAGCCGGGAACAGAGAGGGAGGTGCCTGCAGCATCTGCATCCCCCACCCCCAAGCACAGTCCCGTGCAGGCAGAACCAGCCCTCCTTGGAGGGGAGGCAGGCTAGGGTCAGTGAAACCATCTATCTCTCCCTCCCTCTTTCGCCCAAGTCTAGTGACACTAATTGGTCTGACGCCTCTGTTATTTTAGTCACACAGACTGATCCTGGATTGTCACAGTGCCACCATGGAGTGAGCTGTGTGATTTATGTAAGGGGGGAAGGTGCCTCTCTGCCCTTCCGGGGCTGTGGGTTCATTCATTCTGCAGTCCCTGCTTGTAACAGGAGCTGCACAATTTCCCCCAACTCTTCTTTGAGCCCCCTCTTGAGCAGCAAGCAGCAGCCCTGGGAGCCCTGCAGGTGCCCAAGAGCTTGAACAGGCTCCGATTAAACAAACCCTCTTTTCTCTCCTCTGCTTTGAGTAGAGCTGCTTCCCCTTCACCTCTGGCTCAAGCTGTTTCATCCAAGCCAGTCTCAGATCACAAAGCACTGAGGACAAACAGCAGCAGCCCCAACACAGAGCCACACAGGCATTAAAAATATGTTTATCTTTAATGATCCAAGATTCTGCAAGACACACTGATATACCCAGAATTGGGTGGAAATACAGCATCTCAGCAGTGCTACTGCCAGCCTGGGGGTGGGGAGCTGGATGCTGGCTGAAGGACCCCCATGGTGAAGTCGATTCCAACCTCACGGGAGCCTCAGTGCCCTATCTCCATGGAAACCAGCCTGGCACTGGGATGGGGCCCTAGGGAGCCTGCATGAACATCTCTGAGAGGTATTTCCCATTAAAAACAACCACAGGTGCCCACCCCCACCCCAAGCTACTGCCCAGCTCCCCCTCCTCTCTGTGTTGTCGGCCAAGATAAAGGAAATGGGAGTGACCACTTAACGACAAACAAAAGCAGATTGTACCTCCTATTAGGGAAGAAAAAGGAAGGGAAAGGGTAGTAAGGGAGCTGCACTTCAAGCTCAGAATTCTGCCAAGACCCTAGAGCGGCTATGGCAGACAGCGGTGCATGACTGCCAGAGGGCAGCGCTACCCAAACCCCTGGAGGTACCCTTTGTTACTGCTGGGGCCCCTGCTGCTGTGGGGGAAAGACGGGTCTTCAAGGCTGCTTCCTGCCATCTAGCGCTGCCCAATGTTTGGACCAAAAGGGGATGGCACCTAGGATGGCTCTACAACTCCATACTCAGTACGAAAAGAGGGCTCCCAGGATCTCAATGTGGTATCAGGGATGAGAGTTTGCCCAAACTCCCTCCTTCCCACCCTGCTGGACTGTCAGAGCTCTGGGCTAGGAAGAACTCCAGGGAAGGCCAGGATGAGTGGGGGAAGGAGACAAGAAAATGGTCTCCAATTTGGCATCAAAACAGAGTAAGTTCAAAGAAACAAAACCTTGATTTTTTTATAGCAGGTTCTCCTGGCCAGCTCATGACAGCAGGTCTCCACCCACTCAGGGATGGCCCAATAAAAAGTTGGGCAAAGCAAGGGCATGGCTACCCTCAGGGCAGTGCATGGAACTCAGAAAAGTGAGTCTACAGGATGCAGGAGAGAACAGCAGAGCCCACAGCTCTGCCACTCTGATATGTCCTCCATCAGTCCCACGTGCCCTAGGCACTGACCTCATACCTGCCTCAGGAGCAGCTTCCTTCAGGCTGAGTCCTGGCAGGGGAAAGTTCCCAGGCAGGTGTCCCAGAAGGAACATGAGTGTTCTCTGCAGGGCCCTGCCTGAGCTCTTCAGGGGATGGAGAGGAGGCCACCCACTCCTCATGCCAGGTGCAATGCTCCCCAGTCCCTTTTCAAGAGGGGGAAGAAGCCAGCACTGTGGGCCCCAGGTGGCCCCATCTCAGGAATGACAGGGCATTCTGCAGGGGTGGCACATTCTGAGGCTCTTAGGCCCTGTGCATCTGGATGAAGGAGAGGACGTCCTCCTTGGACAGCTTGTCCTGGTCCTGGGGCTTCTGGGAGTCATGCACACGAATGCCATCCCCCCACTCCCAGAAGAGCCGGCCATAGTAGCAAATGCTGGGGAGGAGAGGGATGGGAAAGAGGTCAGGACTGCACCCAGATGGCACAGGGTCATGTGTTCTTAAGGGTGTGGGGCGGAGGGGTCTGTCAATGACTTTAGTTGAGGTTCTTCCCCCGGCAGGCAAAAGGTACCCGGTAGGCCCTAACTCCCCTGCCTCCCAGAACCAACTTTTCCCAACAAACAGCTGTTGCTGCTAATTGCATCCAACTGGATTCCTACAGTGACTGATATTCCTGACTTATCTGTCTGTGCTTCTCTAATATACAGTATTAGTAGTGTGGTGACAGAAAATGTCAGTGGCTAATTACAGGCACATTAGGGCTGCTGGGGAAGCCTATGACCAACAGTCTGACTAATGGACACCGGGTCCTAATGAGGGACAGCTGGGACCTTGAGTGCCAAGGGGCAGGGCTGTGGGCCCTCAGCAGGTTCCCACCATCAGGCCAGTGTTGGAATGTCACCGAAACGTGGCTGCTCCATGGGGTGGATACGCTGCCCAGATGGGCCTTCACAGCCAGGCCCGTAACCATTAGCAGGTCCAGGCATCGTGCTTCCCTCACCAGCTCTACCCAGGTCCAGCCACACCTGCAGGGGGCTGCCATCCCCACAAGTATTCTCAGGCCTGTGCTCAGGGGAACCCCTGCATGGGCAACAGTCTCAGGACCCAGGGTGTGCCCCCAAGACAGCTGGCTGGCATCCTGCAGGAGTACTTGAGGCTGCTAAGGAGGGCAGGCTTGGAGGAGAGCTACTTACTGAAATGGGGCAATGGAGTCTGCAGGGAGGTCAAAAGTAGAGTCCTTGGTTTTCTTGTTGTAGAAGAACTTCTTCTTGAAGCTTTTGCTGAATCCCATAGTCCAGGGCTCTGATGGGAGGAAGAGGGGATGAAGCCCAGAAGGGACACAAAGCACTTGTGGAGGACAGGCGTGTACCTTCCTCCACTCCCGGTGGTCCTATTCCTGCCTCCCACCAAAAGCAAGCAGGGAATAGCCCGTGAGGCAGCAGCCTTCATCACCAGCCCAAAGGGGCTGCAGGAGAATGACTACGCGATGACTTCTTCTCAACGACCCCACCCCAGTCCTGCCAACCCTCCATCAGGGTAACATCTCTAGGACTCTGACAGATGTAGGACTCTGTTAGCCAGAGCGCTCTGAAGAAAGGGGGATGCAAATGGACAGAAACCAAGCTTGACTTTCTGGATTTGCTGCTGTCTACTGAGAAGGCCCTTTTCCTGCCATGAGAACAACACGTGCGTGTGTACAAGTTGAGCTCCTCTCCCTATTGCCTAACCAACTCCCAGGGCCCACGGAAGAACAGAAGAGGCTCAGGGAACACTGTCCCCTAACATATGCCTCAGAGAAATGCCAGCCTGGCTGCTACCCACCTTAGCTGGGAGCCCTTCGCTCTGGCTCAGGTAGGGTCTGGACCCATCACCTGGCGAGGAGAGGGGAGAGGGGAGGGGATGGCGGGAACAGTCCCTCCTCACCCACCATTCACTGTCCTGACGATGTAGAGGCCCATGGGTACAAAGTGCCGGTCATCACGCCCTGTGTAGCTGAGCTTTGGGGTGCCACTGGAGCCCTTGATGATCTTCATCTCCAACCTGATTTCCCCGAGAAGGTACGTGCATGAGAGAGAAAAGGCCCTGGCTGATAAAATTAGTCTCTGACTAATAAAATCACCCCAACTGCAGTATCTGATCCTGGTTTGACTTAAGATGAAACTGAGGCACACAGCCGAGTGGGTGGCCATGCTGAGTTTAGAATTCAGGCCCTGAATTCCCACTCAGGCAGTGGAGGCAGGGGAGTAACAAATGACCCTGCTGTGTCACTGCTGCTTGAGGGATTTCAGGGTGACACCAGTAAGGGTGAGATCTGACACCACGGGTGCCCATGGCAACACTGCAGCCACTGAAGAGTTAATGTAACCTCTACATAAGCACACCCAGAAGGAGACTGAGTTCTGTGAGCACCCGCACACCACTAAGAATATAAGGACGCATTTATGCCCCTTCTACCCCTCCAGGCTCAATTTCTCTCTCAGCAGCGGGAGCTGGGATTTATGGTATTTCAAGCAGCTTGCTGCTCTGCCCCTCGCAGGGCCCATCGTAACTATGACAGCATCAATGAGCCCGTATTTCTGCCTGACACAGCCCGCCTGGCTCCCTCCTGATAGGATGCTGAAGCAGCTGTCAGCTGGGGGACTCTTGACTGCAAGCAGTGCTGCAGCGAGGCAGATGAGGTGAGGGGACCGCTGGAGGCAGCTCACCACCCCCCGCCCCCGACCCATCTTATGAAACGGAGGATGACTACAGGACACGGCCGCACCCCCACCTCCTCTTGAATCTGAGCTTCACCGGTCAAGTCACTCACCTGACAAAAATCTTCTCCATCTCTTCCAGTCTGTACACCTCCTTCACCCTGCAGGTAGAGGGACAGAGACAAGACAAAGGCTTCCTGGGGGACATTCTCATCCAGGAGGCAGCTGGGAGGCAGGAGACTGCACTTGACCTTGGCTTCTGCCCCAGGCCCTCCCTGAAACCACCCAGCCCACCGGCAGCGAGGACACCAAGCCTGCCAACATGGCTGTTCTACACAGACAAGCCCTGGGTTTCAGAGCTGCCAAGCACCTCCTCAGGCCTGCGTCAGGGCAACTGGGGAGTGAAACTGGATACTGAAGACAGGAGGGAGAAAGAGGAAGAAAAGTCTGGCAGACAAAGATGTCTCTGTCAGCATTCCCACCCCCAAGTCATCTTCACCATCACCAGAGGGCAGAAAACAAAGGAGTAGGCTCTTGCCCAGGTCTGTCCACATGGATTTTAGGCCTTCCATAACAAGTTACTGCTAAACAGTCCTAATAGTCCTATTACCCACAGCGGGTGGGGAAACCCTAACAAGAATGCAGGGCTCTTGTTTGATGCCCATGCTCAGCTCTTGGGGGCCCTGAACATGTCTTTGGAACTGCTAGTGGGGAACGTTCCCAGAAATCGAGCAACCAAACCACAAGCAATGAAGGCAGGGTTCCCCCTGGGAGCTGTCTTTCAGGACCTAGCAGACAGGACATTTTAAAGTGCAGAAAGAAATTCCTTTGAAACTTTCACATGCCATCTATAAAGTGCATTCTCAATACTGGATTTAATTTTAACTAAGTAAATTTATGTTAAAAAGAACAAAAACAATGTGGATAAAGTGTAAATAGATACCTCAGTCTCCAGCCGCATGAAGCTCCCGAGAGCAGGGCTAAGCAGTGCCCTTTGGCAATAACCTCAGACCTCAGCCTACCCTGGAAAAGTGTGTCCTCCATCTGTCTCCTCCTGACTCTGTTCTCTTCCTCCTTTCTCTCTCAGGGTCCTGGAACTTTCCCACTATCTAACATTACAACCCTGGCCTCCTTCTCCCTCAGCACTGGGGGTCCCATTCCCTCAAACAATCCTTCTCTTTTTCATGTTCAAAATTCCTATTCCCTCAGCACCCATTTCTTACCTGAAAAAAAATTAAAAGGCCAGGTAATGTGCTAACAATGCTCAAGTGGGAACGGGTATTCATGAGGTGGGCTGGCACTCTCAGAAGCACGTGCATCCTAAACAAGGATGCCTTAACCCCTCAGAATGAAGTTCACCCACTGCCAGGCAGGATGGGGAGATGCTCTGGGGCAAGTCACCTACCTAGCACCCCCAAACAAACTTCATGGCAAGAATGGTCTTGTCTCTAACACCCACTTGCCTAGTGCCCTCCACTGAGCCCTCCTGTCCCTCACTGGACGGGAGCAGCAGGTACTGGCCAGAAAGAAGCATGGAGGGTAGGGACCACATGCTCACCTGATGGGATTCATGTCGGGCCGACTAGGCTTGGAAACGGCTTTCACAAATTTCTCGGCAAGCTGAATTCTACAATCCAAACAGTCTCTCTGAGAGGCAAGCCAAGGATGCCTCCACCAGCACCCCTACCCCCAGGGCATTTTCACAGCTCCAGTAGGAGAACCTTCTGAATCTGCGGCAAGACTGCTCTAAGAGGCAGCACCCATGTCCCCCAGGAAGCCCGCCCTGCCCTTCTCCACCGACGTCTTTATTCATGCCCCGCCCCTGTGGATTCTGACCTCTAATTTCACTATGTCGGTTGGTTTTCCTGAAGTGTGCCTTCAGCTGTGCTCAGTCACCTCCACTAGAACTTCAAGTATCATCTTTATTGTATGTGTCTGCCCTGTCACCCCAAAGCATGGAAACTACAGTGCACCCACTCAGATGAGCAACTTAAATGGGACCACTCAAGCACAGGATATTTCTTCCAAGGAGTACCCCCTCTACCCGCAAGGTCACCCTCTTGCTCAACCTTAACATAAATACCTCAACCTGAGCAGCTGTGGCAAAATGGAGTGTGCTGGTATCTCTGATAACCAGGGCCCAAGCCCTAGCAAACTCTGAAGTGGCAACTCCAATTCTCACCCTGACTTTGGGACCAGTCAGTGGGTGGGAGGGGGAAACTCTCAGGATGTCAACAAGCAGAGAAGGCCTAGATAAGGGGCCACACCTCGGGAGGCCGCTGTCCTCCCAAGCTGCCCTGGCCTACCCCCACCCTCCCTACCCTGGGGCCCAGGTCAGACCGCTGGTTAAAGTGCTGCTCCCGAACGTCGGTGCCATTCAGCACAAGGACATCGAGGATGTGGATGGCACTGATCTTCCTCTGGGCCTTCCCCTAGAAGGATAAGTAGGTACACTGCCCACTCTGCCAGGTGTCAGCCTTCAGCCCCCACTACCCACCATGGCATGCTGGCTCCATTCTGCCTACAGCTGGGGGAAGGGTAGGGCTCTAAATGCAGGATATTTTTCTTGTCTCCCTCCCAGCTGCTCCTCAGCATCAGACTGGCCTCGGCTTCTGAGCAGGGTAAGATCCAAGGCATTGGGTGATAAGGCCCCTTGAACCTCAAACCCAGTGAGGCTGCTGCCATGGCACTCCAGCCAGGATCTGGCTTACCCCCCTTGCCAGTTGCTCCTACTGACTGTTCTGAATGTCACCATATAGATTTCATACTCATGGCTCCTGAGAAACAAGTCTCTTGTTTCCCAAGGGATCTCTGGTCAAAAACTAAATCAGCTGCTAAAAAATACCCAGTAGACTCACCAGGGCCCTCAATGCACAGAGACAATCGAGGTCTCCTCTGACGCACGGAGACTGCGCTCCTCCTTACCTGAACCACTGTGGCTTAGAGCAACTGCTCGGGGAGGAGTCATTATAAACCCTTACCCCAGCCCTGGGCCCTGTCAGCCACCACACAATGTAACCAAGTTAACTCAGGGCAAAAGGCCAGGTTCAGCAGCCCCCTAGTCCCCTAGCTGCAGGGCCAACACCTGAGCAGAACCATCTCTGACCTCCCCTTTCAGCTCATGCACAATTTCCACAGATAGCAGAGTGTCCCGGGGCAGCTCTGTCTTCAGGTCTAGCTTGATCCAGCGGTCTGACTGGCGGCCATCCCATGTGTAGATCTGGGATTTCTACAGGCAGAGAGAAACAGCCAGGTAAGGAAGGCATGGAGATCGAGGGATAAGAGGCTTACTTCTCAAAAGAGCTTTTAGTTGGCAGCTACAAACTGATGGGACTGGGAAATGTCAGAAGAAAATGTCTATGAGAGATTAAATCCATTATACTTTAGTGATAATGATAGTAGTGTTCTCCAGTGCCTCAGCAGAAGAGAAGCAGAGATCTGGCTCAGCCTTGGAACGGGTGCAGGGCACCACTCAAAAGACCTAAGTCCATAATTAGTGGCCCTCAAAAAAGATCCAGTTTCGTATATGTCTAAGGTGGGTTTAGTGAAGAGTCCAGAGAGCAGAGAAGGAGAGAGTAAGTAAAATGAGAAAAAGACAAAGTGTGAGAGGGTACAAAAGAAGTAACTGAGGAAGACAGGATCAAATTATATAGAAACACAAGTCAAGAGTTGAAAGAAAAAGCAATGACTTTACCCAGTTAAGTAAGATAAAGAGCTTGCCAAGGCTTTCCCTCACCTCACTTTAGACTCCAGGGGGCCCAGGGTAGGGACAGGGAGTATCTTTGCAAGACAGGGGATGGGATGGCATGGGGTGGTGGTGGTGTTGCAAAGGAATGGCTGCCTGGGCTCAAGCCAGATAAGCCTGCTGACCACTCTGCTAGCCTGGGAAGCTCTGTATCACAAGAAAAGTAGCAGTGTTCCCTTTAGCAATGCACAGAATTGAAGAAACAAATGAAAGAATGAATGAATGACACTTGGCAAACTCAGAGGAAGAAAGGAAACGAAGTTTCAAGAAATACCTTCACTAGGGTCAAAGCAACAGCTACTTAATGCCAAGAGAACATGTACCAAGTGTGGCAGGCAGCTGTCCAGATTCCGCAAAGGGCAAATCCACCATTCCAAGCTGGGCAGGAAGCCAGCTGCAGACTTACCCCCAGGCCGATGAGGAACTTCTGCTCACTGCCAGATACCATGCAGCGGTAGTCAAACACAGGGCGGATCTTCTCCAGGGTTTTAGAGGTGAGCAGTGTGGGCTTGTAGCTGAAGATGTCAATCTCAGTGCCCTGCAGCCACGAGTCAGAGAAAACACTGCCGGGTTGGGGGAAGGGACAGTATGGGTGCCTATCTGGGCTGGGGGCAGGCTCGACAAGGCAAGGGACAGGAAGCATTGGCTCTCTGAAATATGCTCCCCTGCACCCCCTTCTCTACCTAACTGTGCACTAAATGGGATCTATTTCCATCTGCTTGGAATGTTCCTGTAGGACCTATTAGGAGAGGCTGGAAAAGGAAAGAACACTGAGTCCCCAAGTACAGATCAATTTACCAGACCTATAAGAAAATGTCACCAGAATATAAAAGCTGCCCCTTCAATAAAACTCAAAGCAAGGATTCTCCAGCAGTTGGTTTGAGAACAGTTTAGTGATCTCTTTACCCCATTTAGAAAAATGTACACATACTATTCTTTTGAGGGCATCTTGAACCTCAGTCTCTACTCCCTGACCCCCACAAAACCAGCACAATTGCCCATGATCTGGGACAGATTTAAATGAGGCCCAAGTAAAAGCTGGAGGTTGAGTGGTAGAAGAAACAGGGCAAAAGAACTCTGAGGACCAGCTCACCAGAAATAAGACAAAGAACCTGGGGTTAGGCCAACCCTGCTGCGGGCTTCCCTGGCAGCTCCCTTCACCCTGTGCCCAGCTCCCTTGCCTAAGATCATCCCACACTCTATGTCTCCTTTGTAGGCAAATCCCACAGGACCCTGAACTTGCCAGGGTGACACAGCCAGAACCACCCTTTGGGTGGCAGGAATGCTGAGCCCAAGCACTGAACATGAGAATCTTCCGTTGGCCTGACTGTGCTCTTGGGGAATTCAACACCCTATACCAAAGGTTCCCACCTGTGGCAGCCTTAGCTCCGCCCCTTAGAGCCCATGGTGGGCATCTGCACAAGCCCTCTGGAGACCATGCATCTGGGGCCTCAGTGATACCATCCACATCTAGAGACAGATCTCTAACTTTTTATGTCCACCACAGATACCAGTCTTACCTGGATTAGCTCAAAGAACTTCGATTTAGGGTCGGAGGAAGAAGGAGCCACACGAGCCTGGTCTGGGATCTGAAATAAGACAGCAAAGAGCTTTGACTTTCAAATGCCCTTTTGACCAAGACCGTGTATGAGTATATGCAGGTGGAGGAGATAGGGTCAGACTGGGGAGGAGGAATGGCACACAACAAAGGAGGCTAGGCTGACAGGGATGGAGGTGGATAATTCACTCACTGCTCCCTTTCAGATCCTGTGGCAATGGACCCCAAAGGCTACTTCCTTTTCTCTGGGGCTCTCTGTTGTCAGTGCTGCTACAAGGGGCCACCAGTTGCAAAACTGACACCGGCCCACCTCCCCACACCCCACCCCTTAGTCCTTTCTGACCCAGCTGCAGGGCCAAACCAGCAGTGAAAGGGCCAAGGACGTAACTACCAACAATGCCGAGATGTCAACCTCTGGGATGCTGTGAGGGTAGCAGATATTTTTGGATGCAGAGACACCCTAAGGTGACAGGATTGGGAGTCAACCCCATTCTTCTCTATGGCTTCCCTGCCCTGAAGCAGCAATGGGCGGGGGAGATACTCACCCCCCAGAGTCGGAGGCACTCCTTCCGTATCTCTGCCTGTCGAGGCTCACTCAGTGTCCTGGGAATATGAAGCCAGTTAGTGATTAAAATCTCTAAGAGGCACAGGAGTGCCCCCTGTGCACCCCTCATATCCCATAGAGAGGAGGCCTGAATGAATGAACATGTGAGTGTACACACAGACACTATGCTGCCACTGGCCCAGCGTGATTACAACACATGCAAGGCTCTCCTTTTGAAGACAGGAGCTCAAACATACACGAAATGGGATTACCTGCCCTTCTCACCACAATGGGAAAGGAGAAAGTGCCCTCCAGACGACCTGGATGCCAGGGTCCTCCCCGACACCCTTTTCAATCACCCATCAGCATGTTCTAGCTCCTCTTCTGCTGACACAGGCCACACTAAACCCATCCCACTGGATGTCACCATGCCCCACAAAGCTGAATTAGCTTATGTTCACCCCCTACCCGAGGTTTCTCTGATCAGTCCTACCTCTCCTCTCTTGATCACTCTTTACTCTGTGTCCCCTGAACATTATGTATTCTACTTGTGCCATGCCACTCTACACCCTCTGATGCACTGTTAATAACCTTTCCTGTATCCTTTTCCTGGGTTACTCTTATCTGCCCAAAGACAATGTAAAGTATTTGGGGACAAAGCTCATGTCATATGCTTCTCTGGCATCCTTCAGAGACCATAGCAGAGTATGAGAAAAAAGCAGGTGTTTTAAAATGTTTGTTGAAATGAAAAAAACAAACAGCTTGTGGGGAGGAAAAGCAAGATCTTCCCTTGAAATAGGTGGTTTCTGAAAAGTGGGCAACACTCACGTGTCTTGAACAAAGGCATGGATTTTCGCCAGAGCTTTGATCTGCAGACTACAGTGGCTAGAAGAAAAAAAAATTATTTGATCTCAGGATTACCAAAAAAGACAGGTAACTGACATCAGGACAGAGAGGTTAAACGGGAGCAGTGGCCATCTATATTTGGTGAAGGAGCTGGAGAGTTGAGAAAGAAACCCACACCCCTACCCCACAGTGCAGTTATGTGGGGCTTACTGAAGGATGAGGGTAGAACAGGAAAACTGGGTCACTCAGTTCTTAGATCCCAAGTCCTACTAAAAGGAAGCTTCTAATCCCACCCTTAAATAATCTGAAAGTAGTGGTGAGCTCATTCAAAGCCCAGATTCAGTTCAACTATAGACTAAGCTTACTCGACCTATGTATACTAACAGCCACCCTTTCTACTTTAGTCTTCACTGTTCTTTACACACAATGTCTGGCATTTAATAAAAAAATTATGAGGCATACGATGAAGCAAGAAAATGCTACCCATTGACAAGAGGGAAAACAGGCCAACAGAACAAGACCCGGAGATGGCCCAAATGTTGGAATTCTCAGATGGGGCCTTTAAGATAACTGTGATAAACATGTTAAAAGATCTACTGGAAAGGGTGAATGACGGCCAGGCGCGGTGGCTCACACCTGTAATCCCAGCACTTTGGGAGGCTGAGGCGGGCGGATCACGAGGTCAGGAGATCAAGACCATCCTGGCTAACACGGTGAAACCCCGTCTCTACTAAAAATACAAAAAATCAGCCGGGCGTGGTGGCGGGCGCCTGTAGTCCCAGCTACTCAGGAGGCTGAGGCAGGAGAATGGCGTGAACCCAGGAGGTGGAGCTTGCAGTGAGCCGAGATCGCGCCACTGCACTCCAGCCTGGGCAACAGTGCAAGACTCCATCTCAAAAAAAAAAAAGGGTGAATGACATATATAAAAAGGTGAAGATTTTCAGCAAAGATATAGAAACTATATTTTTAAAAGGCAAATAGAAATTCTAGAAATGAAAATATGTTAGAGATGAATAATTATTTTGCTGGGATTGGCAGACTGAACATAGTAGAGGAAAGAATCAGTGAACCTGAGGACAGACATGTCAACAGAAACCCAAACTGAAACATAAAAGAGGAAAAAAAGTGAAAAAAAAAAACAGATCATCTAGGTATTGGGGACAATAGCAAACTGCTTAACATAAACATAATTGGAGTTCCAGAAGCAGAGGAAAGAATAAAACAATATATTAGGCCAGGTGCGGTGGCTCACACCTGTAATCCCAGCACTTTGGAAAGTTAAGGTTGGCGGATCACCTGAGGTCAGGAGTTCGAGACCAGACTGACCAACATAGCAAAACTCTGTCTCTACTAAAAATACAAAAACTAGCCAGGCATGGTGGTGGGCACCTGTAATCCCAACTACTCAGGAGGCTGAGGCAGGTGAATCACTTGAACCCCAGAGGCGGAGGTGGCAGCGAGCCGAGATCACACCATTGCACTCCAGCCTGGGCAACAGAGCGAGACTCCATCTCAAAAAAAAAAAAAAAAAAAAAAAAGGATAAAACAACATATTGACAAACTAATGGCCAAGAAATTTCCTGAAGAGTTGAATGAAATCAATCCACAGATCCAAGGTCAATGAACCCCAAGCAGAATAAATACAAAGAAAACCACATATAAATATATCAAGATTGAGATATTAAAAATAACAGATAAAATATTAAAAGCAGCCAGAGGGGAAAAAGACACATGACATACAGAAAAACAACAGGTATAATGGCTGACTTTTCATCAGAAACAAGGGAAGCAGAGAACCATGGAATCATATCTTTAAAGTGCTAAGAGAAAAAACATCAACCTCAAATTCCATACCCAGTGAAAATATCCTTCAAAAATGAAAGGGAAATAGTTTTTTGTTTTGTTTTTTGTTTTTGTTTTTTTTTTAAACAGAGTCTGACTCTATCACCCAGGCTGGAGTGCAGTGGCACGATCTCGGCTCACTGCAGCCTCCATCTCCTGGGTTCAAGCAATTCTTTGGCCAGAAGGGAGTTTTGCCATGTTGGCCAGGCCAGTCTCAAGCTCCTGGCCTGAGGTGATCCACCTGCCTTGGCCTCCCAAAGTGCTGGGATTACAGGCGTGAGCCACCATGCCCAGTCTAAATACATTATTTTTATTTATTTATTTATTTATTTTTTGAGACGGAGTCTTACTCTCTCACCTAGGCTAGAGTGCAATGGCACAATCCCGGCTAACTGCAACCTCTGCCTCCCAGGTTCAAGTGATTCTTCTGCCTCAGCCTCCCGAGTAGCTGGGATTACAGGTACCCGCCATCATGCCGGGCTAATTTTTGTACTTTTGTAGAGACGGGGTTTCACCATGTTGGTCAGGCTGGTCTCGAACTCCTGACCTCAGGTGATCCACCTGCCTCAGCCTCCCAAAGTCCTGGGATTACAGGCGTGAGCCACCATGCCTGGCCTAAATACATTTTTAAATAGACAAAAGCAGGGAATTAGTCTCCAGCAGACTTGTACTACAAAGACAGGCTAGAAGAAATTCTTTAGGGTGAAGCAAAATGATTCCAAATAGAAATCTGGTTCTACAGGAAGGAATGAAGAACACCAGAAAGGTAAGTATGTCAGTAAATACCAAGGACCTTTTTAAAAAAATTAGATATATATGTGCATGCATGTGCATCTTTAAAAGACTATAAACGGTTTAAAGTAAAAATAGTAACAATATAAAGTAGAGTTTATATAAAAACAAAAACACAAAGACAAAAGAACAATAGCATGTATCGTGTTGTAAGGTTCTTACACTGTTCATAAAACAATGAAATAGTTTTGGAAGGCAGACTGATTACTTAAAGGTGCATATAGTAATCTCTACAGCAACAATTGAAACATAGCAAAAAAAAAAAGGCATCTAAAAAACCTCAAAGAGATAAAAGGAATACTAAAAAATACTGAATTATTTTAAAAATACTGAATTAGTTATTAAAAAATACTGAATTAGTCCCCCCCCCCACAAAACAGAGGGAAGAAAGGAAGAGAGGAACAAAGAGCAGACAGGATAAATAGAAATCAAACAACCAAGATAGGGGATTTAAAGCTAAACATTAATAATTACACTCAATGTAAATGCACCAATCACCCCAATTAAAATGCAGAGACTTTTATCCAGATCAGACTGGACAAAAAGGTAAGACTCAACCACATGTTGTCTATAAGAAACATATTTAATCATAAAGACAAAGGTAGAAGGACAAAAAAAGACCATATAAACACTAAGCTAAAGAAAGCTTATGTGGCTATACTAATGTCAGATAAAGCAGACTTTCAGACAAGGAGTATTACTGGAAATAAATAGGGTATTTCATAACAATAAAAGGTCAATTCATCAAGAAAACAAAACTATCTTAAATGTACATGTGCCTAATAACAAAGATCCCAAATAGCTGAAGAATTGACAAAACTAACAGAAGACACAGACAGCTCAATAATCATAGTTAAAGACTTTAACAACCCTCTTAGCAGTTAACAGAATAAGTACTCAAAATATCAGTTAAGATTTAGAAAATTTGAAAAACACTATGAACCAACTTGACCAAATTAACATTTATAGAACATTATGCCAAGCAACACCAAGATAGAGCATATGATGGGTCATAAAATAAGCTTCATTAAGTTTCAAAGGATCAAAATCATACAGAATACATTCTCTGAGAATGGTGTGACTAAATCTAATAGATATCTTGAAAATCCTAAATTATCTGAATATTAAATACAACACATATACATAATCTATGAATCAAAGAACAAATCATAAGGAAAAATTTAAAATATATGAGCCATAGGTTAATTAAAAGACACATATCAAAATGTAGGAGATTCAGCTAAAGCATCCTTTTTTTTGAGACACGGTCTCGTTCTGTCACCCAGGCTGGAGGGCAGTGGTGCGATCTTGGCTCACTGCAACCTCTACCTTCTGAGTTCAAGCAATCCTCCTGCCTCAGCCTCCTGAGTAGCTACCACAGGTGTAAGCCACCATGCCCAGCTAATTTTTGTACGTTTTGTAGAGACAGGGCTTCACCATGTTGCCCAGGCTAGTCTCAAACTCCTGAGCACAAGTAATCAACTGCCTCAGCCTCCCAAAGGGCTGGGATTACAGGTGTGAGCCACCGTGCCTGGCCCTAAAGGATCCTTAAAGGAAAATTTATAACATTAAAAATTATATATATATACACGTATGTGCAGAAATAGAAAAACCCATCCTAAAATTTATATGGAATCTCAAGGGACACCAAATAGCCAAAATAATCTTGAAAATGATGAGCAAAGTTGGAGAACTCACACTTTCTAATTTTAAAACTTCCTACAAAGCTACAGTACTAAAAACTGTCTACTACTGGCATAAAGACAGACACATATACCAATGGAAGAGATAGCCCAGAAATAAACTCTTACATATATATGGTTAAATGACAGATGCCAAGACCAATCAACGGGGAAAGGGCAGTGTTTTCAACTAATGGTGCTGGGAAAACTGGATATTCACATGCAGAAGGACCCTTACCTAATACTCTATACAAAAATTAACTTAAAATGAATCAAAGATCTAAATGTAACAGATAAAACTGTAAAATTCGGCCGGGTGCAGTGGTTCACACCCGTAATTCCAGCACTTTGGGAGGCCGAGGCAGGAGGATCACGAAGTCAAGAGATTGAGACCATCCTGGCCAAGAGATCGAGACCATCCTGGCCAACATGGTGAAACTCCATCTCTACCAAAAATACAAAAATTAGCTGGGCGTGGTGGCACGCACCTGTAATCCCAGCTACTCGGGAGGCTGAGATGGGAGAATTGCTTGAACCCGGGAGGCAGAGGTTGCAGTGAGCCGAGATTGTGCCACTGTACTCCAGCCTGGTAACAGAGCAAGACTCCGTTTCAAAAAAAAAAAAAAAAACAAAAACTGTAAAACTCTTTAAAAACATAGAGGAAAGATTAATGACATTGAATTTAACAATGATTTCCTGCATATAACACCAAAAGCACAAGGAATAAAAGAAAAAAATTGGTAAATTGGATTACATCAAAATTTTAAACTTCAGTGCATCAAAGGACACAATCAATGCAGTGGGGAAAAAAAAAACCTACAGAATCACAGATATTTTCAAATCACATATCTGACAAGTGATTAATATCCAGAAATATATAAAGAACTCCTACAGTTCAACAACAACAACAACAAACAAACAAAAAAACAATTAAAAACAGCCAAAGGTCAGCCAGACATGGTGGCTCATGCCTGAAATCCCAGTACTTTGGGAGGCCTAGGTGGGCAGATCACCTGAGGTCATGAGTTCAAGACCAGCCTGGCCAACATGCTGTAACCTGTCTCTACTAAAAATACAAAAATTAGCTGGGGGTGGTGGTGGGTGCCTGTAATCCTAGCTACTCCAGCTACTCACAGGACTTGTATCCAGAATGTAAAATAATTCCTGCAACTTAATAAAGAGGCAAATCAATTTTTTTAAATGTTCAAAAGACTTGAAGAAGCACTTCATAAAATAAGATATACAAATAGCCAATAAGCACATAAAAAGGGGTTCAATATAATTAGTTGTCACAGAAATACATATTGAAACCACAATGATGTAACACTACATTGCACCAAATGGTTAAAATAAAAGACTGATAATACCAAATGCTGACAAAGACGTAATCAGAACTTCACACTTTGCTGAAAGGAGAATAAAACAATATATATAAATTGTTCTATTGTTTTTATATATAATATACTTTTTTTTTTTTTGAGACAGAGTCTCACTCATTGCCCAGGCTGGAGTACGATGGCGCGATCTCGGCTCACCGCAACCTCGCCTCCCGGGTTCAAGCGATTCTCCTGCCTCAGCCTCCCCAGTAGCTGGGATTACAGACATGCGCCACCATGCCCAGCTAATTTTGTATTTTCAGTAGAGATGGGGTTTCACCATGTTGGCCAGGCTGGTCTCAAACTCCCGACCTCAGGTGATCCACCCGCCTTGGCCTCCCAAAGTGCTGGATTACAGGCGTGAGCCACCGCGCCCGGCCATAATATACATATTATATGTATACTATATACATATACATTGTTTTATTGTTTGTCTGTACACACACACACACACACACACACACACACACACACAGCGTTTTAGAAAACTATGTGGTATTTTAAAATAAACATACATCTCCTCTATGATCCAGAATTTCCCACTCAGGTATTTACCCAAGGGAAATTACAACATTTGTCCACCAAAAACTTTGTACAAGAATGTCTGTATCAGCTTTATTCGTAACAGCCCCAAACTGGAAATATCTCAAGTGGCCATTGACAAAAGAATCCTCATACAATGGAATGGAATACTAGTCAGCAAGAAAAAGAAACCAACTAACATAATATGAATGAATCTCAAAAACATGAGGAGGAAAAAATCCCAGACACAAAATACAAAAGTAAAACTAACTTGTGGTGATAAAACTCAGAAGAGGGGTTACTTTGGGGCTGCCTGAGTAGGGGCATAAGAAAATTTCCTTAGGTGATGGAAACGTTTTTTATCTTTTTTTTTTTTTTTGAGATGGAGTCTTCCTCTGTCGCCCAGGATGGAGTGCAGTGGCGCGATCTCGGCTCACTGCAAGCTCTGCCTCCTGGGTTCACGCCATTCTCCTGCCTCAGCCTCCCAAGTGGCTGGGACTACAGGCGCCCGCCACCACGCCTGGCTAATTTTTTTTGAATTTTTAGTAGAGATGGGGTTTCACCGTGTTAGCCAGGATGGTCTCGATCTCCGGATCTCGTGATCCATCTGCCTCAGCCTCCCAAAGTGCTGGGATTACAGGTGTGAGCCACTACGCCCGGCCACATTTTTTATCTTAATAGGGATGTAGGCTACAAGGATATATGCATTTGTAAACTGATTATACACTTAAGATTTGCATTTCACTTACAGAATTATACCTCAACTTTTTTAGAAAAAGAAAAGTGGCTGGTTATAGAGTTGCTTAAACACTCTGTGTTATTGGAACCCCTGAAAAGAATTCCAGTTCTGCCATGCATCTATGCACACTTGTTCAGCCAAAAGACATGTTCCATAACCCAGAAGTGTTACAAAGCCCTAGCCAGGCGGGTCGCTGGGCCTGTTTGCTTCCTCATCTATAACATGCTGAAGTTTACTGTCTGCTCCACCTTGGTGCCTACCATTGCTATCAAAATGAGGGCGCTTATATGGCAGTACTGTGGAAAGTTAAAACACCAGGCAATACTGGAAAAATAGGAGAGAATAGGATAAAGACTTCCTCCCCTTCTATGATTCTCCAGGGCCACCTCTATCTTCAAACTTCTCTGGGGGACTTAAGGTTGGACCCTTAACTAAGGCCTTTCCAACACCTGTTTAGCCCCCTAAGAGAGCATTTTCTATTGAATCACTACTACTATACAACCCTCCAGCCTATCTCCAAACACTTTTTTCAAAGGCCTGCCCACTGAGAAAACTAAGCCAAATGTCACAACTTTAAATTATTACCACTAACAGGGAGTGGGGAAAACAAAGAAGATACAGAAAACAGCATTTGGATCACCAGCTGGGGAACTCATGAAGAAATGGCAAAAGTTTGGGCACTTCCAAAGCATGTTGTACACATGCTTTCCATCCATCTCCTGCCTCCAAACAGGGACTTCACCAGGCAACAAGCATGATGGCCTTTTACAAACAGCAGCAATTAAAGGGAAATTACTCCTGCCTCCAGGGACACAGGCTGCTCTGTCAGCTTTCACTGTTATACACAGGCTCCTGCAGGCAGGCCTATACTAGCCAGGCACCTACCTGCCACCCTTGGGATAGGGCATGGCAGCAGGATGGGGGTCCCTGAGGGTAACTAACCAAAGTCCCAGGGAGCCCTGAAACCAGCAGACCAAACCCAGTTGCCAATTTGTCAGGGTTGACAAAGTGATACCAAGAGCCAACCATTCAGTCTTTCACTCTCTGGTCTTCCTTAGGACCTCAGTGTTACCAGCAAAAACCAGCCCGTTGGCTTACCTCTCATTGGACCGTATCATGTAGTCAGTAAATTCATGGTCTCCCTTGATCACCTCCAGGGGGACCACCAAGTTGACGTCGGAATCCGTGTTCCGCAGCTGATTGAGTTTAATATTCACTGCGAAGAGGTAATCCCGAACATCATCTATGCCCACCTTCAGGCCCTTGCACACCACATACCTGGCAGAAGATACTCTGTCACTCCACCGAGCAAGGGCTTCCTCCCCATACATTCCTTTTCCCCCAACCCCTTGTGGAATCACAAAGCTTAATGGCTTCCCTGTTCAACCTTAGGCCTACGCACAAAGAACAACACAGACCCTTTGTGGTGCTAAAGTTCCCCTCAAATCCTTCTCTGTTGAGCTCTATTTCTACTCTCTATCGCAGTAGTTCCTAACTTCCCTGTGACAGACGGGCTGTGTCACAATCACCTGGGGAGTCTGTTAAATTATAGACCTAATGAATCAAACTCTCCCAGGAGAAGGCCCAGAAATATGTGTTTGTAACAAAGCCACCGGGCAATTCTGATTGGTTGCATTTTCTCTCACCTTGTGTGTGGGCAGTGTCACACTGGGACCCCAGTAGTGCCTCTGGATAGCGGCTCCTTGCCCCTTCCCAGCCCAAGACCCCTGAAGTGTCCCTACTATTGGTCACTTTCTCCTTGGCCAAGCTGAGAATCCCTCACATAAGCATGGAGCATAAGGCTTGGAAGAAGGAGGCAGAGGCTGAACTGGCATATCACAAGACCAAAAGATCCAGGAATCCTGAATCCTGTTGGCTCTCATCACTTCTTTAAAGTCAAGGTTTTAAACGTAGCTTAAGAGGTCATGCCAGAGAGATGCACCATGATTTGCTGTTCTGACATTTAGCCAATTAATCTGGCTAATATAGAGAGAAAGGCTTCACCTCTCTGAGTTGGCAGGACGGCTGGTAATAGGCTTGAAGAGACAAACTCGTTCAAAGCAGCAGTACAGCAGGTAGACAAGCCCCACACTAAACGGTGTGAACAGGTCAAAGGTTTTACAGATGAAGTGGCCTCCTAGATTAGAGAGAAAACACCAAAAGCAGCCAATGGGTCTATTCCAAGAGATGGGTGAAGTAGTCTTGGGAGTAAATATGACAAAGTCAAGGAAACCAGCACCTGGGTCTGTTAAAACTCAGAGACAATTTAAGGGGGAGAACCATCTTTGGAGGGGACTTTGAGGATTCCACAGCCCTTTCTTCCCTAAATTACTCATTTAGCTACCTGTCCTCTAATATAAGCAGATTTTTTTAACTTCCCCACCAACCCCTTGTACATGTTCTTGTCCAATAGGGCCTCTAAGTGGGTCCTGGGGTGAGGAGACAGCTGAGGAAGTGTCACCTGTCCGGACAATGGACAGCGCCATGAGGAACTGACACAGAAGCAGCTGCTTGCTGAGGATCTCCTGCAGGTTCTCCTGCCCCTCCACCGAGAAACCCTGAAATGAGAGCACAAGGAATGGGGTGGGAAAGAGAAAAGAGAAGGACTAAGAATAACATCACTACCTCATCTTCATCGAGAGTTCTTGAAGTGTTTTCACTGATCACCATCTGATTGATGAAGAAGCAGCTCAGTGTTGAGTTATTTTAGAAGGTCACTGGGCTTGTTAGATGGAGTAAGCACAGGACCCAGGCCTACTACTGGACCAGCTCCACTTTCCTGCTCTGTCATTCTCAGGGGATGGAACCAAGCCTGCTTTTCCAAGGAGATGGTTTAGAATGTGTTTTAACTCATGGGAATCCAGAGAAGAGTAAGGCAGAACAGAGGCAAAATATTGGCTAGTCAGAGGTCAACCACAACATAGGAAACAGAATGCTCTGGTGAGTCCTAACAAGACCAGGGAGTGAGTACAGTGAGAACACTCTGCTTCGGCTTCCCACTCTGGTGAAGGAGAAAAGTTAACTTTCCTAGTCACAGTAATCTCTCTCTGTTGACTCAGGTTTTACTTACAATACCCCCTTTCCTGTCCTAAGACCACGGTGCCTCTTGTATCCAGCTGGCAGACTCTCTGGCCAGGGTATTTACTGAAAGAATGTGTGATGCTATTTCTAGAGTGGTCTCCCTCCTTGTGAGATCCCAGCAGGAGACAGAGTCAGGCTTACATAAAAGTAAAGGAGGCCAGGGGACATCAGGTGGCACAGTGTTGTTAAATGGGTACAGTTTCTGTTTTGCAAAATGAAAACTTCTGAAAATCTGTTGCACAACAGTGTGAATAGACTTAACACTACTGTTAACACTTAAAAATGATTAAGATGATCAAATTTGTGTTTTTTACAATAAAATAAAGAAAAAAGGACGCTGCCCTCTATTAAACACGCCCCAGGTGTCCCTGACTCAGTTCTACAGAAGTGATAGCTAAAGGACTCAGGATAAGAAATGTTTAGGAGTGTCTTCCAGACTTAAAGATGCTTCTCAAAATGCATGCCTGATTATGGGGTCAATTAAAAAAAAAAAAAGCCCAGGTCACCCCTTTACACTGCTGAAGTGCTGAAGCAGAAAGCCCTTGAGCTTCCAACTCTATAGCTGCCGCACAGCAACAGCTGCCTCATTAGCGCTATCAGACTCCCACATCTGCTCAGCCAGAGCAGCCCCTCCCTCACAGCCAGCCCCAAGCCTGTCATCTGTTGTTCCCTGCTGTGCACAGTGCTTTGGTGAGCCTAGGCATCTTTGGATATCATGCTGACATCCTGCCCACCTTCCTTCACTAGCCACACAGCTACTGCTTAAGAGGCCACCCAAAGAGTCCCAGAGGCTTTTCTCAACTCTAGCTATATGATCCTGGAGCAGCTGCCAAATTGTCTGTCCTTCCTCTAGAGTAAGTGGTGGCTCACTCCAGAAAGGAATGCCTGCATTGTCAGATTACTGGGTGAGAGCTTCTGCTGAACAAAGCTGCAATGGGCTTCCCTCTGTGCCTCAAGCAGCTGCCCATAGACAAGGCCTCTTGAACATTCACTTTAACCCAGCCCTGACAAGAGCCTCCTGTGGATTCCTCTGTGCTGCCGTCTTTGGTTAGGTGGCCATCTGTCAGCCTATGAGAGGCTTACAGGTGACCATGTATAGACAGCCTCCACCAGGAGCAACACCAAGATCACCCTGCTCCAGGCAAAGGTATCCACAACATCAGTCTCTACACAATTATCATTTAAAAAATGTATAAAAAGAATAAAAATGCATTCTCTACAATCTGAACTGTGAAATACCATCTTTGGGAGCAGCTAAAGAACCAGATAAAACAAACAATTCTCAAACCTCTAAAATAACAAATCCTTAATGCATCAGTCTATGGAAAAAAGGTAACCTACCCCATCAGCCATCAGAAAATGGACACCCTTGCGATCTGTGTTATCCAGGACAAAATTCCGAAAAGCAGAGATGTTCTCTGGGCGGGTGATATCTCCATCTCCATCAATCCCACCCTCACCTGTCAGAATACAAGAGTCATAGTGAGTTCATCTGCCCTATACATGTCAGGAGCTGGGACACGAGTGCTCTGGGTCAGTGAAGACGGGCATCAGGTGTCTCAAGAACTAGGGCCCATCCTGCAAGGCTCCCTTACAGTGATGGACCAGGAGGAACAACAGTACTCTGCTATAATGAAACACAGTCCCAAAGGAGTTGACCAGTCAAAAGTCATCAACTCGTGGAACTTTCTCTTTAAGACCCAAGTTGTGTTTAAGGCACCTACATTTAGGCATCAATTTTGTAATAAGGACTGTTCAGAAAGGACTTAGGATTTGCTGTCAAATTACAATCAACATAGAACAGAGGGACTGCTGTGGGTTGCTGAGCTGTCTGCAACCCAGTGCATTCTGCACCTGGCACAGAGGGCGAGAGATGGGCATTGGGTTTATATTTGTTAAAAACCCTGCCAGTTCTCAGCCAGAGATCAGGCAGTTTCATTATCTCCTGCCACCACAAAAGCAGAGTGTTCCTGAAAGGAGGAATTAATAGGGCCTTGATGAGAATCTGCTGAGGGAGTGTTTGACCTGTATTCTGCAGGCCCAGGGTAAAAAGGGATAGTCCAGAGGGAACCAAGATTCTGACATGAACTGTGAAGCCCAGGGTAAGAGACCTAGGAAAGAAAATATGGCATGTGGATAACAACTGCTTCTGACCTGAAGTCCCCATAGAGGGGCTGTCCCTCATACCTCCTAGTACCCTCCTCAATGTCCCTACCATAGTAGGGTTCGAAGAGTTCACTGGAAGCAGAGTAGAAGTCCTCCAGCTTGAAGTCATTAGGGCCCTTCAAAGTCATTCCAAAGCCCTTTGCATGCCACTTCTTCCTCCACAGCACATACTCTGAGAAGCCACCTGGGCCTGCGCAGACATCAGCAAAGTACAGAAGCTCAGCTTCCCGGTCCTTCACCAGTGGCTTCTGCAAAGGCAAGTGGAGGACAGGAGAGGAAGGAAAACAAGACAGCTCAATGGGCAACAGGAAGGAGAATGCAGGGAGAGTAAAATAAGCCTTTCGGCAAGTACAATCCAGAGCTCCCACCAGAGCTACAGCACCCAGGAAATGTATCTTCTGGTGATTAACACCCTTTAGTGTTGCCTCACCCACCCTCAAAATACCCACAATGCCTATCACATCACCAGGCCTAGCTCAGACTCCTCATAAAAACATCTTCATGGAGCCAGGCGCGGTGGCTCAAGCCTGTAATCCCAGCACTTTGGGAGGCCAGAGAGGCAGATAGCCTGAGGTCAGGGGTTTGAGACCAGCCTGGCCAACGTGGTAAAACCCTGTCTCTACTAAAAATACAAAAAATTAGCCAGGTGTGGTGGCGCACACCTGTAAACCCAGCTACTCGGGAGGCTGAGGCATGAGAATTGCTTGAACCCGGGAGGCAGAGGTTGCAGTGAGCTGAGATCGCGCCACTGCACTTGAGCCTGGGCGACAGACCGAGACCCTGTCTCAACAAAAACAACAAAAAACATTTATGGGTATCTGACTACATTTTTTATCTCTCAGAGTGTTTTCCTCACCATATCCTGCCTTTCAAGAGTCCTACTGAACAGAATATGCCCCACATATACAGATAGGGAAAAAGAGGCACCAAGATACAAAGTCACAAAGTAATCTGTTCACAGCCAGTCTGCAACAAAGCTAAATCAGGGTCCAGTTGGCCTAGCCACTAGACTCAGGTCTTCCTGTCCAACCAAAGGCTGGGGGGCTCTAACACCCTCTCCCAGCCACAGGAACCTTCCTTTTCCCATCATAGCCTCTGTCTTCCTTTCTCCCCTTCCTCCTTGGCTCTCCCAACCACCTTTTAAAAAATCCCAAATAACTTTTTATTTTGGAATAATTTTTGATTTACAGAAAAGTTGCCAAGATAGTACCCCTCACCCAGTTTCCAATTTTGTTAACACCTTACACCATGGTATGTTTGGCAAAACTAAGAAACCAACATTTGTACCTTACTATTAACTAAACTCTAGACTTCATTTAGATTTTCACTAATGTTCTTTTTCTGTTTGGGATCCAATCCAAGACACCACACTGCATTTGGTCTCTCTCCTTTTTGCACTCCCTTTTTTCTTCTCCTGCCCAGCGCTGGGTGTGGGGTTGGGGCAGGGCACAGTCAGAAGCTGACAAGACAGAGAGGGAAGGAAATACTGTTGTGCAGCAACAGCAGCTTCCAGGCAACGCTCGGAGCACCCAGCCAACTCAGGACTGACTAATCATCATTTGAATTTTGGCATAATTACATTTGTGGCCCCTTGAGTAGCTTTCGCTCTCTCTCCCCAGGTTTTTTTGTTTTTTTTTTTTTTGGCAACGAGGTCTCACTCAGCCCATGCTGGAGTACAGTGGTACAATAATAGCTTACTGAAACCTTGAACTCCTGAGCTCAGGCAATCCTCTTTCTTCAACCTCCTGAGTAGCTGGGACCCCTGACACACACCACCACGCTCAACAAATTTTTTTTTTTTTTTAGAGACAGGATCTTGGTGTATTGCCCAGGCTGGCCTCAAACTCCTGGACTGAAGCAATCCTCCCACTTCAGCCTCCCACAGTGTTGGAATTACAAGTGTAAGTCACCATGCCCAGCCTAGCTTTATCTCTTAACCTCACATTTATGCTGAACCCAGTACTGGACCATATTGTATGTTTATACTTCTCTTACACAAATGCTAGGTATGCTCTTACCCACACCTGAGCCCTAGACAGTGAAATTCTACCCACCCTCCACAGCAGACAGGATGAACCATTTGCACTGGTGACAACAACAAAAGGTTGAGTTCTACAAGTGAGTAACTGCAAAAGACTATAGTTGGCCTCAGACCATGATGAACACTCAAGCCAGAAGGGGCTTAGGGACCTCAGTCTTCCCTCTCTACAGGTTCGGCATGGCTGAGTGCTGGTCTAGAGTTCTGCAGCTGCTAGATAACGATCAGAAAGCTTTAGGGGAAACAGTCCCAAGAAAGAAATAGACATACTAATGTTTACAACCCAATCACTTCTAGGTGAGGTGGGCCTTTCTTCTGATGATAGCTATCTGGCTTTATCAAAATAGTGAAAAAGTCTCTGGAGAAAGTGACTTTAGCTAAAAATAAATGTCATCATCCCGTGACAAGCCCACTCCAGGCATGCTGGGTCTTAATCGTTCTTTCCCCACTTCCTTACTAAGCCGCCCCAGCATTCTTTGTTCCTGAGCCATCGATTATTCATCTTTTTGGATTATATTCATTTGCACACAAAAAAGACCTAATGGTATTTGCCAAGAACATTATGTAGCATCTTCGAGTCAGCATGGTGGTAATGTGGCAGGGGTCACAAGTTTTAGCCCTACACATACTGCAAAGAGGGAAAAGCAAGGTTCCTTGCCACTGGCCGTGCCCTCTAAGTGAACCACTGGTCCAAAGGAAGACTGGGAGAAGGATGCGGAATGATCGATGCGAACACCTCACCCCTGCAAAGGGGGCATGAATATGA
Organism: Homo sapiens; assembly: GCF_000001405.40. Lineage (NCBI taxonomy): Eukaryota > Metazoa > Chordata > Mammalia > Primates > Hominidae > Homo > Homo sapiens. The sequence continues at coordinate 37,456,055 of NC_000006.12, read as the reverse complement.
CCTCGTTCTGTGATTTCAAGATGTATGGCCCTTATAGGTCATGGCCAGGAAGTCTTTTCACAGGAAGGACAGCTGGCGTTCTTAGCTCTGCTACTTACTGACTGTGCAGTTAAGGACAAGCACACAATTTAAGTCATTAAGCTTGAGCTTGCTCAGTTATAAATTGGGACTGATACAGGTATTTCTCCAGGCCGTTGTAGGACTAAATAAAGTATCCTATATTGAAGAGCTTTACAAACTGTAAAGTATTAAACAATTAATGCAAGATGATATTGTACTCAATCAGATCAACTTCCTCAGAGTCAAAACTCTTATCCTTTTCCATGTTTTTCTCTTTCCAGTGGCGAGTACAGCAGCACTGCACACTCAATGGAAATTAGACAAATGATGTCTAATTTCCTCAGCTAGGACTGAAACTTAGAGATCTACCTTCAGTTGTCTTCTGCAATGCTTCACAGACAATGTATTCTTGTCTCAACAACATTCCCAGGCACTCGAACCCCTGACATAATGTAACAGTTTATAATATGCTTCCATATACTCCAAGGATCTAAATTTCCCTCCGTCCTTTGTCTCTTCCAGTTCTTGCTTATAGCTTCTTTATTTTCCTCCCCTTGCCCCCTTTCTCCTTTACCATAACCTGCAGCACCACAGACCTACTTAAAAACTTCAGAGTTGGCTGGGCGCGGTAGCTCACGCGTGCAATCCCAACACTTTGGGAGGCCAAGGCAGGCGGATCACCTTAGGTCGGGAGTTTAATACCAGCCTGACGTGGAGAAACCCCGTCTCCACTAAAAATACAAAATTAGCCAGACATGGTGGCACATGCCTGTAATCCCAGTACTTGGGAGGCTGAGGCAGGAGAATCACGTGAACCCGAGAGGCGGAGGTTGAGGTGAGCTGAGATCGCGCCATCGCACTCCAGCCTGGGCAACAACAGCGAAACTCCGTCTCGAAAAAAAAAAAAAACTTCAGTCTGCTCTCTCCATCACTTGTCATCACCTCTTAACATCTTCACATTCCAAGCTTCAAATTCTCCTGCTCTTAGTCTATAATTTGCCTGATCCAAGAGCCATTATGACCCTAGCAAACATGGGTGTGTGCCTGGGCCTTCAGCCACTCCCTCTTCTGCTGGGGACTGCTCTAGTGTCTCTGCTGGCCTGAAAACCACACCAAGCCTGTGGGGCTTGGCTGTAACTCTGGTCCTCAGGGGAAAACGGAAATGAAAAGAGAAAATAAAACACCAGGGGCTCGAGAGAAATCACTTTTTTTATAGTGAAGCATAGAGAAACATCTCTGAAAGGGCAATTCTCCGTGGCCACTAACAATCAATTCAGGTCAAGAAGCTGCCTGAAGCATTACAAACACGGCTGCCTTTTCCTATGTAACTAACACCTCTACCCTCAACCTGAATGGTACAACCCTGGTGCCTACTTCATTTTCATGACAGCAAAAGGCAATAACCAGATACCAGCTGCTGGAGGCATTTGTATACAAAAGCCAAAAAAGACACTGTGACTTCCCATCAGCTTGACAGAGCTCCTCTGCCAGGCAGGGGTTTAAAGGAAATCATTTGGAGCTCAGAAAATTAAATCAACATTATATCAACCTAATTTTCTCAAGATGCTAATTCCAAGAGCCCTTTTGTGCTGCCTGCTGGTACTGGAGAATGGGAAGGGAGACCTGGGAGTGAAAAATGAGTAATGGCTGGAGGGGCTACATGCCAGTTTTGCCAGCAAGGAGGAAGCAGTTAGGTAGGTGGAGCTGAAACATTAAAGAACTTGGAAAACAAGTTTCTTTAGCCAGTGGATAATCAGGGGGTCTAGTGGAATGAGGGTGAGTGAAGCAGAAACAGGTTTGGGGATAGCTGGCTCCTGGCCCTATCACTGTCAAAGAAAAGTAACTTTCTAGGACCGGGTAAAAATGCTTTGAAACCCTGAAGGGAATTCTAGAATGAAATTTCCTTTTTTTCTTTCTCTATCACTATGGCGAGTCTATGTTCAGAGAAATGAGATGCAGCAGAGTAGAAACTCACTTTGCTTTACCACTTCTTGAAAAGGGCCAAAGCCTTATAATTATGATCCCACGCAAAGCTTGTTCAGAGAGGCAGAGAAGGAAAGTGGCCCAGTCTAAAATTACAGTCTTAGTGCTGGGACAAATCTTAAGAGCCTTTTGGTTCTACCCTAGCCCTCTGGCAGGTTAGTACGGCTCATTTCAGAATGAGGGAGCTGAGGCCCAAAGAAGGTATAAACTTAAGTAATCCATCCTGCTTCATAAATGCTATGTCATGTCCCTCCTCACCACATTCCAACAACACAGGCTAGATTTTCAGATACAACACTGATTTTAAATAGATCAATGAAAATGCCCACTGAAATGCCCACATTTCATCCAACACTCAAACCATATTCCCCTCTCATTACCAGAAACAGCACCCAAATCAGGTGATGTCACCAAGTTTCAATTTGGAAAATAAGCTTGCTATATAAAAACAGTATTCACCCTTCCACTCTACCTTCTGTAGGGTTAGTGGCTCGGATTCCAGGACTGAAGCCCTGAAGACAACTGCTTCACTCCTGGGACCACAGAAGCACTGTGGGACCCTATCTGAGGAGCTCAAAGCAAAGTATCTCCATCACACAGTCAGAATACTCTCCTAGCATTGAACAAATGGCAATGGCTGAGCCACTGAAACTTAAGCCCTCTTAGCACCATGAATTCAGAAGCAGAATCTTGTTCTCACCCCATAAGAGTCCCGCGGATTTGTGAACATGCGATCAAATACAAAATCCATGTTAGCCATCTTCATTGCTGCCCTGCAATAAAGCAAGACAGAAAAGTACTAGATGTACTAGGCTCAATTGAAAAGGTAGAGCAGGGAGCATCAGGGGAGGGGAGGGAAATGTCAGCAAACCTGTTTAGAAAGAAGACTCCTCGGATCATCTCATAGGGATTGGCCCGAGTCCGAGCTCGCCGCATCTCTTCCCCATCCAAGACATCAAACACGCTCTGCCCAGAGAATCAGAACCTCAAGGTGAATTCCAGGATAGGAAAGGGACCTTAAGACCCTGCAGTGCCCAACTCACAGCCCTCCAAGGAACAAGATTCCTGTGGCATCTCAGCTCTGAAATGTCTCACTGTGTGACCCTACACAGGCTGCTCAATAACTCTCTCAACTACCTTGCCGGTAAATTGGTTAAAAAAAAAAAATGTAAACAGGTGCCTGGCACATGGCAAGTGTTTAAAAAACGGCACCCGCTGCTACACACAGAGCCACCTCTGGGCATTGCTAATCCTCATAGTAAATCTGTTTCTCCATCCCATACCAGCAGCTACTCTCCAAGGGATCAAAGTTCTGGTATGAAGGCTTACCTGACTAGACCTCACTTAGAGAGAGGAGAAACAAATAAACAAGACTAGGGTTTTCTGATGGCACCTACCACACAGTAGCAATCCCTTCTCTCAAACTCCCCTGACCAATTTCCTCTCTAGATAAAGAAATCCTCACATTACCTGAGCTCCAGTCACCTTATGGATATTCCCAACCCTATGCCTGCCAAAAAATAAAATCTGTGAGGCTACTCTGAGGCCTGCCTTTTTCACCAACCCATTTCCTCCTCAGAGTTTCCCTGGCTCATTCTGCCCACACACAATGTGATTCTCAATTAAGACAAAAAGTGTCAAGGGGAGGCTAACATTTACCCAGGTACTTCACACCCACTATTTCATTTAGCTCTCACAACAACCCTGAGAAAAGAGTATTTTCTCCTCATTTTATAGATGAGGAAACTCAAACTCAGAGAGAGTAAAACCACCGGGCCAAGGTCACACAGCAAAGAGTTGCAGATCTTGGATTTGAATCCTGGTCTATCTGATGCTAAGGAATGACTCCAAACCTTTTACTACACCAGGCCCTCTCAGGATTACAATGAACAGACCCACTGAGATTAGGCAGATCCTTTCTTGGCTGCTGACCACAGGGACAGCACAACACCCACAGGGCAGAACAGTCACCCAGGAAAAAGACAATTTGCAGATATGAACCAAGCTATGCATCTGATCTCCAGCAAAAATCTTAACTTTAGCTTCCCACAACCCACTCAAAGGAGAAATGGAAAAGTCCAGCAAATCACCTCCCACAAGGTTTTCATTATCTGGTTCTAGCCACAAGACCTTACCTTACACTGCAACACACTGTGAAGCAGCTCTTCCCCACAAAACTCTGTTTCATCTTCAATAATCATCTTTCTCTACAGGGAGAAAAAAGCAGTAAGTAATGACCACGTGTGACTGCAATTGTCGGGGATGAATGAAGAAATTAGGGTTCCAAGTAAGTAGAGCAAGAAGGGACTTGGTTCTCTGCCAAGAAACATCAATCCCTGAAGGGTGGGAAAGAGAAAATCCTAAATCCCTCTGGCTATTCTCCAGATGGCTGTGAGATGAAGCACCCCCTCACCCCCACCCCAGGAGCTCTGAGTAGAGCACCATATGGACACAAGACTCATGAATGCTGAGGCTGGGAACACCAAACAGGAAGGAGACATTCAAGCTGTCTAACCCTGGAGCATGGAGGCAGAAGGATGGGGAATGCCTCAAATGACAAAAGCTTGTCCTTCCACCAGGAAGCCTCTCTGTGATGAGTAGAAATACATGATACCAGGCACTGACCTGGTAGCATTTCAGAAAACAGGGACGCTAAGGGGTCTCACAGGGATATCAAGTGCAACCCCAAAATGAGTGAAGCCACCTCTAAACCAGTAAAACTCAATCTCTTTGGTCTCAGGTTTTACACTCATAAAAATTATTGAGGATCCTGAAGAATTTTTGTTTATGCGGGATAGATAATAGACAGGTAATCTATTATCTAGAATTCAAATAATTATATTATTAAAAATCAAAACAGATTTTAAAAATATTTTTAAATTCAGTTTAAAAGGCTAATGTTAACATAAATATTTTTCAGAAATATATTTTCAGAAAAATAACATTTCCAAAAAAAAAATGAGTGAGGAGAGTGGTACTGTTTTCCATTTTTGCAAATTTCTTCAGCATCTGTCTTAACAGAAGGCCAGATTTTCCTCTTTGCTTTTTCATTCAATCTGTTGTAATATCACATCATAGCCTCTGGAAAACTCCACTGAACACTTGTGAGAGAATGAGGGTGAAAAGTGCAAATAACTTTTCAATATCATTATGAAAATAGCTTTGCCCTTGTGGACCCCCTGAAGGGGTCTTAGAGATCCCCGGGAGCACATACACTTTGAGAACTGCCCTCTAGACCATATTGATTTGGTAGCCATCTACTTTATTCTCACAATTTTCCAGAAGAAGATTAAACAAATTCCCTCTGTAACAATTCCCTCATTACTTTCTGAGGGCAGGGACAATGTCTTTTCATCTAGCAGTGATCAGAATACACAGATATGTATGATAAGCCACTTCAAAAGGCATCCATGAAGAAGACAGAGGTTATACATTTTATCTGCCTTACAATTTAAATAACTTAGAGAAAAGAAAAAACCCTGTCATATCTCCAAGGGGCATACTTGTAAAGCTCATGACACTCCCTCTTGACACAGTTTTATTCCTACCAACATGAATGGTCAGATTCACATTTTTCTTAAACTGCAAGTGTATGTAAATACCAGACTCGAGCAAGTGAAAAGTCAAGAGAATGCCAAGAAGTCAGGGTACGTTTTCCTGAAAGCCTACCTTTCCCACCACCATCCAATCGCTCATTTCCTGAGTGTCAGGAATTTCAGTGGTACATTCTGGAAACCATGACACCTGCTCACAAGCACTGGGCTGCAAACAAAAGAGAGGCTAGTAAGACAGATATGACACACCCTCAAAGCTAAACCCCAACTCATCAGGACTTCCCCAAAACAATCAAAAGGGACTGAGACAGACCGAGAAGGGTGCAGGTTGCTGAAGCCAAATGCAGTGGTCAGACATGAGACGTGAGAGCCAGAATTCTAAAGTTTAACTTCTAAAGCCAGCTCCAATTCTGGTTAGAATCCTTAGAAACTTCTCAAACCTAAGGTTTCTTTCATTTGTTCCATTATTATTTAATGAATACCTACTATGTGTTAAGCACTCAGAATGCAGAGTTAAATAAGACATGGCCCTTGGCAAAAGGGGTTTGCAATCAGAGCAGTGGAGACACAGAAGTAAACAGGCAGTTATCGCATACAATGTAGGTCTATGACAAGATAAGTATATCAGAAAGACTTAATGGCAATGAGTCTCATCTCCTGATTCCTTTCAAAGTGTTACTCAAAAAACAATCCAGAAACTGGTAAACAGGATTCCTAGCCCATTCATTCTAAGGGAGAACAAAAACTGACATCTCTAATGGGTGCTTCCTCTTAATTTTTCAATTACTTTCCTATCAGGCCAAAACGGTGCATTAGGATCATCTGCAGTGCTTCTAAAGAGTACTGATGCAGCTGGGTGTGGTGGCTCACGCCTGTAATCCCAGCACTTTGGGAGGCTGAGGTGGGCAGATCACTTGAGGTCAGGCGTTCAAGACCAGCCTGGCCAACATGGTGAAACCCCGTCTCTACTAAAAATACAAAAATTAGCTGGGCATGGCAGTGCACATCTGTAAACCCAGCTACTTGGGAGGCTGAGGCGGGAGAATCCCTTGAATCCGGAAGGTAGAGGTTGCAGTGAGCCGAGATTGCGCCACTGCACTCCAGCCTGGGTGACAGAACAAAACTCCGTCTTGAAAACAAAATAACATAACATAACATAACATAACATAACATAACATAACATAACAAAACATAAAATAGTACTGATGCCTGGAGCTGGGCCCAGTAGCTCACACCTGTAATTCCAATGCTTTGGGAGGCCAAGGTAGAAGGACTGCTTGAGGCCAGGAGTTTAAGACCAGTCTGGGCAACACAGCAAGACTCTGTCTCTACTAAAAAAAAGTCTAAAAAATTAGCCAGGCATGGTGGCACAGGCCTGTAGTTGTAGATACTCAGAAGGCTGAGGTGAGAGGATATCTTGCGCCCAGGATTTCAAAGTTGCAGTTAACTGTGTTTGTGCCACTGCATTCCAGCCTGGGCAACAGCGCAAGACCTTGTCTCAAATAAAATAAAAAATAAAAAATAGTACTGATGCCTGAGACCCATCTCCAGAATATAAGATTCTGCTGGTCTGAAGTGAGGCCTGGGGATAAGTTTTCAGAAGTCCCCAGATGATTCTACTGTGCAGGCAGCGCTAAGTGCCACCAGGATAGAGAAACATGGATTATAAAACCTAAACAGGTGGCTAACCTGCATGGCAGCTTCACATATTGGCTCCCAAGCAAGTGTGGAGAAGAGATTCACCATTGCAAATTGAAGCAATGTGATTAAAAGTAATATTACATGCTCTGAAAGGCATAAAATGGTATCACAATGCAAGGTCTTGAGGGCAAGCCAACCAGCATCAACAGAGACAAAGTTGAAAAGAAAAATTACTGAAGCCTTTTGTCCATGAATCTGGCAGTGAATCATGGCTTCTTCTCCTGGTCAAATCTATCATGTTTAAGCATAAAGGTGATAGAGTTGGTTATAAATTATAAACTCTAGAGAACAAGAAGCTCATATAAACTTGGAAAGAAAAAGCAGACTCAATGTCCCTATGGAAGTCTGATTATTATAACTACCTACAGAGTGGACTTTATCCAGAGGGTCATACTCTGTCCTCCACATTCCTAGGCTGCAGTAGCCACTGAGCATTTATCCGTGGTAACCCCATGATTGGATATCCACCCCTGGACACCCAGACTCACCTACTGTAAAGAAGTGGCTGCCAACTGACACTTGACCTCTTTTTTTTTTTTTTTTTTTTGAGACGGAATCTCTCACTGTTGCCCAGGCTGGAGTGCAGGGGCGCAATCTCAGCTCACTGCAAGCTCCGCCTCCCAGGTTCATGCCATTCTCCTGCCTCAGCCTCCCGAGTAGCTGGGACTACAGGTGCCCGCCACCATGCCCGGCTAATTTTTTGTATTTTTTAGTAGAGACGGGATTTCACCGTGTTAGCCAAGATGGTCTTGATCTCCTGACCTTGAGATCCACCTGCCTTGGCCTCCCAAAGTGCTGGGGTTACAGGCGTGAGCCACCATGCCTGGCCCCACTTGACCTAACTTTTACTTACAAACGTTTACTTACTTATAGGGCTTTTTTTTTTTTTTGAGACAAAGTCTCAGTCTGTTGCCCAGGCTGGAAGGCTAGAGTGCAGTGGCACGATCTCTGCTCACTGCAACCTCTGCTTCCCAGGTTCAAGTGATTCTCCTGCCTTAGCCTCTCTAGCAGCTGGAATTACAGGTGTGAGTCCCACACCTGGCTAGTTTTTGTATTTTTAGCAGAGATGGGGTTTCGTCATGTTGGTCAGGCTGGTCTTGAACTCCTGACCTCAGGTGATCCACCCGCCTCGGCCTCCCAAAGTGCTGGGATTATAGGCGTAAGCCACCATGCCCGGCCTATAGGGTGATTTCAGATTTTGAGTTTAGTGAAGTTAGTTCAACTTCTGCCCCACTGAAAGGATGTGGACTCTTGTTTTAACACGAATGAAGACATAGAAACCATCAGGTACTTCTGAGATGAAAGCCCACAACCAGCAACCAGCAGCAGGTATCTACCCTGTTCCGCATTGCCAGTCTGCTGGTCTCAACGCCCACAACTACAAGGCAACAGCGAGACCGGCCCCAGAACCCATGAGCCCCTCACTCGTCAGAATCTTACTCAGAAGACTTATTAGGCTTTTATCACATGCAGATTCACGGGACTTCTTTCCTGAACTGGAACATTAGGGAGACAAATAAAATATCAATTTTCCAGAGTTCAGAGCCACATCTGAAGCTGAACTACAGCAACTATGCAGAAAGCTAGATGTTTGAGTTCCATTTTCTCTAGTTTCAACTCTGTAATGGTAATATCTCAATGTTATTTTTAGGTGTTTTTATTGTACCCACTACAGATCCTTTACGGAATAAGATAGGACATAAATAAATGAATAAAATAAAATCTCACATTGTCTGTGCCATGAAAAGGGATAATGAGAGTTTCCTTTGGTCTTCAGGGTGAAAACAAACTGGTACCCTAGTAAGCAGACTAAACCCACAGTAGAAAAGCAATGTGGCATAAAAAAGCACCTATTTAGAACCTGGATGGCACAAACCTGGGGAAGTACAAGGATCTTCTTAGAAGGCACCTACTCCAGTTACTCACACAGTGAGAGAGTGGGTGCTCCCTTGGCCTGCCTGAACACTTTCAGCAGAGAGCACACTGCCTCACAAGGTATCCTAGTCCACTAGTGGAGAGCTGTAACTATTTATTAAAGTTTTTATGGAGCCAAACTCTGCCTTTCAAGCATCTTCTACCCGTTGGTCTTAGACAGTCCTATAATGCAACAGGAAATCCACATCCCACCATATCTCCCCCAGCCTTCTGTTTTCCATTCTGGATATCCCCAGTACTTTCCACGTAAAAAACTAATTCCACTTTGCTCATACTGCCTCTGGAGATTTCTAGTTTGTTGATATGGCTTCTTAAAGCCATGCATCCAAAAACACAAGTGGCTTTTCCATCTCCTCCTCACTTTAACACTTACCTCTGGCTCATCTCGCCAGTCCACGTTCAGCTCCTGGTCAAAGCCCCGGAGTGTCAGACCCAAGCCTCTTCGACCTTTCTGACTGGAAGCCTCAACGATGTCCTTCCGACCCTGGCTGTATTTACCCAATCCTTCACCTTCCCTGAAGCCCATCTTGGCCTGAAAAAGAGAAGTAGTGGAGCACAATTAATTAGGTTCAACAGACATTTATTTAGCCCCATCACATGCCAAACAGTGTGCTAAATCCTAAGAAAAATAGATGATTAAAGTCTAAAGTTTGTCTTAGCCTAATGAAGAAAAGAAGCATAAATAAATAACTGCAGTATAACTGTGGGCCCAGTGGCTGGCTGTTCTGGAGGTTAAAGTCTAGGGCAACCAGAAATTGGATAAATGAGAAGGGACCTCATAGCCTAATTAAAAGCACCCAGAGTACTTCATGAATCTCTCATTGGACATTTGCTAATTTGTCTGATTAAGTGAGAAGCAGACCTAGAGTAGACTTGATAAAGAGAACATAATTTAAAATGGAACCGCTTCAAGCTGTAACTTCTACCTTACCCTTATCCAGTCAAACAGCCTTACTAGGCAAGGATAAGTGGCTTGGCAGGAGCCCACTTAAGAGATTAAAAACTTGCCTCATGTAAAAGTGAGGTATGGGACCGGGCGCGGTGGCTCAAGTCTGTAATCCCAGCACTTTGGGAGGCCGAGAAGGGCGGATCACGAGGTCAGGAGATAGAGACCATCCTGGCTAACACGGTGAAACAAACCCTGTCTCTACCAAAAATACAAAAAAATTAGCCAGGCATGGTGGCAGGCACCTGTAGTCCCAGCTACTCAGGAGGCTGAGGCAGGACAATGGCATGAACCCAGGAGGTGAAGCTTGCAGTGAGCCGAGATCACACCACTGCACTCCAGCCTGGGCGACAGAGCAAGACTCCATCTCAAAAAAAAAAAAAAAAAAAAAAGGTGAGGTATGGGAGGACTATAATACTCTGGGACAGAAACAGTTTTTTAAATGCCACAACTATCTGTAAGTTCTCACTAAACTTTAGAGTTACTGGGCCCAGGTATATACCCAAAGATTAGAGACTTGAATCCCAAACCCCACAGACTCCTGCCTAATACAAAAAAAACTGCAATCCTAAGAAGATCTAAATTTCCCTGGAGGGTCTATATTCCCTCTGAAAGGGGTATTACCAGCTAAAGAGCTGGATGGAATTCCTATGGTAGCCACAAATACTTCTCCCAGGTCAAACAGGCTGACTGAGTCACAAGCCTTCCCATCTTTAACTTCCCCAAATCTTATAGCCTGCAAACTAGAATCCTGACCTATGGCTTTAGCAGTGACAATTCTCATTCTTAAATGAATCTAAGAGAAAATGGAGGGGTCAACTATAATATTTCTTTCTTTTTTTTTATTTTTTGAGACAGAGTCTCACTTTGTTAATTAGGCTGGAGTGCAGTGGCGTGATCTCAGCTCACTGCAAGCTCCACCTCTCAGGTTCAAGCGATTCTCCTGACTCAGCCTCCTGAGGAGCTGGGATTACAGGCACCTGCCACCATGCCTGGATAATTTTTTGTATTTTTAGTAGAGACGGGGTTTCACCATGTTGGCCAGGCTGGTCTTGAACTCCTGACCTCAAGTGAGCCACCTGCCTCAGCCTCCCAAAGTGCTGGGATTACAGACGTGAGCCACTGCGCCTGGCCCAACTATAATATTTCTAAAGCAAGACAGAAGGTAAACTTGGATCTCTCTAATGTTTGCACATACACTAAGGAATATGAGCAGGTCTTCCTAGTCACCATTCTTCTTGTGATACATCAATTAGGTATAAAAGTTAGGAAAGATAATTGGGCCTTCTTTCAGAAAAAGAATAAATGGAATACTTCCATTTATTTTAGGCATCTGGGAGTGAACAGGATTTTAGTCGTTTCTTTTGACACCACTCACTAGAGCAAAAATTCACAGCATGAAGCTTCTTTACCCACTGACAGACATCCATGTTTAGGGAAGTATAGTCACACATGTTAGTAATAAGAATTCATTACTATGGATATGAAAAGGTGATCCAGTCCAGATAGAACAGCAGAAACAGGCCTAAGCAGTTGCTGCCTATAGATGATACAAATGTGATAGATACTTCTATCAAGAAGTGGGTCACACTCTGCTAAATTTCAGTAGCTGAAAAGCAAAGGAAAAACCTATGGCCAAACTTTTCTTCTTTTCATACAAATACAAATTGCCCTTCTTTCACTCTGCTGGTGGGGCTTGAGAAACCCAACCCAAGCGCTGACATACCATAAGCTTCTGGGAGACGCTATTATACATGGAATAGCGAGAAGAAGTTCCTTCCACAAGAGAGTCTGCTTTGAATGCATCGTCAAAAGAGTCAGAGCTGTGTTGTTTCCCCTCGGTCTCACTATCAGACCCACTAAGGCTTGTAGTAGATGCTGAAAAAGAAAAAGGAAAATGTTTAGGTAGGTTTATGGCACAAAATAGCCTCCAGACATCCAAGTTTCATTTATTCAACTACTGTTCAGTATACACAATGCACATATAAAGTTCATTAAATGACCCAAGGTCAAATCTATTTTCTACCTCTTACTAGCTAGGTAATCTTGGGCAAGTCACTACTGAAAGTTCCTAATGGACTTGACACAATGGGAGCTCAAAAATAACAGTTTTCCTTCCCCACCCTTTCAATTTCCTCCACTATAAAACTGAGATAGTAATACCTGCCTCACAGGATTGTTTAAAGATTAAATGAAATAACGTATTTGAAAATGCATTGTTGGCTGGGCATGGTGGCTCACGCGTAATCCCAGTACTCCAGGAGGACGCTGAGGTGGGCGGATCACTTGAGGTCAGGAGTTCAAGATCAGCCTGGCCAACATGGTGAAACCCTATCTCTAATAAAAATACAAAAATTAGCTGGGTGTGGTAGTGCGTGCCTGTAATCCAAGCTACTTGGGAGGCTGAGGCAGGAGAATTGCTTGAACCCGGGAGGCAGAAGTTGCAGTGAGCCGAAATTGCGCCACTGCATGCCAGTCTGGGCAAAAAGAGTGAGACTCCATCTCAAAAAAAAAAAAAGAAAGTACATTGTCAAATATAAAGTGTATTTACTGAAGATATGATTGTTATTTCTGCTGCTGGTGGTTATTATTAGAACATCAATATCCAAACACTGATGCCTGATTCCATTTTCAACGATTCCATTATAAGGCTAACATTTTTATTTCTTATAATTGCAAAAAGAGCTTTTGGAAGGAACGATATACAAGAAGACCAATAAAAGTGATTATTCACACATTCAGGGGTTAGCATTTGGAGACAGAATACCAAAACAATTACTTGGAACTAGTGAAAGCAAAAGTGAAACTTGATTTACATTTTTATACCACGAAAGTTTACACTGGCTATCTTTTTATATTTTTTGACTTATGAACCATGTGAATATATTATCTATTAAAATTTAAAATAAATATGAAAATATTGACTTAGCAATGTGGCATAATTCCTTTGAAGAAGAAGGGACACCACTCAGAAAGGGTGTTGATTCAAAACTTGGCTGCTTGTGAGAAGTACTGAAGGAAAGTCACAGACGGCAGTGTGTAAAACATTTTTTAATAGACCCGAGGTGGTCACTATTCAGGTATTTCTAACTTGAAGAATACATTATAATTCTGAAGCCAATCTTAAGTGATCCATCCATTTCCCTACCAGAACCAAAACCTGCTAAGGGTTGACATTCAAGAAGAACAAAGCTTTCCCCAGCACTCCAGGCCTAACTGATTATCCCTTCCACTGTGCTCCAGTAACACCAGTGTCATTGGCACAGCACTCATCACATTGCCTTAGAGCCAGTTATTGTTTGCCACTTGCTGTCCCCATTGGACAGGGTCACTCCTGGAGAGCAGGAACTATGTCACAGTCTGTACCCAACACCTGGACTGAGGCTTTCCATTTAATAGAAATTAATTAAATGATTACTGTAGTAAATGTAAAGATGTGTCAGCCAAGTATCACTTTCCTAAGGACCTACAGAGTATATGACTCCTTGAGACATTTCCTCTTACAAATAGTGCAAGCTGTTCAGGCCTCAGAAGTTTAAGGATGAGAATGGGATCTCTATATCTTAACAGAGAACGGAGCCCTCCTGGGCTATGATTTAGCTTCCCCACCAGTAGGTTGAATTAGGACATCTGTCATAGTTCAGAACACTGATACCGTTTAAAAGATCAGACTACTATACTGGTTCAGCACCTATTCTATAAAAGATCATGCTACATATAATGGGGTACTGTGCAAAAGTAACAACCCTTAGAGAGCTTAAAAATCTAATAGATAAGGTTAATATGCATTTTCAAGGATACAACATTTTACAAAAGAAAGAAAAGACAGGTGAACATGTGTGAAAGAATAAACTTAAAACCAAAATTCTGGCTTCTAATAAGTTAGCAAGGATAAATTTTGGTTGAGAATGTCCCTGTATGAGAGGCACAAAATCTGCCCTTCCCTTTATGGTGGCTGTCCAATTCTCTTAATCGAGTTGACTTGCTTACATGAACCAATCTGGCAAACGTCACAGAGTGCCAGAGAGTGCCACTCAGAAAACCCAGACCACTAAGAATGAGTAACCATGGAAACTGAGAGGTGAACTGATATTTCTTTTGTTTTGCATTTTCCTGCATTTTCTGCATTTGTGAGACACAAGAATGTATTAGTTTGAAAATCAAGGTCCAGGCACGGTAGCTCACACCTGTAATCCCAACATTTGGGAGGCGAGGCGGGCGGATCACCTGAGGTCAGGAGTTCAAGACCAGCCTGACCCAAATGGAGAAACCCTGTCTCTACTAAAAATACAAAATTAGCCAGGCGTGGTGGCACATGCCTATAATCTCAGCTACTCGGGAGGCTGAGGTAGGAGATTCACTTGAACCCAGGAGGTGGAGATTGCGGTGAGCCGAGATCGAGCCATTGCACTCCAGCCTGGGCAACAAGAGCTAAACTCTGTCTCAAAAAAAAAAAGAAAAAGAAAATTAGGGTAAAAAAAGCTATAAATAAATAGATTAACACTCCAAGCCTTGGGAAGAGGTTGGTTCCTTTCCAGAGAAATCTTCCAAGAGCAGCAAATCTGAGGGGAAAGGCCTTCTAAATGGCTCAAGACCGTTCTAGGGCCTCTCATCTATTCTCCCATGCAGAGGAGAGAGATGCACTCTGCAACAGAGTGCCCACATGCTAAAGAACTGCACTTCCAAAGGTATGGATTCTCTTCACTCAGTTGCTTTCATGCCTTCAACCTGTACTACTTAATACAGAAACAGGTGGTACCAGGAATGTGGGCAGCTCCCTAAGCAGAGCCCTAAAGTTCCTCTTGGGCAGCCCAGGGATCCAGGGCCCTGACTAATCACAAGCTACAATGCTAAATCAGTTGCTACTCCTTTCACCAGCAATCTGGACATTCATAGGTCTACCTATGAAAAAGTCTGAAAACCCGGTATCCTTCTCAAAGGAGGGTATGCCCTTGCTCCAGCTCTAAAGAGTTGCCAGGCTGTTAGATTTGCCTGAGGGCCCAACAATGAGCACGGAGATAGTACAAATAACATTCCTGGGCACACAGGGTTCCTGCCACCCTAAGATCTCAAAGAGAGATCTTTTGTTTCCTTCTGTCTTCAGAATATCTCTGGGCAAAAATGACAGGGAGAACCAAATTTGAGTGGAAGGCTCACTAAGCAAATCAGTGGTGACTCTGGTGTAAAATTCCAGTACCAGACTTTGGCACAAAGATTTTTCCCTCCTACTCTTCCTCCCAAGGTGTTACCTAATGTACATTATCCTTTCCAGGTTCTAAGAGTGAGGTTAATGGGAGTAAAATATCACCCTACTAGGCAATTCCTTGTAAGATCAAGAAGTGTGCTAGATAAGCAAATAAGTCTTATTTTTTTCTTTTATTCACGTGGTATAGGAGACCACTTCTTAGCTTGACATGCTTTAAGCCAAAGTTCCCTAGATTATTCCTGATGTCCACAGACTGCCACAGCCACTACTTATTCTTACTCAGGGGCCTTTGAGGCTACTCTTTTCATATGAAAGGGAGACAATTGTCACGGCTGCAGCAGGAACTAAACAGGAGGCTTAGCTTCTCAAGACCGATAAAGAATTTAGCAAACATTGAGCAGATAATTTTGTAATGAGGTTGTAAATAGGAGTAATAAGGTCAGTCTATTAAACTCATTAGTTTCAATAAGAATTTGCCAAAGCTGGATGGCATTCCCATTTACCTCCTGGGGAGCTCCCCTCCTAAAACCTACCAGAGAGCCCAAAACAGTATGTACGGTTTTAAGATTTCTTCTCCACTTGATAGAAATCACTATTAAGTCATTACAAGGAAGAAAGATTCAACTTTACAGAGGAAACAGAGGTCTCCTGGCTGTTGGCAAAATTTTTCACATGGCAATACAGCAATGGGACAAACATGCCAAGATTAAAATTGGCAGTGACAAGCTGGGCACAGTGGCATGTGCCTGTAGTCCCAGCTACTTGGGAGGCTGAGGTAGGAAGATCACCTGAGCTCAAGAGTTCATGGCCAGTGTGGGCAACATAGTGAAACCCTGTCACTAAAAAAAGAAAAAGAATACATATACTATGTTTAAAAAATGACAGTGACAACAAAGAGGGGCAGCTCCAACCGCTAATGGCCAAGGTGGGCAGCACACAGATACAGAAAAATAAATTATGAATTTTAATAAACATCACATCCTGCTTAACGACTGTGGTGAAATAAACTCATTCCTACTTAAAGACTCAATTTCTCCTTCATGCCAGACAAATGGTAACTTGTTAGAGCAATTTAAACAGATACCGATAAAGGAAGCTTTTGATTAAGGTCATGAATCTGGGCTGACAGGAAAGCGATGGTGTTTCAGGGCAAATAGCCTATTTAGGAAAGAATTAAACCTGGTGGAGAGGAAGGCGCCTTTAATGTGATACTGGTGAAGGAGCCTGGCAACTTCCAAAGCAACTGGCTGCAGCAGGGCTAGGAGCCTACACCAGATGCACAGCTAAGGAGAGAAGGAATTTTCTTAGGGTCTAGACCATAGTTTTCCCGTGAAAAACAACCAAAGAGAACAAAATGACCTCATCTGCCTCTCCTTACTTCAAAAAGTTATTTGACAGCAAATTTGTAAGAATGTATTTACACTTGAAAATACCTTCAAACTCCTTTGAAAATACTCAAAAGATCACGATGCAACAGTGGCCATGACAACAACATCCCTTTTCTTCTTTACTCTGGCCAGATGTCAGTCTTTGACCTGGCAATGCAGCTACCATGTGAATAATGTAAAATAAACACACTGATTAAACTAAATAGATCTAATAATGAGTCATTACATTGATTTAGCAGAGGAGGAAAAAATAAGGTCCACACAGACAGAAATAGTAACTACTGTTTTGTTTTTCTAATTGTCCTCCCTAAAGAGCATTTTTCAATCATCTACCTGAACATTATGTTCAGGTAGAAGTGGCTGCAGTAAATGGAAACACCTCTGCTTTAATAGAATGATTTGAATAGGAAAGCTGCATATACATTTCAGGGGATATGTAGACAGCAAACCACCAGGGTATACTGTCCGGGGGACACCTAAGAGAATTAGATACAGAACATAGGTGATATAAATGCTAAGTACTTAATGAAATGATCTTCTGCAGACTGGAGGAGACAGGCAAAATGAAAACTGTGACGCATTTTAAGCTTCTTGGAAAAGATACTATTGTTGCCTTTTATCAGTTCTATTCAGTAACTATTTACTGAGCTTTTGCTCCAGGCTAGGCATGGTGGGAAAGAAGGCACAGGGAGCAGTCTTGCTGATAAAGATACTGCCCTCAGTTTCTGTGTCAATGCAGAGCTGCCCCTTCCTAAAATAAATTAACCTAGGGAAATCTAGAAATGTTGGTTTGCCTCTGCCTCCCATCTCATTTTCTGCAAATGAAAGGACGAAGTGGCCTCTTGCCAGACACATACAAGGAACTGGACACCTCTGGATTTCCATTCTTTTTTTTTTCTTTTTGAGATAGGGTCTTGTTCTGATGCCCAGGCTGGAGTGCAGTGGCATAATCTTGGCTCAGTGCAACCTCTACCTCCTAGGCTCAAGTGATCCTCCCACCTCAGTCTCCCGAGTAGCTGGGTCTACAGGTGCATGCCACCATGCCCAGCTAATATCTGTATTTTTTGCAGAGGTGGGTTTTCACCATGTTCCCCAGGCTGGTCTCAAACTCCTGGGCTCAAGCAATCCGCCCACCTTGACCTCCGAAAGTATTAGAATTACAGGCATAAGCCGCCATGCCCAGCCTGGATTTCCATTCTACACACACAACAGCAATAGTCAATCCTGACTGAGTCATATAGTACCACTTCCAGAGAAGGGGGAAGAGTAATCTCAATTCAGTCACAAAAGCTTGAAATTTAAATCAGAACGGTTTCCTTGAAGGATCCTTACCCTTATACACTTACCTTCTTTTACCTGGGACTTGTCCTTTCCTTACTTCAAAGAGATGTTACTTGAGAGCAAATGTCCCCCAAGATCCACTTAGAACCAGATATCACTTGTTCCCCAGACATACTCTCTCTTTTTCCCTTACAAGCCATCTCTCCCAATACCCCTACCCAAGGAGATTCTATCTTCACCAAGCTGCTCAAATTCCAGGTGAGAGGTAAAATTCCCTTTCCTCAAGAATCTCCAGAACCATCGCGTGCAGTAAGTTTTTGCCTTCTTACTCAGGAACTTCAATTCCTACCTACCCTGGAATCTACTGTGACTTTGAAGCAGAGGTGTCCAATCTTTTGGCGTCCTTGGGCCACACTGGAAGAATTGTCTTGGGCCACACATAAAATACACTAACAACAGCTGATGAGCTTTTTTTTTTTTTTTTTGAGACGGACTCTTGCTCCGTGTAGTGCAGTGGCACAATCTCGGCTCACTGCAAGCTCTGCCTCCCGGGTTCACGCCATTCTCCTGCCTCAGCCTCCCGAGTAGCTGGGAGTACAGGCGCCTGCCACCACGCCCGGCTACTTTTTTCTGTTTTTTAGTAGAGATGGGGTTTCACTGTGTTAGCCAGGATGGTCTCGATCTCCTGACCTCGTGATCCGCCCACCTTAGCCTCCCAAAGTGCCGGGATTACAACTGTGAGCCACCGCGCCTGGCCAGCTGATGAGCTTTAAAAAAAAAAAAAAAATCCCCCAAAAATCTCATAATGTTTTAAGAAAGTTTACAAATTTATGTTGGGTCCCATTCAAAGCAATCCTGGGCCACAGGTTGGACAAGCTTGCTTTAAAGGCGTGAACACCTCCACATACAAAGCTGCAACTGACTCTCTTATCTAGCCTGGACTACAGCGACACCGATGCTCCATTCGCTGTACCACCTGTCAAGCTTCTCTCTGGACCAGCTTCTCAGTAGCAGCTGATGAGTAACTGCCCTTCAATAAGCTTATCACTTGTGAATAAACTGTATTTCCTACTACCTTCAAAGGGTGCTTCACACCCTTTCAGTCACCAATCTGTTATGAAATTTCATTCCAGTTTCCCAGTGATCCAACAGAGGATCCAATATGCAAGCCTGCTGGTGTGCTGGGTTGAATATGGTATCCTCCCCAAAGCCTGTAAATGTGACCTAATTTGGAAATAGGGTCTTTCCAGATTACATCAAATGTAATACTAGATTACAGTGGGCCCTATCCAATGACCGATGTCCTTATAAGAAGAGGGAAATTTGGATACAGACACACACAGAGGAAAGGTAGAGGCAGAGATTGGAGTTATGCTACCACAAGCCAAGGAACACCAAGGAATGCTAGCAGCCAGCAGAAGCTAGAAGTGGTAAGGAAGGTCTTCCCAAGAGCCTTTGAGGGAACATGGCCCCACCAACACTTTGATTTTGGACTACTAGCCTCCAGAGCTGTGAGAGAATAAATGTCTGTTGTTTTGGGTCACCCAGTTTGTAGTAATTTGTTACAGTAGCCCTAAGAAACTAATACAGCTGGCAAGTCAAGGTAAATGCAAATTTACCTTGAGGTATTTGAGGCAAGCTCCCAGACATTTTACCATTCCTCAGAAAGCATCTATGGAAACTGTGAATAACCCTAAAAGACAGGCAAAGCAAAATGCTAGTTTCAACCAGATTAGTGAAATCTTCGACGCTTAATGCAAACAGTGAACGCAGCAATGCTCCAGTAGTTGGATACTTCTGACCACAACCGCTGAAGGAATTGAGAAAACGGTATGCATGCAAAAAAAGTGAAAATTAGGCTCGACGGCCGCAGCAAAGAGGCCCTCCCTTACAAAAGAGCCCCAGGATAATTAACAGCTATTAAGGGCACACAGCACTCAATGCTCACCACTACTTCTAACTGGTTTAAGGCAGCAAGAGTGCCACCTACTGAAGGACAACCAACAGAAAGCAACTTCTGGAAAAATTACCATTTTTTATTTAAAACAAGTTTCCCCACTCTTAGTAGGAGAATGGCAGAAGGGAAAAGAGTCTATAGCCAACATCTCTCTGTAGAGTATTCCTAATTTTCCTCAAGGGACCAAGGGGCAGTGGACTATAGTCTGCTCCACCTAGATTAGACACTGTGTGTTCAAATAACCAGATGGCCAGTGGCCTCAGACCACACAAGCACACGTACCTTTTGCTCCATGACTGACAGAGGAGGGAGGTTCATCATCGGACGTGGAGCTGAGGCTCAGGGCAAGCTCTGCAACTCTTTTTTTCTGTTTCTTGATGGGGGCAGTGCATTCTGGGTCAGTTCTCCTCTTCATCGTTAACTGTAACCATAAATCCAGTCAGTCAGCTGCCCTTGGGTCACAGCCACTGGGATCACAGCAGGGATTCCAAAGTGTAAATCATCAATGGGATGAGATTTGGCAATTCTACACATCTTCCAGTGCCAGCACTTGAATAGCCTCTTCCTCAGAATGAGGTCTAGGAAGGATGCTAGACAAGTGTTGGTTTTCAATAATAGCTGTTTTACTGGAAAATGTGGTGCTCACAGACTGAGAGAGCCCTGGGCCACTGGTGTCAGATAACAGAAAGTCATGGATCAACTCCACAAGCCACTGGGGGATAAAGCCTTGGTACCTGTAGTTATTCTACACTTTTGATGCAATATTGGCCATGCATGACAATGTACACTGAAAATGAACTATAAAACCGAATAAATATTAACCAATATTCCCAAGGTGAAGGGACCATCCCAGAATGACTGTTTCATCAGCATTATTTTACCAAAACAATTAAGAAATTACATAATATCATAAAAATACTGGTTTTGGTTTACTTCATAATGTTTGAAAACATGAAAGAATTGGGAAAGTTTTTAAGCAGAGTAGGGAATGGAAGCAGTGAAATGACTTAAGACCGAGGAAACACAAGAGCGGGAAAGTTATTGGGACTGGAGGTAGCTATACCACAGAACTCAGTTACGAAAACAACAATTTTAAGGACAGAAATCCACCTCCACAAAAAAGAGTGGAAACCAGCTGGGCGCGGTGGCTCACGCCTGTAATCCCAGCACTTTGGGAGAAAGAGGTGGGCGGATCACCTGAGGTCAGGAGTTCAAGACCAGCCTGGCCAACATGGTGAAACCCCATCTCTAGTAAAAAAAACACAAAAATTAGCCGGGTGGTGGCACATGCCTGTAGTCCCAGCTACTCAGGAGAACCGCTTGAATTGCTGAGGCGGAGGTTGCAGTGAGCCGAGATCACACCACTGCACTCCACCCTGGGCGACAGAGCAAGACTCCGTCTCAAAAAAACAAAAAAGAAAGAAACAGGCACCATGCCACCATCAATCATCCATCCCCATGGTTAGGTACATGAGAGATAAGCACGAGAAAAAAATAAGATGGAATGAAGTGATTATGAAACCCTGAAATCTTAACGAATTATCAAGTTAAAGAGCAAGCAAGAGAAGTAGTGAATACAGTGTGGCTTACACACAACTGATTGGCTGTAGAGAACTCAGAAAAGAGGACTCAATACAGGGTGGGCGACAAGCTGGGAAACAATCCTTAGGGAAGGCGAGGTACAGCAAGAAAGTATTGAAACCCAAAAGTGTCACTGATGCTCCCAACCTCGTAAAACCCTGGATCACATGTTTCAGTTCTCTCCAACTCAAGGAAGAGCCAATCAACCCAATGCACAACCGCCACCTTCCTGAGAAAGCAGCCTCTTACTAGATACAGGCAGGGGCTGTCCCAGGGAAGAACCGGAGACACTGAGCAAACAGAAAGCAAGACCAAGCTAAGCCACATTTCACTTTAAGCCGTAGTCTTAAATACCCCCAAAAGGCCCCCAGGGTGAGATAAAGGAAGGCTCATCACAGAGCTTGCTTCTAGCCATTGCAAGCGCTAAAAGCTTTTAATTCTTAAGTGACTCGGGGGGAGACTGGAAGTACAGCAAACTCAAAGCGGACTGTTGAACAGCTGTGTGAAAGGCAGGAGAGGCGGATGCTCCTCCCCAAACCACATCACCTTAGATTTGGGCCTTCCAAATCATCTCATCCAACCCTATCATCTTCCACGGGAAAAGACTGCGGCCACAGAGGTGAAGGCCACACAGCTAACCAGTGCCCTGCTCAAGTGACCCACACATGCCAGCAGAATGCTCTGGCAGGGAACTTCTAAGCGGAAGGCAAGCGGCCTGGTTCTACCTGCTGCTTCCGCACAGAAGGGGTTCAAATCCCCTCTGCAGTCTTCTCTCCCTGGGCCTCGGTTTGGCACTGCCACCCCTAATCACAGAGAGAAGAGATAAGCTCCCATGTCTCCCGGCCAGTCCCTTCATTTGAAGATAACATGAGCGTGTGAATGTGTGCGCAGAGACGTGTGTCAGCGGCAGCTCGGGCTCCAGGGAGCCGGCGTTGGGGGTGGGAGGAGGAGGGAAGACATAAGGGGCCAGAAGGCGAGGAGACCCATAACCGCGGGCGGGGGGCCCAGGCGGCGGTGGAGGGGAGAAGGATGCTGAGCCCGCGCGCCCGCCCGCTTGCTCCCCCCGGGCCGCGCGTCGGCACTCACGCTGAGGGGAGAGAGCGAGCTGCCGGGGAGCGGAGGGGGGGTCAGGCCGACACTGTCGCCGCCGCTGCCAGAGCCGCCGCCTCCTCCCTCAGTTTCGTTTCCCCACAAGCCAGCCCGGGTCCGCCAGCCGCACCGTCGCGCTCGGGTCCAGTACTGCGGGCAGCGCAGCCTGATGACGTCACGGACAGCGCCGCGCCTCGGTCCTCCCCCGGCCGGGTCCCGGCCCCGGGAAAGGCAGCTGAGGTTTGGCCCGCTCCACCTCTCAACCTGGGAGGTCCAGGGGCGCCTGCGCGGAAAAGCCGCCCGGAAAAGGCTGCAAAAGCAAAAGTAACTATCTCCTCCTTTGGCTCTGAGGAAGAGAAACCAATACAAAAATTGTAAGTGCTAGGTGCCCTCACACGACCTCATCTTACTTAATCTTATCATTATCTTCATTTTACAGACTAAGAACAAGTTCAGAGAGGTAGATGGTAAACTGGTTGAGCGAACGCAGTGTTCTTGTTCCCTGCTGTATCCCCAACATCCAGCCTATGGGACATCTCAACAGATTTTGAACGAAGGACGGGAGGACAGAAGGAATGCCGCCTGTAGCATCTTACCATATGGGCACAGTTGGCTCTCCATCTCAAACCTCTCTTCTGATTTTCAGGCCAATATGGCCAAACGTCTGTTGGACATCCTCACTCAGTCACCTCAAACCCCATGAATTCAAATTTCACCTTATGTTCTTCCATCAGCTCACTTTTTTCCTGGTGAAGGGCGCTGCCATCCATCCTGTTGGTCCAGCTAGAAATCTGAGGAATCTCCCTCTTCTTCATACCCCAAAGTTTCTCATACACTTAATTGCGCTTACCTCCTAATTGTCTTTCAAATCCATCCATTCACCCCCATCCCCATTGCCACAATTCATGCACTTACCCCCTCTCGGCAGAATTTCTCCAGTAACTCCAAACTCCCGTGACTGTCTCCAGTTGTGATCCCTCTAATGCGTTCTTCACAAAACCAAAGTGATTTTTATAATTTTCAACACCTGTGAAAAGAAGGGAATTTAAAATTGATTAATTAAACCTGATCCTGTCACAACCCAACAATGATTAAAATCCATCAATGATGTCCCATTGCTCTTAGAATAAAGCTAATGTCCTTAAAATGGCCTCTGAGACCCTCCAGCATGACCCCTTCTTCAGGTATGCCTTGTACTGCTATCCCTTAGTTCTCCCCATGCTGACTCTTCTCAGTTTATCAAATATGCCGTGTCTCCGCCGGGCGCGGTGGCTCACACCTGTAATCCCAGCACGTGGGGAGGCTGAGGCGGATGGATCACCTGAGGTCAGGAGTTCGAGACCAGCCTGGCCAACATGGTGAAATCCCGTCTCTACTGAAGATACAAAAAAAGTAGCTGGGTGTGGTGGTGCGCACCTATAGTCCCAGCTACTCAGTAGGGTAAGTCAGGAAAATCGCTTGAACCTGGGAAGCAGAGGTTGCAGTGAGCAGAGATTGCACCACTGCACTCCAGCCTGGGCGACAGAGCCAGACTCCATCTCAAAAACAGAACACAACAAAACAAAACATGCCATGTCTCTTAAGAGTTCAGCCCCCTGCCTGGATCATGCTTCTCCTCTTTGCTGGGCTAATGTCCATTTATCCCTCAGGAGTCACTTTAGTGTCCCTATCTCGAAATATTTCCTGATGTCACAAATCTAGGTTGGGAGACCCACCTCTGAGCTCCTAAAGCACTCTGTCCTTCCACTATCAAAGCACTTACCACGGTGTTGTATAATGGCCTGTGGACTCATCTGCCTCCCCGACTCAGCTGTAAACTCTGTACAGGAAAGATTGTCTGTCTGTATTAAATTCACAAGATTTAACAGAGGCTGGTGGTCAGTGCTCAATAGATATTTACTGAATCTGTGGAAGTGTGGAATATGAATGAAGGTTGAGTGATATGTTCAAGATTACAGAGCTAGGAAGCAGCAAACAGGTATTTACCTAGTTCTCTATGTTCTAAAGTTTAGTGTCCTTCTTTCCACCTCACTGAGGCTTCTTAGCATGCATTATGACATGAACACTTTTGGTAATCTTGTAGAGCTTATGGACCCATTCTCAAAATAATAATTTGAAGGGTATAAAATAAGGTATAGGAAATGAGTTATATTGAAAAAGTTAACATATTTAGCAAATTTAATGATTTAATTTTTATGTAAAGCATTAAATAATGAGAGAATGCATTCAAAATATAGTCAAGTTAAAGTTAAATTTTATTTTTTAATGTATATGAGTATACCCAATGAATAGTGCTGGAAAAAACAGATAAATATATAGGGAAACACGAACTTTGAATCTTTTTTTTTTTTTTTTTTTTTTTGAGACGGAGTCTTGCTCTGTCACCCAGGCTGGAGTGCAGTGGCACAATCTCCGCTCACTGCAAGCACCACCTCCAGGTTCACGCCATTCTCCTGCCTCAGCCTGCCGAGTAGCTGGGACTACAGGCGCCCGCCACCACGCCCGGCTAATTTTTTGTATTTTTAATAGAGATGGGGTTTCACCGTGTTAGCCAGGATGGTCTTGATCTCCTGACCTCGTGATCCGCCCACCTCAGCCTCCCAAAGGACTGGGATTACAGGCGTGAGCCAACGTGCTCGGCCCACTTTGATTCTTACTTTATGCCAAATGCAAATTAAGATACATCATAGACCTAAGCATAAAATCTAAAATGATAAAGCTTTTAACAGAAAACACAGGAAAATATTTTTGCAGACTTAGGGTAGACAAAGATTTTTTTTTACATGGGACCCAGGGAGCATTAATCGAAAGAAAAATAATGATAAAATGGAGTTCATCAAAATAAAAGGCTTCTACTCAACAAAAGACACCATTAAGACATTGAATAATCAAACCACAGAATGAGAGGAAAAGATTCACAATACATATATCTGACAAATGACTTATCTCTTATATATATATATACACACACACACATATATATATAAAATACCCAAGAATAAAAAGAAAAACAGAAATTTCCAATTCCTGTCAAAATGGAAACAGCACATTTCATTCTGTTTCTCCCACTGAATGTAATTTAAAACCTTAGACAGAATGCATGGAACAACTATCTGAGGATTCTGAAAAGTAAATGGTAAAGTATAAAGTAAATGGCAGGAATATGGAGAAAGGAAACCAGAAGTCAAAGAACTGTCAAATCAAGAGTGAGTTTCCCAATTTTTTTCCCCTTCGTTTTCTCCCAACTTGTACTAAAAGGCAACCGAAAATGCACATATTTTGCACAACAATGCGAATATAGTTAACACTGCTGAACTGTACACTGTTAAATTACATTTGGCTTAAATCTGCCTCCATACATAACATAATCTAATAATATGTAAACAAACTGTAACCTAACTTGAGAGTATATTCTTTTTTTTTTTTTATTATTTTTTGAGACAGAGTCTTGATCTGTCATCCAGGCTGGAGTGCAGTGGCACAATCTCAGCTCACTGCAACCTCCACCTCCCGGGTTCAAGCAATTCTCCTGCCTCAGCCTCCCAAGTAGCTGGGACTATAGGCACATGCCACCACGCCTGGCTAATTTATGTATTTTTAGTAGAGACTGGGTTTTACCATATTGGCCAGGCTGGTCTTGAACTCCTGACTTCGTGATCCACCTGCCTTGGCCTCCCGAGAGTATATTCTTGTAACAAGTATCTGAGTCTGGGCTAATCATAGCAGGTAAACTTTCAGTCAGTCATGGGGATGCAAACTGCCAAAACATGTCCAAATAAGGCAAATGCCAAACTGTAACCAATCAGATTATTTTTGTATGTCACTTCCTTTTTCTATCTATAAATACTGCATGCCTCCATTGGTAGGTAAAGCTCTCTGAAACTTTACTGGTTTGGGAGGCTTCCCAATTCATGAATTGATTCTTTTCTCAAATAATCTCTGCTAAACTTTATTTATGTAAAGTTTTTCTTTCAACAACACTTAAAAATGGTTAAGATGGTAAATTTTATGTTGTGTTTTTTACCATAATTTAAAGAATAGCCATTATAACCATAACCTAAAACACAGGAGTAAGACTCTTAAAAAATGAATAGAAAGATAGTGAGTCTCTGCAGAAAGAACCGAATGGAAATTTTAGAATTAAAAAGTACAGTAACAAAAACAAAAATTTCACTAGATAGGTTCAATAGCAGAATGATGATGATGGGGGTGGAGGAAGCCACTAAACTTGAAGATAGATCAATGAAAAGTATCAAACGTGAAAAACAAATGGGAAAAAAAAGTGAATACAGCCTCAGGGACCCAGGGAACAATACCAGACGATCCAATACTTATGTCATCAGAGTCCCTACAAAGAAAAGGAGGTAGAAAAAAATATTTGGCGCTAAAAAATATTTGAAGAAATAATGGTTAAACACTTCCAAACAATGGCAAAAGGCATGAATTTACAGACTCAAAAAGCTCAGAATTTCCCAAACAGTAAATGCCCAAAGAAATCCACTTCCAAATGCATCATAACCAAACTGCTGGAAACTAAAGCCAAATAAACTATGTTAAAAACAGCCAGAGAAAGTTGTCAAAATCAAAATGGAGTCACTCATGTTTAAAACTCTGACAGGCCAGGCACAGTGGCTCATGCCTGTAATCCCAGCACTTTGGGAGGCCAAGGCAGGTGGATTACCTGAGGTTGGGAGCTCAAGACATGCCTGGCCAACATGGTGAAACGCCGTCTCTACTAAAAATACAAAAATTAGCCAGGCGCAGTGGCACACATCTGTAATCCCAGCTACTCAGGAGGCTGAGGCAGGAGAATCGCTTGAATCCGGGAGGTGGAGGTTGGAGTAAGCAGAGATCACACCACTGCACTCCAGTCTGGGTGACAGAGTGAGACTCCATCTCAAAAAAACAAAACAAAACAAAAAAACAAAACTCTGACAAACAGAGCCAGGGAACCCACGAAGGGAGGGTTCTCATGCATAAATGCCTGATAACAACAACTATCACAAAAGGCTCTGCAAAAATCACAATCTTCCACAAAAGTCGTCACAACCTAACAACAACAACACAACATACTTCTGCAAGGACCATCTGCCTAACTGCCTGTCCAAACTTGCAATGACACCACCCTTGTTATTAAGGATCCTTGTAGTGAAGGATAATTGTCTCAAAACATTTATGTAATCCTCCTCATTTTTCCTAAAAAATTTTTGGTCTTCCTTTACCTGTCTGAATACACACATTATTTACTGTGGCAGCTGTACTCCCATTGCAATGCTTATTCCTGAATAAACACAGCGTCTTTTTTAGAGAGTTTCTCTCTCTCTCTCTCTCTCTCTCTCTCTCTCTCTCTCTCTCTCTCTCTCTCTGTCTCTGTTGCTTAGGTTGACAAAACTATGTATCACATTTAGGGGAAAAACAATTAGAATGACTATGGATCTTACATCAGAAACCATGGAGGCCAAAAAAGTAGTGACACGAAACATTTCAAGTCCAGAAAGAAAAGAACAGTCAACGTGGAATTCTATATCCAGTAGAAATATCCTTCAAGAATGAAAGCAAACTAAAGAGATTCTCAGATGAAGAAAAACTAAGAGAATTCATCACCAGCCACACTTTGTAAAATAAAGCCTAAAGGAAGTTATTCAGCCTGAAAAGAAATGATAGCAGAGTAAAACTGGAAATGTCAGGAATGAAGGAAAAGCAATAAAAGTGGTAAATAGCTAGGTAGATATATAATAGGCTATTTTTCTCCTTTTAAGCTCTTACAAATATACCTGATGATTAAAAGCAAAACATATAACATTGTCTGATAAAGTTGCCAGTGTGTGTAAATGTAACACATATGATAACTACTACATAAATGGGGAAGGGTGAAGGGATCTATAAGGCAGGAAGCTTTCTACAGTCCACTGAAAGTGGTAAAATATTAATTCTAAATACACTGTGAAAGTTATGCTGGAATTGTCCTTTTTGGAAAGGTGAAGTAAGGACCTCTGAAATATAATCTTCCATAAAAATAATGAGAATACTAGCAAAATTGTCAAAATTGGGTGGAGAGGATTCTGGGAAGATGGCAGAGTAGGAAGCACCGGGAATATGGCTTCTCACCTAGACAAAAATTGTGCTGGCGGAATCCGTCTGATGTAACTATTATGGGACTCCGGAGTCTAATAAGGGCTGCAACATCCAGAAGAAGGCAAGGATGGTAAATTGTGGTTAATTTTAGTTCATTTCAGCTCTTAGCACAGCAGCAGTTACTCATCCACCACCACTCAGCCATATGGCAGACAGCGGTGCACATGTTCCTGCAGCAGCTTACAAACAGCTTGTGGGAGCCAGGGTAGGCAAAGAGGACTTTGTCCTCTGATTATGGGGGATCCATGCCCTGATCTCTCATTCCCGCTTCTTATCACAGAGGTATAAACAAAGCAGGGAAAGCCATTTTTGTTGCAACTTTCCCCATTTGTTTCAAGCCTCTTGCCCTCTGGTTGAAGTGACTCCTGGAGATTTAAAGGGCTGGTGACCTTTTTATTCCCTCCTTTCATTTTTGCTTTTTCTCCTTTTGGGAGCCAGACATTAAAGACTAGGACATTAAAAAATGACTACGTATATGGAGCAAATTAGAAAGTGACTGAGCCTGCCCAGGGAAAGTTTTAAAAAAGATCTGAGGAAAATTGGCCACGTGTGGTGGTGCATGCTTGTAATCCCAGCTACTTGGGAAGCTGAGGTGGGAGGATAGCTTGAACCTGGGAGACAGAGGTTGCAGTGAGCCAAGATTGCGTTACTGCACTCCAGCCTGGGTGACAGAGTGAGACTGCATCTCAGAAAAAAAAAAAGACCTGAGGAGACCTTAACTCTATACCTCAGGCTCATCCTTGGCACAGAGACAACCTGCACTACTCAAAAAATAAAAATTGAAAAATAAAAACAAATACAAAAAACAGCAAGTCCTGGGGAAGGTGAAGAATTGGCTTTCTGGAGTTACCATCTTAGATGCATATGTCCAATTTCCAACAAAAATTCATAAGGCATACAAAGAAACAGAAAAGTGTGTCACATTCAAAAGAAAAAATAAATCAACAGAAAATGTCCCTGAAAAAGACGTGATGGCAGATCTACTAGACAAAGACTTAAAAAAAAGTCTTAAGATGCTCAAAGAACTAAAGGAAGATGTGGAGAAAGTGAAGAAAACAATGTATAAACAAATTGGAAATATCAACAAAGAGATGAAAACCCTAAAAAGAAACAAGAAAAAATTCTGGAGCTGAAAAGTACAATAATCAAAATAAAATATACTCACTAGAAGTATTCAAAGTTGGATTTGAGCAGCTAGAAGAAAAAAGTAGTGAACCTGAAGATAGGACAATGTTAATTATTGAGTCTAAGGAACAAAAATAAAAAAGACAACAAAACAAACAGAGTCTAAGGGGCCTCTGGGACACCACGGAGCAGACCAACATATGCATTGTGGGAGTGTCAGAGGGGCAGAGAGAATATTTGAAGAAATAATGACTGAAAGCTTCCCAAAATTGATGAATATAAAGATTCAAATTTGATGAATATAAAGATTCAAGAAGCTTAACAAACTCCAAATAAAATGAACTCAAAGATATGCATATCAAGACACATTACAATCAACTTTAGAAAGACAAAGAGAGAATCTTGAAAGCAGCAAGAAAGAAGCAATCTTCACATACAAATGACCACCAATAAATTAACAGCAGAGTTTTCATCAAAAACTCTGGAGGCCAGAAAGCAGTGGGCCAATATATTCAAGAATATATTGCTAAAACGTGGTGGCTCATGCCTGTAATCCCAGCACTTTGGGAGCCCAAGGTGGATCACAAAGTCAGGAGTTCAAGACCAGCCTGGCCAACATGGTACAACCCCGTCTCTACTAAAAATACAAAAAAATTAGCCAGGCGTGGCACGTGCCTGTAATCCCAGCTACTCAGGAGGCTGAGGCACGAGAATTGTTTGAACTCGGGAGGTGGAGGTTACAGTGGACTGAGATCGCACCACTGCACTCCAGCCTGGGTGACAGAGCAAGACTTTGTCTCGGGGAAAAAAAAAAAGAAAGAATTTATTGCTAAAAGAAAAAAAAAATCAATCAAGAATTCTATATCCAGAAAAACTGTCCCTCAAAAGTGAGGGAAAAATTTCCCAGCACTTTGGGAGGCCAAGGCGGGCGGATCATGAAGTCAGGAGTTCGAGACCAGCCTGGCCAACATGGTGAAATCCCATCTCTACTAAAAATACAAAAATTAGCTGGGTGGTGGGTGCCTGTAATCCCAGCTACTCTGGAGGCTGAGGCAGGAGAATTGCTTGAACCTGGGAGGCAGAGGTTGCAGTGAGCTGAGATTGCGCCACTGCACTCCAGCCTGGGCGACAAGAGCAAAACTCCATCTCAAAAAAAAAAAAAAAAAAAAAGTGAGGGAAAAATTAAGACATTCCCAGATAAACAAAAGCTGAGAGAGTTTGTTACCACTGAATCTGCCCTTCAAGAAATGCTCAAGGAAGTCCCACAGGGTGAAATAAAAGGACACCAGAAAATAACTTGATGCCATATGAAAAAAATAAAGATAACAGTAAAGGTAAATACATGGACAATTATAAAAGCTAGCATTATTGCAACTAAGGTTTGTAATGCCACTTTTTATTTTTTATATGATGTGAGAGATGGCTACATTAAAAAAAACAATTATTAGCGTAAAACCCAGTATTATTTTAACTTTGGTTTGCAACTCTGTATTTTGTTTTCTGTATAATTTAGGAGACTAATGTATTTTTAAAATATTAGTGATACAGGAATTAAGACAAAGGTACTAGGCCGGGCGCGGTGGCTCACACCTGTAATCCCAGCACTTTGGGAGGCCGAGGTGGGCGGATCACGAGGTCAGGAGATCCAGACCATCCTGGCTAACACGGCGAAACCCGTCTCTACTAAAAATACAAAAAAAAAAAATTAACCAGGCGAGGTGGCGGGCGCCTGTAGTCCCACCTACTCGGGAGGCTGAGGCAGGAGAATGTCATGAACCCAGGAGGCGCAGCTTGCAGTGAGCTGAGATCCCACCACTGCACTCCAGCCTGGGCGACAAAGGGAGACTCCATCTCAAAAAAAAAAAAAGAAAGAAAAAGGTACTTAGGCAGATAGTGAGGGTACGGGAGTCCTCAGTAAGGTTTTCCTTTTAATGAAAAGCAGCCCCCAAATCATTTTCTTTTCTAACAAAGAGCAGCCTGTAAAATCGAGCTGCAGACATAGAAAACCAAGCTAGAAGCTTGCACGGGTGAATGCCGGCAGTTGTGCCAATAAAAAAAAGGCTACCTGTGACTAGGCATGATCAAAATGGTGGGTCGTCTTCTCTTCTCTTTGCCAGCAACGTGTACAGTAAGGAGCAGACAAGATGGCACTGTCCAAGTGGAAAGTCCATTTACATAATAAGATTAGGGTGGGGCAACCAGCCTTCCCCACATGCTATGTAAATGTCACACCTGGTTGAACCAATCTGTGAGCCCTATGTAAATCAGACACTGCCTCCTCAAGCCTGCCTATAAAAATCTGCTGCATTCTGCCGCAGGCCACCTTTTCCCTTTTGGACACCTCTCTCTCACAAAAGACAGACCTGCTCTCCTCTCTCCTTTCTCCTGCCTATTAAACTTTCCACTCCTTAACCCACATCATGAGTGCGTGACAGTGTTGTTAATCTTCTCAGCGTGAGATGACGAACCCCACCCAGGTATTTACCCCAGACAAGGAGGCCACTTCATTAGTTTATGTTTAGGGGCACACAATGTATAAAGATATGTAATTTTGTGACATCTACAACGAAAAGAGGTGAACACAGTGTTGTATGTAATGAAGCAGAGTTTTTGTATGTTATTGAAGTTAAGCTGCTGTAAATTCAATCCTGTGTTAGAGTACTAACACAAGATTATCATGTTAAATGTAATCCTAATGGTAACCACGAAGAAAATAGCTAGAGAATATACACAGAAAGAAATGAGAAAGGAATTTAAACATTTTACTCCCCCAAAATACAAAAAGGACAGTAATGCAAGAAATGAGGGACAGAAAAGCTATAAGGCATACAAAAACATGTGACATAATGGGCTGGGCATGGTGGCTCACACCTGTAATCCCGACATTTTGGGAGGCTAAAGCGAGTGGATCACTTAAGATCAGAAGTTTGAGACCAGCTTGGCCAACATGGCGAAACTCTACTAAAAATACAAAAATTAGAAAAAAAAAAATACAAAAATTAGCCAGGCATGGTGTCACGTGCCTGTGGTCCCAGCTACTCAGGAGGCTGAGGTGGGAGGATTGCTTGAACCCAGGAGGTGGAAGTTGCAGTGAGCCCAGATCATGCCACTGCACTCCAGCCTGCATGACAGAGCAAGACTCTGTCTCAAAAAAAAAATTAATTAATTGAATTGAATAAAAAAGAAAACATATAACAAAATGAGAGAAGTAAGTCCCTCCTTATCAATAATTACTTTAAGTGTAAATAAATTAAATTTCCCAATCAAAAGACGAAGATTGGCAGAATGAAAAAAAAAATCCGCATGATCCTTTATATGCTGTCTACAAGCCACCCGTTTTAGATCCAAAAACACAAATAGATTGAAAGCGAAAAGATGGAAAAATATATTCCATGCAAATAGTAATCAAAAGAGAGTAGAGTGGCTAGACTAATATCAGACAAAATAGATTTTAAATCAAAAAGGGTTGTAAGAGACAAAGAATGATATTACATATTAAAGGTTCAATACAGCAAGAAGATATAACAATAACAAACATTTACACACCTAATGACAGGTCATCAAAATATACGATGCAGGCCAGGCGCGGTGGCTCACGCCTATAATCCCAGCACTTTGGGAGGCCGAGATGGGTGGATCACCTGAGGTCAGGAGTTCGACACCAGACTGGCCAACATGGTGAAACCCCATCTCTACTAAAAATACAATAGCTGGGTGTGGTGGCATGTGCCTGTAGTCCCA
This sequence comes from Homo sapiens, assembly GCF_000001405.40. NCBI lineage: Eukaryota > Metazoa > Chordata > Mammalia > Primates > Hominidae > Homo > Homo sapiens. Next base: position 37,422,373 of record NC_000006.12, on the reverse strand, counting down.
GTTACTCAGGAGGCTGAAGCAGGAGAATCACTTGAACCCATTGAACCCAGAAGGCAGAGGTTGCAATGAACCAAGATTGCACCACTGCACTCCAGCCTGGGAGACAGAGCAAGCCTCCAACTCAAAAAAATAAAAAATTAAAAAAAAAAATATATATATATACACACACATATATATATGTATATACATATATATATATATATAAAATGCAAAAACTGACAGAATTGAAGGGAGAAATAGGCAGTTCTACAACTATAGTTGGAGGTCTCAATACCCGCCCATGCAATGATGGATAGAACAACCAGATAAAAGGTAAGAAAATGCAGGAATTAAACAGTATAGTAAACCAATCAGGTCAAATAGACATGTACAGAACACTGTACTCAACAATGACATACTGCACATTTTTCTCAAATACACATGAAACATTCTCCAGGATAGACCATATGTTAGGCCACAAATTAAGTACCAATAGATTTTAAAAGATAGGGATCACACAAAGTATCTTCTCCAATCACAGTGGGATGGAGTCAGAAATCAATAACAGAAGTAAAACTGGAAATTTCACAAATTTGTGGATATTAAACAACATACTCTTAAACAACTAATACTTAGAAGTAAATGAAAATTAAAAACACAATACACCAAAACTTATGAGATGCAGCAAAAGCAGTGCTAAGGGAGAAATTTATAGCTACACATGCTTATATTAAAACAGTAAGAAAGATTTAAAATCAGCAACCTAACTTTACAGCTTAAGAACCTAGGGGCCGGCACCGTGGCTCACGCCTGTAATCCTAGCATTTTGGGAGGCCGAGGCAGGCCGACCACTTGAGGTCAGGAGTTTGAGACCAGGCTGGCCAACATGGTGAAACCCTGTCTCTACTAAAATACAAAAATCAGCTGGGTGTGGTGGCATGTGCCTGTAATTCCAGCTACTCAGGAGGCTGAGGCAGGAGAATTGCTTGAAACTGGGAGGCGGAGGTTGCAGTGAGCCGAGGTCCTGCCATTGCGCTCCAGCCTGGGGGACAAGAGTGAAATTCCGTCTCTTAAAAAAAAAAAAGAAAGAAAGAAAGAAAAAGAAAAAAAAGAGAGAAAGAAGCTAGGGGAAAAAGAACAAACTAAACCCAAAGCTGGTCTAAGGGAGAAAATAATAAGATTAGAGCAGAGATAAGGGAGATAAGGAAAATACAGACTAGAAAAACAATAGAGAAAATAGGCCGGTCATGTTGGTGCCCGCCTGTAATCCCAGCTACTTGGGAGGCTGAGGCAAGACCATCACTTGAACCCGGGAGGCAGAGGTTGCAGTGAGCCGGGATCGTGCCACTGCACTGTCACCTGGGCAACGGAGCAAGACTCTGTCTCAAAAAAAAAAAAAAGAAAGAAAGAAAGAAAGAAAAAAGAAAAAGAAAAACTATAGAGAAAATCAATGAAGTCAAAAGATATTTCTTTTAAAAAATTGACAAATCCCGGCCGGGCGCGGTGGCTCACGCCTGTAATCCCAGCACTTTGGGAGGCCGAGGCAGGCGGATCACGAGGTCAGGAGATCGAGACCATCCTGGCTAACACGGTGAAACCCCGTCTCTACTAAAAATACAAAACATTAGCCGGGCGTGGTGGCGGACGCCCGTAGTCCCAGCTGCTCGGGAGGCTGAGGCAGGACAATGGCGTAAACCCGGGAGGCGGAGCTTGCAGTGAGCCGAGATCGCGCCACTGCACTCCAGCCTGGGCGACAGAGCAAGACTCTGTCTCAAAAAAAAAAAAAAAAAAAAAGAAGAAGAAGAAGAAGAAAGAAAAGAGTTGTGGAGATGGATGGTGGTGATGTCTACCCAACATTATGAATATATTTCATAACATTGAACTGTACACTTAAAAATCGTTAAGAGGAAAGTTTCATGATGTGATTTTTGTTTTGCTTTGTTTATTTTGTTTTTTAAGAGACAGGATCTCACTCTGTTGCCCAGGCTGGAGTGCAGTGACACAATCATGGCTCACTGCAGCCTTAACTTGGTAGGTTCAAGAAATATTCCTGCCTTGGGGCCGGGCATGGTGGCTCACGCCTGTAATCCCAGCACTTTGGGAGGCCAAGGTGAGCGGATCACAAGGTCAGGAGTTTGAGACTAGCCTGGCCAACATAGTGAAACCCCGTCTCTACTAAAAATACAAAAATTAGCTGGGTGTGGTGGCAGGCGCCTGTAGCCCCAGCTACTCAGGAGGCTGAGGCGCGAGAATCGCTTGAACCTGAGAGGCAGAGGTTGCAGTGAGCTGAGACCATGCCATTGCACTCCAGCCTGGGTGACAGAGTGAGATTCCATCTCAAAAAAAAAAAAAGGAAATATTCCTGCCTTGGCCTCTCGAAGTGCTGAGATCACAGGCGTGAGCCACCATATCTGGCCCTGTTATGTGTATTTTACAGCAATAAAAAAATAGAAAAAAAAATCTAGCCTCAAGCAATAATATCTGTGAAAAAAAAAAACTGTCAAAATCAACTTTTTTTTTTTTTTTTTTTTGAGATGGAGTTTTGCTCTTGTTGCCCAGGCTAGAGTACAATGGCGCAATCGGCTCACTGCAAACTCCGCCTCCTGGGTTCAAGCGATTCTCCTGCCTCAGCCTCCCGAGTAGCTAGGATTACAGGCAAGTGCCACCACGCCCAGCTAATTTTGTATTTTTATTAGAGACGGGGTTTCTCCATGTTGGTCAAGCTGGTCTTGAACTCCCGACCTCAGGTGATCTGCCCACCTCGGCCTCCCAAAGTGCTGGGATTACAGGCGCGAGCCACTGCGCCCGGCCCAAAATCAACTTTTTCAGAACTCTGGAAAATATCAAAGACTTGCAAAATTTGAAGAGTGTTTATTCAACAATAATGGCTTAATCTCGGTAATACAGAGCTTTGTGATATTTCAACTTGTAGTTCCAATCCTTTTTGGCAGCTCCATGCTCACCTTGAAAAACAACAGCCTTGCAACTATGATAGCTGTGAAAACCAGCAATGTAGCCACCACTAGAGAGGACAAAAACGGGCTTTAACTTCCCAAAAGCCCCACCCCCAGAGAATTTGTCAGTATTCCACCTGTCTGGAAACTCTCTGAGAAGCTCTATTCTTAGAGCTTGTCTTATTTTACCTAACTCAGGGCTCACTCTGTGCAAACAGTCCTGTCTGCAGAGCATTGTCGAAAATAATTAGCAGCAATTGTTTCACAGTGCAGCTGCCTGAGGCAGTATTACAAATTGGTGCTAACAAAAATATTAAAAAGAAAAACCTGGGGAATGAGATGTCCATAGAAGGCTCAGAAAAGCCCTGAATATTCCACGAGAGCTAGAAGGCCACATGCATGTGCAGGGCTACACAAATGCCCGGGAGAGATCTGAGAAGGCCCTAATCTCTCACCTTTGACTTTGAGGCTCTATACAATAAAAGCATAAAGTGAAGGTTAAGACACGGTTGTATACTGCCTGCCAGAGCATTGAAGCCATACACCAACACACACTGAGAGACCTTCAAAAAGGCTGGGAGATTTATTGGTTCATGGAATTTATGGAAATCTGTCCAGTCGTTAGGCAACCACTAAGCTTACCAAGTAGAGATTCAGTAGACAAACATGAAAAAGTACACAGACTGCAGAATTAGTCCAGGAAAGTGACCGAAAAAAAAAAAAAAAAAAAAAACCAGCAACAAAACAAACCTGGGTGATCTGATTTCCACAGGTGCCATGTTATTTTAAATGTTTGGTTTTCAACAAAAAATTAAGAGACACACAAAGAAATGGTGAAGTATGGCCCACAGATGGGCGGAAAAGCAGTTAATAGAAAGTGTACCTGAAGAAGCACAAACACTGGACATATTAGACAAAGACTTTAAGTCAGCTATTATCATATGTTAAAAGAATTAAAGGAAACTATGTCTAAAGAATTAAAAAGAAAGGATGAGGACAATGTCCCACCAAATAGAGAAAATAAAGAGATAAAAATTACTTTTTAAAAAAGAACCAAATAAGACTTAATTGTCTTCTCCAAAAATTTATATGTCGAAGCCCTAACCTATATCATGACTGTATTTGGAGATGGGGTTTTAGGATGTATTTAAAGTTAAATGAGGTCCTAAGGATGGGCTCCTAATTTGATAGAATTGGTCATCTTATGAGAAGAGGAAGATCACTCACTATCTCCCTCTCCCCTTCCCATTCCTCCGTCCCCCTCTTCCTCCAGGTGCACACAATGAAGGAAGGCCATGGCCCACAGAGAGAAGATGGCCATCTGTAAGCCAGGAAGAAAACTCCCACCAGAACCTGACCATGCTGGCTGCAGAATTGTGAGAAAATACATTTCTTTTGTTTAAGCCACCCAGTCTATGGTATTTTGTTAGGACAGCCCTGGCTGACTAAGACAGCACTCAACAGCAGAGTTGAATTGTCAAAAGAAAGAATCATAAAACTTGAAGTCAAATGAGATTACCCAGACTAAGGCACAGAAAAAAACAATAGTGATGAATAAAAATGAACAAAGCCTCAGACACCTATGGGACACCAGCAAGTGTACCAACAAACACATAATGGGAGCCTCAGACATAGAGGATAGAGAGAGGAGCAGAAATAATATTTGAAGAAATAAGGGCCAAAAACTTCCCAAATTTACTGAGAAGCATTAATCTGCACAACCAAAAAGCTCAATAACCTCCAAGTAGGATAAACTCACAGATGCACACTATATATCATAGTCAAAGTGTCAAAAAAAACAATGAGAGAATCTTGAAAGCAGCAAAAGAAGCAACTCATCACATATAATGGATCCTCAATAAGATTAACAGCTGATTTCTCATTAGAAACCATGGAGGCCAGAAGGCATATTCAAAATGTTGAAAGAAAAAGACTCGCAACCAATAATTTTTTTTATCACTCTCACTAAATTTGTTTAGCTTATTAATACTTTCAAACAACTACCTTTTTTTTTTTGAGATGGAGTGTCGCTCTGTTGTCAGGCTGGAGTGCAGTGGCGCGATCTCGGCTTACTGCAACCTCCACCTCTCGGGTTCAAGTGATTCTCCTGCTGCAGCCTCCCATGTAGCTGGGATTACATGCACGTGCCACTACACCTGGCTAATTTTTGTATTTTTAGTAGAGACGGGGTTTCACCATGTTGGCAAGGATGGTCTCGATCTCTTGACCTCATGATCCTCCTGCCTCAGCCTCCCAAAGTGCTGGGATTACAGGTGTGAGCCACTGTGCCCAGTCACAACTACCTATTTTTAAAGAGATGGTGTCTCACTATGTTGCTCAGGCTGGCCTTCACCTCCTGGGTTCAAGTGATCCTCCCACCTGAGCCTCCCAAGTAGCTGGGATTACAGGCATACGCCACTATGCCCAGGTTCAGCCAAGAATTCCATACCCAGGAAAACTATCTTGCAAACATGAAATAGAGGCCGGGCGCTGTGGCTCATGCCTATAATCCCAGCACTTTGGGAGGCCAAGGGGGGCGGATCACAAGATCAGGAGTTCAAGACCAGCCTGGACAATATAGTGAAACTCCATCTCTACTAAAAATACAAAAATTAGCCAGGTGTGTTGGCTCATGCCTGTAGTCCCAGCTACTTAGGAGGTTAGGGCAGGAGAATCGCTTGAACCTTTGAGGCAGAGGTTGCAGTGAGCCAAGATCATGCCATTGCACTCCAGCCTGGGCAACAAGAGTGAAACTCCATCTCAAAAACAAAAACAAAAAACAAAAAAAAGTGAAAGAGAAATGAAGACATTTCCAGATAAACAAAAACAAAAAAGAGAATCTGCTGTTAGCAGACCTTCCTTACAAAAAATATGGAAAAGAGTCCTTCATGCTAAAATGAAAGAATACCAGACAGTAAATCAGTAAATTGAATACACACACACACACACACACACACACACACACACACACACACACAAAAGCAGATGTTCAACTCAATATGGGGTTAGACCCCAATAGACTCATCGTAAGTTTAAAATATCATAAGTCAAAAATGCATTTAATACCCCAATAAACCCACTGTAAAGTCAAAAAATTGTCCATTAAACCATCGTATGTTGTCAACTAGCAGCCTCAAATCTATTTTGGGAATAGGAACTGGAAAGAAATTATACTCAGAGTTCTCTGTTTCATATTCTCTTCCATTTTCATCCTTTCCTCCTGAGCAGAAAATCAAGTGAGAAGCAACTTGAGAAGATGGATTTTTTTCTTCTTTTAAAAATAAAAAAAAAACAAATACCAAAAATAGTCAAAATTCACTAAAACAATTAAAATTGAGTATTTAAAATTTTCAAATAATCCAAAAGAAGGCAAGAAAGGGAAAACAGAAGTACAAAAAACAAAAAAAAAACAGAAAACAAATAATAAAATCGTAGACCTAAGTCCAAACATATCAATAGTTGCATTAAATGTCAATAATCTAAAAAAAAAATTAAAAGACAGATATTATAGAAGAACTTTTTAAAAATCAAGAACCAATTACATGCTGTGTACAAGAAACTCACTTTAAATATAAGGGTATAAACTGGGTCTGGTGGCTCACTCCTGTAATCCTACCACTTTGGGAGGCCAAGGCAGGCAGATTGAGCTCAGGAGTTTGAGACCAGCCTGGGCAACGTGGCGAAAACCTGTCTCTACTAAAAATACAAAAAAATTAGCCAAGCATGGTGACACGTGCCTGTAGTCCCAGCTATCTGGGAGGCTGAGGCATGAGAATTACTTGAACCCTGAAGATAGAGATTGCAGTGAGCCAAGATCATGCCACTGCTCTCCAGCTTAGGAGACAGAAAGAAACTCTGTCTCAAAAAACAAACAGACTATATATATATATATATATATATATATATATATATATATATATACACACACACACACATATATACACATATGTACATATATACACACATATATACTATTTATTTATATTATATATTATATATATATGGGTATAGGTAGATAGAAGGATATTAAATGATACAACATGCAAACACTGATCAAAAGAAAACTAGGCTGGGCTCAGTGGCTCAAGCCTATAATCCCAGCACTTTGGGAGGCTGAGGCGGGCAGATCACCTAAGGTCAGGAGTTCAAGACCAGCCTGGCCAGCATGGTGAAACCCCATCTCTACTAAAAATACAAAACTTAGCCGGGCATGGTGGCATGCACCTGTAATCGCAGCTACTCAGGAGGCTGAGGCAGGAAAATCGCTTGAACCTGGGAGGCGGAGGTTGCAGTGAGCTGAGATCACACCACTACTCCAGCCTGGGCAACAGAGTGAGACTCCATCTTAAAAAAAGAAAAAAGAAAGAAAATGCTTTGAAGAAAATGAAAATAAAAATACAACATATCAACATTTGCAGGATGCAGCTAAATAATGCTTAGAGGGAAATTTTATAGTATTTAATTGTATTTAAGAAAAGAAGAGCCAGGCGTGGTGGCTCATGCCTGTAATCCCAGCACTTTGGGAGGCTGAGGCAGGCAGATCACCTGAGATCAGGAGTTTGAGACCAGCCTGGCCAGCATGGCGAAATCCCATCTCTACTAAAAATACAAAAATTAGCTGGGTGTGGTGGTGCATGCCAGCTACTGGGGAGGCTGAGGCAGGAGAACTGCTTGAATCTGGGAGGCAGAGGTTGCAGTGAGCCAAGATCATGCCACTGCACTCCAGCCTGGGTGACAGAGCAAGACTCCATCTCAAAAAAAAAACTTAAGAAAAGAAGAAAGGTCCCAATTCAACAATCAAAGTGTCTACCTCTAGAAATTAGAAAAACAAGAGCTAATAAACCCAAAGCAATGAGAGGAAGAAAATAATAAAAATATAAAGATAAATTAATAAAATTCAAAACAGTAAAATGAGGGAAAAATAAAGAAACCAAAAATCCGGTTATTTGAAAAGATTAATAAGATTAATAAACTTCTTGTCAGACTGACAGAGGAAAATAAAAGAGGATACATATTACCCATAGCAGGAATGAAAGAGGGGATATCTCTACAGACACTACAGTCATTAGAAAGTTTGGCCGGGCACGGTAACTCACACTTGTAATCCCAGCACTTTGGGAGGCTGAGGTGGGCAGATCACCTGAGGTTGGGAATTCAAGACCAGCCTGACCAATATGGAGAAACCCCATCTCTACTAAAAATACAAAATTAGCTGGGTGTGGTGGTGCATGCCAGTAATCCCAGCTACTCGGGAGGCTGAGGCAGGAGAATCGCTTGAACCCAGGAGGCAGAGGTTGCGGTGAGCCGAGACCACGCCATTGCACTCCAGCCTGGGCAACAAGAGTGAAACTCCATCTCAAAAAAAAGAAAAGAAAAGAAAAGAAAATTAATGAGAAATACTGTAAACGTCTTTACACACATAAGTGGACCCATTGATAAGGGCCAACTTCTTAAAAATTGCAAACTACTGAAACTCATCCAAGAAGAAATAGATTACCTGAACAATCCTATATCTATTAAAGAAATTGAATTCATTATTTTAAATACCATCTTCAAAAATTGAGGTCCAGATAGCTTTGCTGGTGGAGTCCACCAAACATATAAAGAAGAAATGATACCAAGTCTACAGAATCTCTTCTAGAAAATAGATTAAGAAGGAACAATTTGGCCAGGCACAGTGGCTCACGCCTGTAATCCCAGCACTTTGGGAGGCCGAGGCCAGTGGATCATGAGGTCAGGAGATCGAGACCATCTTGGCTAACCCGGTGAAACCCCGTTTCTACTAAAAATACAAAAAATTAGCCGGGCGTAGTGGCAGGTGCCTGTAGTCCCAGCTACTCGGGAGGCTGAGGCAGGAGAATGGCATGAACCCGGGAGGTGGAGCTTGCAGTGAGCCCAGATCGCGCCACTGCACTCCAGCCTGGGCGACAGAGCAAGACTCCGTCTCAAAAAAAAAAAAAAAAAAGAAGAGGAAAAATTTGGCCAGGCACAGTGGCTCACGCCTATAATTACAGCACTTTGGGAGGCCAAGGTGGGCAGATCATGAGGTCAAGAGTTCGAGGCCAGCCTGGCCAACATAGTGTAACCCCATCTCTGCTAAAAATACAAAAATTAGCCAGGCATGTTGGCGCGCGCCTGTAGTCCCAGCTATTTGGGAGGCTGAGGCAGGAGAATTGCTTGAACCTGGGAGGTGGAAGTTGCGGTGAGCCAAGATCGCGCCACTGCACTCCAGCCTGGGCAACAGAGTAAGACTTCACCTCAAACAAAACAAAACAAAACAAAACAAAACAAAAAGAAATATTTTCCACCATATCTTTTGAGGCTCAGCATCACCCTGATACAACAAGCAGATAAAGACAGTAGAGTGAAAGAAAATCACAGACCAATATCCTTCATGAATAAAAAAACAAATATCCTAAACAAAATACTAACAAATCAAATCCAGCAATATATAAAAAGAATTATACACCATGGCCCACTTGCAAGACTGTTTAAATATTCAAAGATCAACCAATATAATCTATCACATTAACATACTTAAGTATCAAAACTTCATATTAATTGCTGCTGAAAAAGCATTTAACAAAATTAAACAGCCACTAATTATTAAAAATTAGTAATAAAAGGGAACTGTTATAACCTGATAATGAAGGATATATGTGTATATTCATATTGGTGTGCATATATATATAGCTAACATCCTATTCAAATCCTAGTGGATGTCCTAGACAGTGAAATAAAGGCAGGGGAAAAGGGCATACAATTGGCAAGGAAAAAAGAAAAGTGTCCTTTTCAACACATTACATGATGAATTCACAGAAAAATCACAAAGAATCTACCAAAAAAGCTCCTAGAATTAATAAGTGAGTTTTCGAAGTTTGCAGAATCCAAAATCAATAGATAAAGATGAATATTTCTATATGCGGCCAGGCACAGTGGCTCATGCCTGTAATCCCAGCACTTTGGGAGGCTGAGGAAGGTGGCTCACCTGAGGTGAGGAGTTCGAGGCCAGCCTAGCCAACATGGTGAAACTCTGTCTCTACTAAAAATACAAAAATTTGCCGGGCATGGTGGTGTGCACCTGTAATCCCAGCTACTCAGAAAGGTGAGACAGGAGCATTGCTTGAACCCAGGAGTCAGAGATTACAGTGAGCCAAGATTGCCCCACTGTGCTCCAGCCTGGGTGACACAGCAAGACTACATCCCAAAAAAAAAAAAAAAGAATATATATATGTATATTATATGTTATATATATTATATATTTATATATTATATTTTAAATATACTTATATAATATAAAATACATATTTCTATATGCTTGCAATTAATTGGAAATTAAACAAAAATTTAAATTATTTACAATAGCTTAAAGAAAATGAAATATTCTAACAAAACTTGTGCAGGATATGTCTGCTAAACAATATAAAATGCCAATGAACCAAATCGAGATAGACCTATATAGAGAGATATAAAACATTCATGGATTAAAAAACTCAATATAGTTAAGATGTCAATTATCTCTAAATGATCTATTGATTTAATACAACTCCAGTAAAAATTCCAATAGGAATTTTTGTAGAAATAGATACATGGATTTTAAAATTTATGTGGAAAGGCAAAGGAACATGGATAGCCAGCAACAATTTTGAAAAAGAAGAATAAAGCTGGAGGATTCATACTACCCAATTTTAAGACTCACTATAAAGCTACAGTAATCAAGGCAGTGTGGTGCTATAAAGTAATAGAAACACAATCAGTAGGACAGAGAATAGAGTTCAGAAATTGGCCACAAAAACACTGCCAGTTGCTTTTCCCGCCTTGAGACACACAAAAATACAAACCAATTGCTTTTTAAAAACTTTTTACCAAAAACAGGTATATTTCTGATCAAACTAATTGCTTTTTGACGAAAGTGCAAAGGAGTAGGATATTATTCAGCCATAAAAAGAATGAAAGCCTCTCATTTGCAGTAACATGGATGAAACTGGAGGCTATTATGTTAAGTGAAATAAGCCAGGCACAGAAAGACAAATATGTTATCACCCATATGTGGGAGCTAAAGCGGTAGATCTCATGAAAATAGAGAGTAGACTGGTGGTTTCCAGAGGCCAAGAAGGGGAGGGAAAGGAGGGATGAAGAGAAAAAAAAGAATATAAATGTAATTATTACCACTGGACTGTACACTTGAAGTTGACAAAGATGGTAAATTTTACATGAATATTTTACCTCAACAAAAAAATAAAATTTTTTAAAATACAAAGACTTAGTTGTGGAGAAAGAGTTGCCTTTTAACAAATGGTGTTAGAACACCAGCTGAATATCCATATGCAAAAAAAAGCTCTATCCTTATAGAGTTTGAAACTCTGTACAAAAATTAAACCAAAATAGATCATAGATCTAAACAAAAATCGTAAAACTATAATGCTTTGAGGAGAAAACCTTAATGACCTTGGGTTAGGCAAAGACTACTTAAATATGACACAAAAATCATGATTCATAAAAAAATTGATAAATTTGGCTGCATCAAAATGGAAAACTATTGCTCTGAAAAAGATGCTGTTAAGAAAATGAAAAGAAGCTGCAGAGTGGGAGAAAATATCTGCAAATTGTTTATCCCACAATGAATTTGTATCCAGAATATACAAAGAACTCTCAATATTCAACCATAAGAAAACAATTCAATTTTTTAAATGGGTCAAAGATTTGAACAGATAGTTCACCAAGGAAAGTATGTGGATGACAAAGAAGTGCTTGAAATTAGCTATTATGGAAATGAAAGCTAAAACAATGGTTAGTTATACACTTATTAGAATGATTACAATTTTTTTAAAAAAACCTGACAATACTAAGTGCAGGAGAAGATGTAAAGCAACTGGAAGTGTTTATTTTATTTTATTTTATTTTATTTTATTTTTTTTTAGACGGAGTTTCGTTCTTGTTGCCCAGGCTGGAGTGCAATGGCGCGATCTCGTCTCACTGCAACATCCGCCTCCCGGGTTCAAGCGATTCTCCTGCCTCTGCCTCCCTAGTAGCTAGAATTACAGACATGTGCCACCATGCCCAGCTAATTTTGTATTTTTAGTAGAGACAGGGTTTCTCCATGTTGGTCAGGCTGGTCTGGAACTCCCGACCTCAGGTGATCCGCCCAAAGTACTGGGATTACGGGCATGAGCCATCGCGCCCGGTCGTTAATTTTTTTTGAGATGGAGTTTTACTCTGTTGCCCAGGCTGGAGTACAATGGCGTGATCTCGGCTCACTGCAACCTCTGCTTCCTGGGTTCTCCTGTCTCAGCCTTGCAAGTAGCTGAAATTACAGGCACCCGCCACCATGCCCAGCTAATTTTTGTACTTTAGTAGAGATGGGGTTTCACCATGTTGGTCAGGCTGGTCTTGAACTCCTGAACTCAGATGATCCACCCACCTCGGCCTCCCAAAGTGCTGGTATTACAGGTGTGAGCCACTGCTCCCAGTCACAACTGGAAGTCTTATACATTACGTGGGAATACAAAATCGTACTGGAAGTCTGGATAACAGTTTGGCAGTTTTTTGTAACAAAACTTAAACACATGCTTACTAAATGACCCAGCAGTTCCACTGAACTATTTAATAACTAGAATCTTATGCTCACAGATAAATGAATCTTATGCTCACAGAACAACCACAAACAAATGATTTTAGCGGCTCTTTTCATAATTGTCAAAATCTGGAAACCAAATGTTGTTCAACAGGAGAATAAATAAACTGTATATAGCTATACAATGGAATACTATGCAAGTAATAAAAATGAACAAACTGTTGACATAAGCAATGGCATGAAAAAAGTTTAAAATGCTAACTGGAAGAAGCCAGGCTCCAATTGTTACATACTGTATGATCCCATCTACATGACCTTCTGGAGAAGGCAAAACTACAGGACAAAGAATACATCAGTGGTTGCTAGGGGTTAGAGATGGGGAGGGGGGAGTTTGACCACAAAACAAAGGGGAATCTATGAGGGATTTTTTAGGGTGATGAAACTGTTTTACATCTTGATTGTGGTGGTGGTTACACAGCTCTACATGTGTATTAAAACTTATAGAACTGTATACCAAAAAGCCAATTTAATTGTATTCTATTATTTATCAAGAAAATGCAAATTAAAACCACCACAATGAAATACCACTTCCCACTCACTCGAATAGCTAAAATTAAACATACAGACAAAACCAAATGCTGACAGGGTATGGAGCAACCGTAACTCTCACACATTACTGTGGGAGTGTAAAATGGCACAACTATTTTGGAAATCAGTGTGGCAGTTTCTCATGAAGTTAAATATACACCTACTCTATGACCCAGCAATTTCACCTCCAGATATTTACAATAGAATGAAAACATATGCACACAAAAAGGCTTGCACATGAATGTTCACAGCAGTTTTATTCATAATCACTTCAAAAATAAAATGCTGTGAAAAAAAACCATGCACAGAAGAGTATACACGCTATGATTTTATTTATATGAAGTTCAAGAAGAGTCAGAACTAATCTATGGTGATACTTGAGGAGTAGTTGGCTCTGGGACCGAGGAATTACTGAAAAGAAGTATGAGGGAATTTGGTGGGATGCTGGAAATATTTTATACTTTGATTGATGTGGTGGTTACCCAGGTACATACATTGCCAACACTTACGGAACTGTTCACTTAAGATCTGTGAATTTGGCTGGGCGTGGTGGCTCACACCTGTAAACCCAGCACTTTGGGAGGCTGAGGCAGGTGAATCATGAAGTTAGAAGTTTGAGACCAGCCTGGTCAATATGGTGAAACCTCATCTCTACTAAAAATACAAAAATTAGACGAGTGTGGCAGTGTGTGCCTGTAGTCCCAGTTACTTGGGAGGCTGAGACAGAAGAATTGCTTGAACCTGGGAGGCAAAGGTTGCAGTGAGCCAAGATCGTGCCACTGTACTCCAGCCTGGGCGACAAAGTGAGATTCCATCTCAAAAAACAAAACAAAACAAAAAAGCTGTGACTTCACAGTATGTAAAATTTAACACAATAAAAACACTTAACATATATATGTGCATGTGTGTGTATGTATGTATGGTAAAATTTATAAAGGAAAGAGCTTTAATCAACTCAGTTCCACGTTGCTGTGGAGGCCTTAGGGAACTTACAATCATGGCAGAAGGCAAAGGAGAAGCAGATACCTTCTTCATGGGGCGGCAGAACAGAGTGAGTGCAAGCAGGGGAAACACCAGATGCTTATAAAACCATTAGATCTCATGAGACTCATTCATTTATCATGAGAACAGCACAGAGGAAACTGCTCCTATGACTCAATTACTTCTACCTGGTCTGGCCCTTGACACATAGGGATTATGGGGATCATTATACGATTCGAAGTGAGATTTGAGTACGGACACAGAGCCAAATCATATCAGTATATATGTGAAAAGGCTGTTACTTAGCTTAAATAAGAAAATTAAATTGTAAGATGATGTTTGACAATGAATGTTTTGTTACACATAAAATCAATCTTCAAATGTCGTAAGTGTTGAAAAATCCCCATTTGTGGATTCAAAAACTATTGTTGCAAACAGAATTAAAGTTTCTGGACCTTGTTAAAAATCAAGGCAAAGATGATCCTTTCTTAAGGAATTCAATAATTTTTCAAGGATTTTTGAGTTAAACTTCAACTGTATTTTTTATCCTAAGATCAATTAATTCATCTTCAGTTAGGTCAACATCTTAACATCTTTGATTCAGTTTGTGTAAGAAAGAAATAGATTGCAGGTCTCTGGGTCAACTTAGAAGCCATCAAGATAGACATAGCCTTTGGAAGACATCTGAAGTGTTCAAGAAATTTACAGATTTCTGTTTTCAAAGAAAACAACAGAGAATTGTGTATTACAACTCCATCTTAGAACAGCATATCCTCCAGCTTCTTTCTTATTGACCACTTAGCCAAGAATGTTTTTAATTTTTTCAGTAGCATCTATAGTGTTGATTTCATAACATTGAATTGAAGGTTCAACTCATTCATATGGTTTCAAGTATCTGCCAGGTAAGCCAACACATTGATAAAATTCCTTTTCTCATAATGTCCCAAGAGTGGGTTTTCTTTTCTTTTGCTCTTGTTTTATTTCAGTTAAAGTAAAACTTCAGTCCTTAGTTTGAAAAAGTGCTTCAAGGCATATTCTCATGAAGGTCAGTAAACCTCTGTGTGGAGAGAAGCAATTCATATTTTGCTCTCACATCTTAATGGAAAATTTTTAACATGTTTGACTCGGAGACCTACCTCTGATAAAGTTGATGACGTTTATGGCTGTTGACACACCTTATTTTTCAGGATTGTTGAAAGAATCTTTCTTGTCAGTACATGCCTCTGTAAAAAGAAAATAATAATGATGATGCCTATGTGAAGAGTTTGCTTTCTCATTAAAGTAGGAAAACTAGATGAAATATCAAGCATTGCAGGAGCTCCATCTGTGCAGAGTATGAAAGTTTTCGTTCCAAAGTTTTATTTGGCAAAAAATCCTTTCACCATTTCCAAAATGAACAGGTTTTGTAGTTTCCAAAAGGACTCACAAAATAAGAATTCTTATTTGATGGCATCAGCATGCATACAGAAACAAAAAGAGGGAGCTGGCTACATTGAGAGATGTCTGCCAGGAGACATGTCTTACTTAGATGCCCTTTCAAGCTGGGCAGATGTGATATACTCTTTCAATTTTTCTGATGTCATACTTTAATTCACATTAATTGTTATAGACACACACACCACTCTGCCTTTTGTGTCCCATAACGTTCAATAATGGAAGTTAAAAAATATAACATATGATCTTCATCATTTGTCATTTTCTGTGACATTTCATTTTAAATTGGGTTTGTAAAAAATATGCAAAGTAGGCCAGGCGTGCTGGCTCATGCCTGTAATCATAGCACTTTGGGAGGCCAAGGCGGGCGGATTGCTTGAACTCAGGAGTTTGAGACCAGCCTGGCCAACATGGTGAAGCCCCGTCTCTATCAAAAATTCAAAAAATTAGCCGGGGGCCAGGCGCAGTGGCTCAAGCCTGTAATCCTAGCACTTTGGGAGGCCAAGGCGGGTGGATCACCTGAGGTCAGGAGTTTGAGACCAGCCTGATCAACACAGTGAAACCCCATCTCTACTAAAAATGCAAAAATTAGCTGGGCATGGTGGCACACGTCTGTCATCTCAGCTACTTGGGAGGCTCAGGGAGGAGAATCACTTGAACCCGGGAGGTGGTGGTTGCAGTAAGCCGAGATTGTGCCACTGCACTCCAGCCTGGGCAACAGAGTAAGACGTCTCAAAAAAAAAAAAAAAAATTAGCCAGGCATGGTGGCGTGCGCCTGTGGTCCCAGGGAGGCTGAGGCCAGAGGATCATTTGAACCTAGGAGGCGGAGGTTGCAGTGAGCCAAGATAGCACCACTGCACTCCAGCCTGGGCAACAGAGTTAGATTCTGTGAAAGGAAGAAAGGAAGAAAAGAAAGAAAGAAAGAAGGAAAGAAAGAAAGAAAGAAAGAAAGAAAGAAAGAAAGAAAGAAAGAAAGAAAGAAAGAAAGAAAGAAAGAAGGAAAGCAAGCAAGCGAAAGCGTGCGAGCAAGCAGGCAGGCAAGCTAAAATAAAAACTTTGATCCAATTTACTTGGTTTAACTTTTTTATTTTGAAATAATTCCAGACTTACAGAAAATTTGCAAGAATAATACAAGGAATTTCCATATACCTTTGACTTGGATTCTCCAGTTGCTAACATTTTACCACATTTACTCTGTCATGTTCTCTCATATATGTCTCTTTATGTATACATAGTTTTCTGTATTATTATTTTATATACACACATACTTATCTCTTTATATAAGTAAATGTTGTTTTTATGAACCATTGAAAGTAAATTACAATGAGGCATAATGCCTCATTATCCCTAAATGCTTCAGTGTTCATGTCATAGAAACAAGGATAGTCTGTTACTTAACTACAGTATAATTATAAAAATCAGGAGGTTAACATTGATATGACACTTGAATCTATATTCATATTTCACCAGTTGTCCCATGGTGTCCTTTGTAGTAAACAAGAATTTTTTTTTTTTTTGAGACGGAGTTTCACTCTTGTTGCCCAGGCTGGAGTACAGTGGCATGGCTTGGCTCACTGCAACCTCTGCCTCCTGAGTTCAAATGATTCTCCTGCCTCAGCCTCCCGAGTAGCTGGGATTACAGGAGCCTGCCACCACGCCTGGCTAATTTTGTATTTTTAGTATAGACAGGGTTTCACCATGTTGGCCAGGCTGGTCTGGAACTCCTGACCTCAAGTGATCCGCCCGCCTCAGCCTCCCAAAGAGCTGGGATTACAGGTGTAAGCCACTGCACCCAGCCGTAAATAAGATTTTTTTTTCCCAAGGATCATTTCAGGATCATATATCAAATTATATGTAATGCCTCTTTAGTCCCCTTTAATCTGGAACAGTTCCTAAATTTATCTTCGTCTTTCATAATCTTGACATTTTAAAAAAGTTATCTAGTCGAAAGTCTCCACCAGGTGCATTGGTTCATGCCTGTAATCCCAACACTCTGGGAGGCTGAGGTGGGAAGATTGCTTGAGTTTGAGAACAGCCTAGGCAACATGGCGAGACTCCATCTCCACAAAAGAAAATAAAAAATTACCCAGGCATGGTGGCATGTGCCTGTAATCCCAGGCACTTGGGATGAGGCGGAAGGGTCGCTTGAGCCTGGGAGGCGGATGTTGCGGTGAACCTTGATTGCACCACTACACTCCATCCTGGGTGACAGAGCAAGACCCTGTAACAACAACAATAAAAGGAAAGTCTCTCAATTGTATTTGTCTAAGTTTCTTCATGATTAAGTTGGAGTCATGTACTTTTGGCAATAATACATTGAAATGATAGTGTCCCTTCTATCAGGAAGGACATGATGTCAGTTTGCACCATTACTAGTGAAGTTAACTTTGAACACCTTGGCCAGGCACAGTGGCTCATGCCTGTAATCCCAGCACTTTGGGAGGCCAAGGCGGGTGGATCATGAGGTCAGGAGATTGAGACCATCCTGGCAAACACAGTGAAACCCCTGTCTCTACTAAAAATACAAAAAATTAGCTGGGCATGGTGGCGGGCGCCTGTAGTCCCAGCTACTCGGGAGGCTGAGGCAGGAGAATGTAGTGAACCCGGGAGGCAGAGCTTGCAGTGAGCCGAAATCAAGCCACTACAGTCCAGCCTGGATGACAGAGCAAGACTCCATCTCAAAAAAAAAAAGAAATCCCCATCAAAATACCAAAGTGATTTTTCACAGAATTAGAAAAAACTATCCTAAAGTTCATATGGAACCAAAAAGAGCCTGAATCGTCAAAGAGTCCTAAGCAAAAAGAACAAAGTTGAAGGCATCACGGTATCTGACCTCAAATTATACTGCAAGACTATAGTAACCAAACCAGCTTAAAAACAGATATAAAAACAGTATAAAAATAGACACATAGATCGATGGAAGAAAATAGAAAACCCAGAAATAAAGCCACATATCTACAGCCAACTGACATTTGACAAAGTCAACAAAAACATACACTGGGAAAAGGACACACTTTTCAATAAATGGTGCTGGGAAAATTGGATAGCCATATACGGAAGAATGAAACTGGGTCCCATCTCTCACAGCATACAAAAATTAACTCAACATGGATTAAAGACTTAAGTTTAAAACCTGAAACTATAAAAATACTAGCAGAAAACCTAGGGAAAACTCTTCTGGACATTGGCAAAGAATTCATGACTAAGACCTCAAAAACACAAGCAACAAAAACAAAAATAGGTAAGTGAGGCTTAATTAAGCTAAAAAGAAATAATCACACAGCAAAAGAAATAATCAACAGAGTGAACAACTTGCAGAATGGGAGAAAATATTTCCAAATTATTCATGTGACAGGGGACTAATATCCAGAATTTACAATAAACTCAAACAACTCAACAACAAAAACATAAATAACCCCATTAAAAATTGGGCAAAGGACATAATAGACATTTTTCAAAAGAAGACAGAGAAATGGCCAACGTGCATATGGAAAAATGCTCAACATCACTAGTGACAGAGAAATGCAAATTAAAACCAAGAGATGTCATCTTACATCAGTCAGAATGGCCATTATTAAGAAGTTTTTAAATAACAGATATTGACAAGGATACAGAGAAAAGAGAACGCTTTTACACTGTTGGCGGGAATGTAAATCAGTAAAACCTCTAAGGAACACAGTATAGAGATTTCCCAAAGAACTAAAAATAGAACTACTATTCAATCCAGCAATCCCACTACTGGGTATCTACTCAAAGGAAAAGCAATCATTATATCAAGAAGATATGCCAGGCGCAGTGGCTCATGCCTGTAATCCCAGCACTTTGGGAGGCCTAGGTGGGCAGATCATCTGAGGTCAGGAGTTCCAGACCAGCCTGGCCAACACGGTGAAACCCCATCTCTACTGAAAATACAAAAAAATTAGCCAGGCATGGTGGTGGGCACCTGTAGTCTCAGCTACTTGGGAGGCTGACGCATGAGAATCACTTGAACTCAGGAGGCAGAGGTTGCAGTGAGCCACTGCACTCCAGCCTCAGTGACAGAACGAGACTCCGTCTCAAAAAAAACAAAAAAAAAAAAACAAAAAAAACCCTGCACTCATTGTTTATCACAGCACTATTTACAATAGCAAAGATATGGAATCAACCTAAGTGTCCAACAGTGGATGATTGGATCAGGAAAATGTGGTATATACACACAATGGAATACTACTTATTCATAAAAAAATAAAATCGTGTCTTTTATAGCAACATGGATGGAACTGGAGGCCCTTATCTTAAGTGAAACAACTCAGAAGCAGAAAGTCAAATATTGCATGTTCTCATTTATAAGTGGAAGCTAAATAGTATGTGCACATGGACATAGAGTGTGAAGGGACAGGCATTTAAGACTTGGAAGGGTAAGGAGCAGAAAGGGGAAGGTGATGATGAGAAATTACCTAATGAGTACAAGATACATTATTTGGGTGATGGATGCTAAAAGTCAAGACTTCACCACTAGGCAATGTATCCATGTAACAAAATTGCACTTGTGCCCCTTAAATTTATACAAGAGAATGTAGTTTAGGTGCTGTGCTAGGGGGCAAAAAGGACAAATATAGGTGAGATAGTTGCAGGAAAGGGGAAGATATCAAAGAAGATTTTTGCAACATTTCATGACAACGTGAGGTGGGAAATTAAAGAAAAAATTGAAAGAGAAATAAGCTTTTCTGTATTAGGCTGACTTGACCCAGAGGCGGCAACAAGCACAGGCCAGACCCAGGAAAAGTCTTAATAATATTATCTAACGTGCTCTGCAGACTCTCCCAGCACTCCCTCAACATAGGGAGAAGAAAAACAAATTTTCCTTTGTTTTATGGCATGAGTTTATAGATTCTTGTTCTCTGTAACTAGTAACTTCAAGTATTCTGTTTTATCTAATGAGTACAATGAAGGTCATGAGAAGCCTGAGCAGGCCTGAACTACAGCTGCCTGGGCACCATAGTGAAGGTTATGAGATAAGCCAGTGCAAGGCTCTTTAGAGCAAAACCTAGATAACAGACATCTGGGTTGCACAGCAATGGTCATGTGCAATCCTAAGTTATGAACCTGTTACAAGTTAATTAACTGTCTTTGTCCTGCCTCTGTATCCCTGCTTTCATGCCACTGTAAGCTTGCCCACTCCCTTTTGTGAAGTGTGTATAAAAGTCAAGTGCTGTCTTTGTTCTGTGCCCAGTCTTTGGACATTAAGTCTGCTGGGTCTGATTGCACTCAATAATAAAGACATCCTCCTGTATACACCCCAAGGTCTCTCTCTGGTCCTCCTAATTCCACAACAAATGCATAATTTGTTCCTGCTGTTGCAGCTGAAAATTAAAGAGAAAAGAGAGTGGGAGATTAAGAGGTATAAGAAGAACATATCATTGAAAATGAAGAGTTCCTATGGACATTTTGTTTAATATTTGTTCTTATTTTTAATATCCGTAAGACAAATATAGCCACAAGAGAAGTATATTCATGTATATACATATATATGTATGTGTACACACACACCACACACACACACACACACACAGTTGGTCCTCCATATCCATGGGTTCTGCATCCATAGATACAACTGAGTGAGGACCAAAAATATTCAGAAAAAAAATTCTACAAAGTTCCAAAAAGTAAAACTTGAATATGCCATGTGTCAAGTACTATGTTGAATCCACACAAATGAAGTGATGTGTAGGATTGTTTAGGTATTATAAGTACTCTAGAGATTATTTAAAGCATACAGAAGGATGTGCATAGGTCATATACAAATAGTACGTCATTTTATATCAGGGACTTGAGCATCTGTGGATTCTGGAACCCATGGGGCGTCCTGAAACCATCAATCCCCCACAGATACCAAAAGATGACTCTGTGTGTGTGTGTGTTTACACTGTTCTTTGACCCTGCAGGTAGCTTCCCCAGACCCTGGACCTCCCTACTTTCTACTTATCAACTCCCTCCTGTTTTCATTTTCCACCTTAACCAGCCCTGAATCCAAGTTCCATCACTTTAACCCCTATTCATCTCCATGGTACCTCATTAGCAAATCCCAACCCTGGGTCCATCCAGCTGCATTTTCTCCAGATGTAGGGTCTGCCAGGGAAAACCACACAAAAGTGCCTACTGGTGTCATAGACACCCATGGCCCCCTCATCACCATGCCCCCACACAGCCCAGCAATCCTGTTTCCCTAGTGAGCCCTCCCCTGTTCTCTGCAGTAGCTATTTTAGACCATCTCCTCCTTCTTCCAACCTTCCATCCAGACACCTCTCTCCCTTCACACTTGTCAGAAGATCCCTTTTCAACTTCGCAGCATAAATAGAAACCATCAGTAAGAAAATTCCTCAACTTCCCTCTTCCATATTTTCAGACTTGTCTTTCCATCTCTATTCTATTTTTTCTCTTCTCCTCCTGAAATATAATAAGTGCTTATTTTTCACTCACTCCCTAATGCAGGGCAAATGGTTGTTTTGCCTCTACTGTGCCACTAAAACTGCTCTTCCAACAGCCTCCTGGTTGCTAAACCTGTTGCTACTTTTTAAATATCTTATCTTACTTGACCAAACAGCAACCTTCGACCCAGTCGACAATTCTCTACTTCTTGAAGCACTGCTTTGGTATATTGGTCAGGGTTCTCCAGAAAAACAGAACCAACAGGAGAAGGAAGGAAAGAAGGAAGGAAGGAAGGAAGGAAGGAAGGAAGGAAGGGAGGGAGGGAGGGAGGGAGGGAGGGAGGGAGGGAGGGAGGGAAAGAGGGGGGGAGAGAGAGAGAGAGAGAAGGGAAGGAGGGAGGGAGGGAGGAATATCAGTTATATGGAATGAGCTCACACAGTTCTGGAGGTTGACAAATCTGAAGATCTTCAGTCAGCAAACTGGAGACCCAGGAGAGCTGACGGTGTATGTAGATCTAGTCCAAAGACCTGAGGCTTGAGACCCAGACAGAACTGATGTTTCAGTTCAAGTCAAAAGGCAGGAAGAAAACTGATGTCCCAGCTCAAGGCAGTCCGGCAGGAAGCAATTCTGTCTTACTTGCCAGAGAGTCAGCCATTTGATTCTGCTCAGGCCTTCAACTGATTGGATGGGGCCGACCCACATTAGGGAGGGCAATCTGCTTTATTTGGTATAGCTTCAAATGTTAGTCCTATCCAGAAATACCCTCATGTACCTAGAATGATGTTTGACCAAATGCCTGGACACCCCATGGCCCAATCACGTCTACACAGAAAGTTATTTATCACATTTGCCCTCTCAGCTACATCACCATTTCTATCTCCTACCTCTTGCCTCCTACCCTTTTTCAGTTTCTGCAAGCTGCTCCCTTGAATGTCTGTTATCCTCAATGTTCTGTCTTGGGTAATTTTTCCCTCACCCACTCTCCTTAGGAATTTCACCCTCTCTCAGGACCCCAGTGACCATCTATACATCCATGAGTCTCACATTTGTATCACCAAGCCAGCTCTCACCTCTGCACTCTCAACTCTGCTGAGAAGCCACAAAATCCTTATGATTGACACCTTCTCCTCCACCCAAGGGCAGCAGCTCCTTCATGTCCTCATATGGGCAGTGATTTCATAAATTCACTTATTGGGGCATTTCTTTCTGTCAGTGTCAACCACAAGGGTTACTTCAGTACATTTCACATGTGAATTTTCCTACAACTGTGAGAGGAAGGTCTTGAAGCAACAGCTCTCCTGCCCCAGCACTTATGCTCTCCCAGTTAGTGGATACTTATCTTGACAACCAATTCAGTGGATGCTGGAACGGGTGTGGGTGTAATAGCATATGGCACACTTAACAACATGTGACGATTTGCTTTCGGGCGTTGTGAAAGAGTAAATTCTCAAATCTACACAATCTAGGACAATTTTAATAATTTCCAGCCATGGCTATGAAAGTTGATGTCCAGAAGACTATGAGGAAAAATCTAAATTTGTGTGAATAGCAGAGGGGAGCATACAAGTCAGCATACATAGGGAGTCTGTAGACATTCCACGAAATTTTCTCTTTTTTTGAGATGGAGTCTCATTCTGTCACCCAGGCTGGAGTGCAGTAGCGCAACCTCGGCTCACTGCAACCTCCACCTCCCGGGTTCAATCGATTATCCTGCCTCAGCCTCCCTAGTAGCTGGCACTACAGGCATGTGCCACCACACCTGGCTAATTTTTGTACTTTTAGTACAGATGGGGCTTCATCATGTTGGCCAGGCTGGTCTCGAACTCCTGACTTTAAGTGATCTGCCCACCTCAGCCTCCCAAAGTGCTGGGATTACAGGCATGAGCCACCGCACTGGGCGAAATTTTCTTTTTGACATCCCAAAACAGAACTCATGCTTGCTCAACATCTCTAGTGTCTTCCCCAGACATGTTCCTCTCCCTGAGTTATTTCAGTGAACACTATCACTGAGATTGTTGTCCAAGGCAGAAACCCATGGTCATCTTTCCCTCCAGGCTCTCCCTCACCCCCACATTCAATCAATCATAAATCTTGATCTCTCATTGCCTTCATTTCTCATCTATAAAATGCGAGACCCTGTCTCTACTAAAAAAAAAAAAAAAAGAGTTCCTCATCTACAGTACTGGTAACTGCTCAACCAAAGTTATTGTGCTGCTGCTAGCTAACATGATTATTTATCTCCCCAAACTCTACAATCTAGTCACACAGAATGCCTTTCACTTCAAGAGGCCATGCTGTCTCTCACCTCCACACCCTCCCACTTCCTTGTCTGCTCCCCAGCCCTATCCTCTCCCCACTCTTACTCTGCTGACCCCTAGTCATCCTTCAAATCTTAGCTAAGATGCCACATGCTCCTGGAAGCCTTCCATGCTCCTCAGTCTGGGCTAGTTGTCCCCTCTCCGTGCTTTCTTGGCTCCCAGTACTATGCCTACAAACACTTGTTACTCTGTGAGTTCTCCACAGGACAAGCTCCAGAAGGTCACGTATTGTGCCTGTCTTCTTCAGGGTTGTAACCCTAGTAGCTAACACAGTGTCTGGCACGCTAGGTATTTGGTAACTATTTGTGCAACGAATGAATGTGAGCACTTCTTCCCCAGGGGTTCAGAAGCTAAGTTCCCCTTAGAAGGGATTGGGCAACTCCAGAAGAGCGGGGGAAAGTGAGTAGTCCAGCCGGGCGCGGTGGCTCACGCCTGTGATCCCAGCACTTTGGGAGGCCGAGGCGGGCAGATCACGAGGTCAGGAAATCGAGACCATCCTGGCTAACACCGTGAAACCCTGTCTCTACTAAAAATACAAAAAATTAGCTGGGTGTGGTGGCGGGTGCCTGTAGTCCCAGCTACTCGGGAGGCTGAGGCAGGAGAATGGCGTGAACCCAGGAGGCGGAGCTTGCAGTGAGCTGAGATCGTGCCACTGCACTCCAGCCTGGGCAACAGAGCAAGACTCCGTCTCAAAAAAAATAGAAAGAAAGAAAATGAGTAGTCCTACCCTTCACATTCAGGCATGGGAAGAGGAGGTAGGGGAGACTCTTTCTGTCCCTTGAATTTCAGGACCTGACCTGTGGCAGAAGGGTAAGGAGATTTTCCAAATGGGAAGAGGATAGCCACAGCTGCTTTGTGAGGACTGCACACTTAGAAACAAATTACATGACTAGAGCCATTCACTGGGAAACCGGCCTGCTCTCCAGGTTAACCCTCAAGCCACACGCTATGATCTTTGAGTCAAGGGCAGCTGCCAGCTTCCAGGTCATAGCATGCTTGGGAGGGATTTTCCCAAAAATCAGGAAAGACGCTACCCATGACAATCTGTGCCTTTGCTGGAAGAAGCCAGAGCTGCCTTGCATGGTGGGAACCTCCTGGGTAGAAACCATGTGTCCCAGGGGAGGAAGGGCTAATATCCAGACTCACATGGCTCAGGGTGAAATGTAGTTCACATCATTCAGCACTGTCTCCAGCCCTGGAGAAATGCCTGGTGCCCCAACCACAATGCCTTTTTTCTCTGTTAAAAGAATTTTTGTAGGAGGCTGGAGGTGGTGGTTCATGCCTTTAATCCCAGCACTATGGGAGGTCAAAGCGGGAGGACTGCTTAAGGTCAGGAGTTCAAGACCAGCCTGGGCAGCATAGCAAGATTCTGTCTCCACAAAAATATTTAAAAAATTAGCTGAATGTATTGGCATGTGCATGTAGTCCTAGCTACTTGGGACACTGAGGTGGGAGGATCACTTGAGGCCCGGAGTTCAAGACCAGCTTGGGCAACATAGTGAGATCTTGTCTCTACAAAAAATTTTAAAAATTAGCTGGGCGTGGTGGCACATGTCTTTAGTCCTAGCTGTTCAGGAAGCTGCGGCGGGAGGATTGCGTGAGCTCAGGAGTTCGAGGCTGCAGTGAGCTATGATGGTGCCACTATACTCCAGCCTGGGTGACAGAGTGAGACTCTGTCTCTTAAAGTAAAAAAGCTTGAGGCTGGGCACGGTGGCTCACGCCTGTAATCCCAGCACTTTGGGAGGCTGAGGCAGGCAGATCACGAGGTCAGGAGTTCAAGACCAGCCTGGCCAATATGGTGAAACCCCGTCTCTACTAAAAATATAAAAATTAGCCAGGTGTGGTGGCACGTGCCTGTAGTCCCAGCTACTCAGGAGGCTGAGGCAGAAGAATTGCTTGAACCCAGGAGGCGGAGGTTGCAGTGAGCCAAGATCGCGTCACTGCACTCCAGCCTGGGCGATAGAGCGAGACTCCGTCTCAAAAAAAGTAAAAAAAAAAAATTAAAAAAAAATTGAATTAAAAAGCTTGTAGAAGGCAGGCTTGAGGAAGTACAATGGAGCACACTGACTGACTGGCTGTGCTGAGGACTTTGGCTATGCTGGTTGCAATGACATCCCTTGCCTCCACCCCTTCCACCAAGTGTGTATCTTATCTACATTGACAGCTATGAGGAAGGAAATGGGGGCTATTTACAGGGGGCGCCATGACATCTACCTTCTCCCTGGCCTCTGGGATAAGTTCTGGGTTCCAGTGGTTATGGTACTGATGGTCAGCAGCAACTTGGTTGAGAAACTGAGAATTCTAAAGGTGTTGGTGATACCCAAGGTGCCAAAATGTGGCCTCAAGTTTTTGGAAGAGCCGTTCTCCTGCCTCTGTAGTGACGCTGCTACCATGCTGGGCAATTCCAGAGCACCAGGAAGGAGAAGCATTCTTAGACTGAATGGTGGCTTTCTCACAAGAACAGGGAAGACCTGGGGTGAGCAGGCTTCAGGAGTCAACCATGTGGGGAGATGCCAGTGATGCTCTGGTGAGTGTTTAACCGCCTATCCAGGGGTGGGGAAAGCTCCAACTTACAGCGTTTGCCAATTTCCATGGTGTGAATACTACCACCATGGCTGATTTCAAACTACCAACATGACCTCACTGAATGTAGAGTTGGGAAGAGACGCACACCATCAGCTGCAGAGCCAGGGCGGCACTGGGAGAGGCCCAGGGAAGACGGGCAGGAATTGAGATCAGGAGAGCACCCTCATAGCCAGGCTGAAACTCACAAAGGCTCATGGTCCTGAAAACTTGTCCAGCCCCATCCACCACTAGGTTAAGTTTGGTGCCAATATTTGCATCAGAAACATTCATCTGTGCTTACCTTGGCTGAAGTACCTGAGGCTTCCACAGAGGTCTCCTGGGTGCCTGCCTACACAGGACAGTGGTATGTGGTGCTTCAGGGCCTATTCTCCATGCTAAAAGGCCAAACTTGCCCTGAAACCTGCCACAGAGATGCCCTTGAAGGCCCCTGGGTAGAGCTGGGTAGAGGCCCAGGACAGCTTGATCTCTAAGGAACTGGTCCCTACATCCTGAGGGCCGGTGGGTGGTGGTAAAAGCAGCAGGCTGCAAAGGCTTGGGCTACCCAGGTCCTAGAGATGTGAAACGCCAGTTCTGGATCTTGGGATGGGCCAGCGTAGCCTGCTGGATCTCCTGCGTGGAGGTTGAGGAATGTGAGGAAACACCCAACATTGCTACCTCAGTAGGTAGCAGTGCGTAACCCCCTCCCACAGCATCTCATAAAACCTTTGAAACGCTTTTGACACCTTTCTAGAACATCAGCTCACAATGGTTGTGTTTTGCTCATTGCCATACCAAACACCTAGAGCAGTGCCTAGTAAGAAAATGGGCATTTGATAACTATTGCTGAATTGAATTTATTGAATACATGCAGAGTACAAACGGCCCCAAATCACAGCAGGTTGAAGTATTCACAGAGCCTGAAGGAAAGTGGACAGCAGAGATAGTGGCTCTGGAAATTGGATGAGGTGGGCATCTGGAATGTAGTAAAGCAGCAGCAAGCAGGAGATACTGCTTGGCGACTAGATGAGCTCAGGTAGCCCATCACTGGTACATTGTTTGGGGATGCTGTAGACAAAGGAATGACAGCATTGGAGTATTTATTGAATGCCTATCACAGGCTGAGCCCTTTCCTAGGATTCATATGCTTTTCTCAATGGAAGAATCAAGAAGATAGTTCATTATTTCTCCTTAATACAAGGCCCCATCGTCTTCCCAAGAACCCCACACTCCTACTGCCTCAACTCCCATTTGTTGGAGAAGCTGAAAAAGCTGACCAGGTAGGAAGTTTCTTTCTCTGAATGAAGCTAACTAGGGTTCAGAACAAGCCCTTGACCTATTGTGACCAATGGCAGATCCTGTTCCAATCAGGCCCCACACCTATGAACAAGTCTGTATCTCAGAGCAAGAGACAGATAACAATTCCAGGATTCTCCTGATCTTAGATTAGGACCACAATACAAAGTAGACATTCCTTCTTACTTTCTATGTCAAATTTAGCTAATCACTGGATTCATCAGAAGCCTAGGGGGTTCAGTGTCGAGATAAACATACCTAGGACACCCCATGTTTCTGGGTTATCCTTAGATACGATGAGGTGGAGAGATTCCAGTCACAGAGAGAGGCTGTAAAGAGCAAGCAGGCAGTTGGAGAGAGCTACCAATCCCAGACACTCCAGCAGTTATGGTGACTGCCTGGATGGTCACTCACAGAGGAGGAAAAAGTAGTGAGAGAACTGGAGACAAGGGGGAAATGCAGGTCTTTCTGTACAACAGCAGCTTCCAATCAGAGAAACAGATGATGGGTATCCAGCTATGCAATCCACAAAGGACAAAGTCCCCTGCTTTGGCACAGTCTGATTGTTGGGATGAAACATGCCTAGAGGTAGAGTGAGCCCTTTCTAGGTTAACATAACCAGATATGGGACACCTGCCATTCACTGCAAAGTGCTTCATATAGCTGGCTGCATTCATCTGCTTAATAAAACCAGATAATGAAACAAACCCCCTTTTCCAGTTCCCCAGAGCCCTGCTGTAAAGAAGGTGCCTTTAATTAGAGTCAGACTGCACAGCACTGGGGCTCAGCTGTACTATAGTTTGATGCTGCAAGGCAGAAAAGTTACCGTGTATTTTCTAGGCAAGTAAAATGCAGATGATGTTTAATATCAGATATCTCTCCAAGGAAAGAACATTCTGTAGCTCAGACAAATAATGCAAGTTTGGGTTAATTTTTGGTTTGTCTTTTAAACATAGTACATTCAGGCTTTTGTTTGTGATCAGGGCAATAATGACAGATATAATTACTTAGAGATGAAGAAACCAAAACCAAGACACAAGGAGGCTGAGTAACTTGCCCAAGGCTCACACAGTTACTAACAGCAGGGCCAAGATTCAAACTCCGCTAGTCTGGCTTTTAATGTTGTTGTATTGATTTATTACTCTTTTTAGTCTGTCTTTAAGAGCTCACTTTCCTAGATGTTGTGGAACACTTGAGAGGGATGTGGTACTCTGAAAGGAGGGGCTGCAAATCACTCTATGTCCAGCAGCTGTGGGATGGAATGGTCAGTCTGTGAGGTCAGTCTCTGTACATAGTCTTCAGGCTCAAGTCAAGATGTCTCTTCTTGGCCAGGTGCAATGGCTCATGCCTGTAATCTCAGCACTTTGGGAGGCCAAGGTGGTAGGATTGCTTTAGCCCAGAATTTCAAGACCAGCCTAGGCAACATAGTCTCTATTAAAAAATAATAAAATAATTTTTAAAAAGGTATTTCTTTTTAAAATATCTTCTCTCTAAAGATATATGTACAAGGGTGTTAACTGCAGCATTGTTTTAAGAGTAAAAAGGTTTGAACCAACCTAGATTTCTATCAAAAGTAAGCCAGAAAAGTAAATGATGGTGCAAATACACAATGAAAAAACAGGCAGCTGTAATAAAGAAAGGAAACTATGTACTGACATGGAACTGTTGCCAACATATATCTGAAAAAAGCAAGGTTCAGAATAGCGTACAGTTTACCATTTGTGCAAAGCAAGGAAAAAGACCACATGTGTTTTTGCTTGTATAGACAGAGATCTCTGGAAGAATATACAAGCAACTGTAATACTTGTTGCCTCTGAGTGGGAAGTAGTCGCTGTGGGGAAAGGGTGAGAGGCATTTCATTCTACGCCATTTTGTACCTTTAATTTCAAACTATGTGAACATATTGCCTACTCAAAAAGTGTATGTCTGTACTCTCTTAAAAATGAATTACAATATGTAAACTAAACACAGAACATATAAAAATTGACATATACCCATGCAATCTATAAACAAAACACATGTATGGGGAAACAAGAAGTTATTAAATCAAGGTGGTAACAATCTTTTCCTTTTGTTCTCTATTTTTCCAGAATTCTTATGATGTGGTTATAGTAAGTACTTTTAAAGCATTTTTTCCACATTTAACTTACTTCCTCCATGACTCTACCAGTATTTTGATCAGTAATCATGGGCAGAAGAATGGAAATGAAGACTAAGGACTCCAGAATCCCAAAATTCACAGTATATTCAACAAAGAAAAAATCCCTACCATCCTTAAAAAGTTGGCAATCAATAGTTTCCAACCCTTTATGAAAATACATGGGGTATAGGCTGGGCGTGGTGGCTCACGCCTGTAATCCCAGCATTTTAGAGGCCTAGGCAGGTGGATCACTTAAGGTCAGGAATTTGAGACCAGCCTGGCCAACATGGTGAAACCCTGTCTCTACAGAAAAACAAAAATTAGCTGGGTGTGATGGCATATGCCTGTAGTCCCAGCTACTTGGGAGGTTGAGGTGGGAGGATGGCTTGAGTCTGGGAGGTGGAGGTTGCAGTGAGCTGAGATTGCACTACTGTACTCCAGCTTGGGCAACAGAGTCAGATCTTGTTTCAAAAATTAAAATTAAAATTAAAAATAAAGGAGAGGTGGAGAAAAGAGAGAAAACTTCTAATGTAAAAGAAAAATAAAGAAAAAAGCACATCAAGTTGTCATAAAATCATTGCCTGTGTGTTCATGACGTCAGATAAAATAGATTTGGAAACATTCAAATGCCAGCTGAAGGAAAGGAGTTTCTCCCACCCCTGAAACAAGGTAAACAGTGACCCACCTCTGTAATAAAAAGGAAACACGACAGTCAGGAGGTTAACAGAGCTCATCTGTTGCCACGATCTGCAGCTTGGCCTCTTAGGCTGACATTCACTTGAAGTCTATCATCTGATACAGTCACTTTCTTGGTTGTAATCTATGAGCTGCTGGTGTTTACTTGTGAGACTGTCTGGGAGCAGGAAGGGAAGGAAGGTAAATACACCAAAGCCCAGCTGAGCAACTGACAGGTTTTACATTTTATTTCCAGGAAATGAGATAGTATTTTCACAAAGAAGAGGTAAGCCATCCTCTCAAAATAGACACTGCCTTCAGAGGCAGCCATGGGGTACACCCAACCTATCCAAAACAACTGTCAACGGAGGTGTTTCCGAGGTATCAAAACAGTAACAACAACAACAAATTAAAAAAAAACAGAAGAGAACTCAAATAACTCTTTCGACATGTAGTGAGGCAGAGTCTACGAAGTACCCTGAAGCAGTTGGGTGCCGTGAATCCTGGTGGTGCTTCAGCCAATGATGGCAGCAGGGCTGGCCACCGTGGAAGGCAAGTGACTGAGGGCTTCCTAACTCAAGTCTCTGTCCCACAAGACTTCTCAGTTGACCTTCAGAGCAGCGGAGTCACGGCTAGAGAGAATCCTCCAGACCATCTCAGGCTCGCACTACCTGGCAGTCTTTCAAATGCCCTTAGAGCACGGTCTTCAGAACAATCTCTTTGCTTTGGAGAAAAAGAAGAGAAATAAATAAATGAGGAGCCTGTATTTCCCTTCCGTGGACTCCCTGCTTCCAGCCTCGCCACCCTGTCTCTTCCTCACACAGCAGCCATAGCGAACTGAGAAAACAGAAGTCAGATCATGTCACTCTCTGCTCAAAGCCCACTCCTCATTCCTCTCACAGTGAGTTAAAGTCAAAGTCCTTTCAAAGGCCTACAAGGCCCTACAAAATCTGCGTCTTGCTCAAGCTTCCTCTCCTACCCACTCCCCAGCGCTCACTCCACTCCCCAGCACTAGCCTCCTTGCTGCCCCTCCCACATACCAGCATGCTCCCCCTTACCATTCCCTCTTTCCCTACATGGCAGCATGGCCACCTCCTTCAGAGCTTCCCTCAAATAGTTCCTGCTCAGAGGTGCCTTCCTTGATTACCCTATCAAGAATTGCCAAGGCTTTCACCATCACCCCTTCTCCCCTTCTTGCTTGATTTTTCTCCATAGCATTAATTACATCTAACTTAGATTTTCACTTTTTACATTCTCAGCATCTAGAACAGTGCCTAGCACAAATCTGGCCCTCAATATATCTGTTAAAGATGTTAAAGAAAGGAATGAATTATATACAGGAATAGGCAGGGAGAGGCGGGAATTCTTCCTGTGTTCAGAGAGGGAGGGGACAAGAAAGGCTGTTTACTTACTAGCCTCCAGGCTTTTCCAATAGTCCGCTTCCTTGTGGGAATCCTGGCCTATGCCAAAGGCACAATAAAGTCACCAACCAAATTGTCCCCTTTCTCTGAGACTGAATTCTGGAATGCTTTGTTAGGGGGATTGAAAGGACTACAGAAGTTATTCGTCTCCCACTTCTGGGTAGCCTTTGAGGTGGTGGGCCTTGGGGCTGGGCATGCCCTCAGCCTTGGAGAGAGAGAACCAAGTAGGGTTCCCTCCCTCTTAGCTAACAGCCTCAACTATTAGCTCACAGAAGAATACAGAAGCCACAAGAAAGAAATTCTCTGGACACCCCTCAAGCAAACTTCCTTGCCCCACCCCCCCACGATACTCTTCTTTCTATAAAACAAAGAATGCACACTTCTCCTCTTAAAGACTAATTGCTTTCTGAGCTCTGTACTCCCTGTCTTCCCCTGCTTTCCAACGAGTCATGCCCTACCTGCTATCTTGGCTTTCCAGCATGCCCTTCTGTACAGGCTCCTTTCAATCTGCAATGGAACATGCTCAAATCTCGTCTTTAAAAAACAACAAAAACCCCATTTCACCCTACTTCCTCCTCCAAATACAGCCTTCTTTTGGTGGTGGTCCTCCCCATCTTAGTCACAGCCAAATTTTGTGAAGAAGTTATCTATTCTTTCTGTACTTCCTCACCTCATACTCACTCCCCAATCACTGTAAACTGACTTCTGACTCCACCATCCCCCACAACTTATACTAGATAAAGTCACCGATATCCCACATGCCTGCATACTCAATGGGCAATTTTTCATCCTTATCTTGTTTAATGTCTCAGCAGCATTTCAAACGCTGACTTCTCACTTTATAACTCTTCATAAACACATATTTACTGAAGAGCTACCATGTGCCAAACACTCTTCAATGCCCTGAAAATACTACAAGGAGAAAGATAAAATTCCTGCCCTCAAGGAGTTCGGAAATCTAGAGGCAAGAGTACACTAACAAATATTATTTCAATCTGGTAAATGCTTTCAAAGAAATATAGGGCAATGTAATGAGGGGGATCTACCCTAGACAAGAGTGTGGCCAGGAAGGCTCAAAGGACACCATGTAATGTCTTTTTTTTTTTTTAAAGAGATAGGGTCTGGCTCTTTTGCCCAGGCTGGAGTACAGTGGCACAGTCACAGCTTACTGGAGACTTAAACTCCTGGGTTCAAGGGATGCTCCAGCCTCAGCCTCCTGAGTAGGTGGGATCACAGGCATATGCCATCATGCCTAATTTTTTTTTTTTTTGAGATGGGGGTCTCACTATGTTGCCCAGGCTGGTCTTGAACTCCTGGCTTCAAGTGATCCTCTCACCTCAGCCTCCTAAGTAGCTGTGAGGACAGGCATGTGCCAGCTCTGCCTGCCCCACATCCCTGCCCCACATCCCTCTTTTTCCATCTCTCTCTTTGGCCATTCATCAGTCTGCCCTGCAGGCCCCTCTTCTACTACTCATCCCCTAATGTTGGTGTTTCTCATGGCTAAGAACTTGCCCTTTGGCTCTTAATACCACAGAGACGGTAACAGTGGTTCATCCACTTCCATGGCTCATGATCCCCAAACCTAGAATCTCAACTTGGCCTGTCCTTCAGGCTCCAGATCCACACATTCAAATAACCACTGAACAGCTCCATTGATGTCCTCAGGTGCCTTAAACTTTCCAGTTGAAAACTAAATTTGTCTGCTCCAACTACTCCTATTTTAGTAAATGCATCATCATCAACTCAGGTGCCCCAATAGAAAGAAACCTAGACATGATCTGAGCTCCCTTGCAGTCCCCACAGCACATCAGTCCCACAGACCTGTGGATTCTACCTCCTTAACTACCTCTTGAATCTATCCACTCTGGCCATCCCTGCTGCTACTTCTCTAACCTAGCCACCATCATCACTGGCCATGATTACTGCCTTTATTCTTGTTCCCAGCACCATGTCGTCTCTTCACTACAGCCAGACTAACCTATCCAGAAAAACACAAACATCAACAGTCAGATCTCCACTTCATATCTTCTGTTTCCCCCTGCCCCTAGACTAACTCTGCAACATGTCTGTAACACCCTGCATGACCCAGTCCTGCCAACTTTTCCAGGCTGAATGCTCAATATTCTCTCTAGCACTCTGTACTTCTCTCAGCCCCTAAAAACCCCTTGCTTTTGCTTCTTGTCCTTTCACCTAAAATACACTCCATGTCCTTCACTGACTCAGGGAAGCCTTTCCTTGACTTAGCACCCTTTATTTCTCATATTGTAGGACTTTACTATAAGGAACCTAGGGCCTGCACTTAGAGCAAAAGTTCCATGAGGGGAGAGACTGCACATGCCCTCTTTGCTTTTATCCCCAAGCACTTAGCATTTAGTAGGTGCTAAGAAAAAGGAAAGACCCAGGACTGGGCGTGGTGGCGCATGCCTATAACCCCAGCGCTGTGGGAAGCTGAGGTGGGCTGATCCTATGAGCCCAGGAGTTCAAGACCAGCCCAGGCAACATAATGAAACCCCATCTCTACAGAAAATACAAAAAATTAGCCAGGCATGGTGGCGCACGCCTGTAGCCCCAGCTACTAGGGAGGCTGAGATGGGAGGATGCTTGAGCCCAGGAGGCGGAGGTTTGCAGTGAGCTGAGATCATGCCACTGCACTCAGCCTGGGTGACAGAAAAAAAGGAAAGACCCAGAAGAAAGGAAGCAAGTAAGAGATATTTCTTTGGGGTTGGTTCTGGCTCAAGTTTAATGAGACAAGTGTAAAAGCAGTCCAAACTCTCCAGGATACAGAAAGTAACTGAAGTAGAAGCCCTAGCCAGGAAAAGGAGCATGTCTAGTTATATCAGATTTCTTAAGAACCATAGCAGTAGGCAGTTGGACAGAATATATATCCAGCTGATAAGGTATAATCAGCCATTCTCTATGATTAGTTCATAGAATATCAACTTATTTGAGCTTGCTCTAAAAATACTCAGTGTTCATCTAGGGTTAACCAAGAAACTCAAAGAAAAGCTGCTTTGGTTAATGACGCTACTCTATATTTGCACAGGTAGTCTCCTACAATAGACATTCCTGGAAGTAGGTATGAAAAATGATAAAATTACACGTTAGGAGGGAAAGAGGATCCATTTTTTAGAGGGCCAAAATAACTGTGTTATCACTAAAAATCAAAAAAGGGCAGGAGAAAATTTTACTGTGGGAAATAGCAATGAACAATCTGAAGTGTCTCCTGCTAAACACCAGAGATGGCCAGAACTGCTCATGTTCCATCTCCAGGCCCTTTTCCCAGCCTGATGGACAAGCTAGGCTGGTGGGCTGATAGCTGGGCTGCAGCCTCCAGCAGCGATGGGATCCCACCATGGCCAGCAACCACTGATTTTCACTTTCAGTGCAACATGGTGCAGGGCTCATTGGAGTCACTGACTCTCCTGCATTGGACTCCTCAGGGTGTATTTAAAGCTATTGTAGCCCAGCAGTCAAAGTCAGCCCTGGATCTCTCAACTCTGGCATGCATGGTTCCCTCAAACTCAATCTTCCATACATTTAGGGTGTACTGAAAGATGATTAATAGCATCTAGGAAGGCCACTCTCCTAAGCTGTGAAAACTTTTCCGGGTGCCTGCAGGGCGGTAGTAGCTTTTGGTGAAAGGGAGAAGACACTCTACCACAGAGCACAAATGCACAGAACAGCCTTTTGACCTCCAGATGGAAGGACCATTCGGAAATCACAAGGATTACAGAGACAATAAAGAATTCAAGGTTCTAGGTCTTCCTGGGTTGCTACTCCATACAGTCCAATTAATCCCACAGCAGACTTTTACTAAGTTTCACTAGGTGAATAGTTCCTATGATGCCCTTGTCATTTCAAACTGTGTATTCTGAGGTGCCAATAAGAGTGATAGGGGAAAAAAATTAGCCCAGGTGCAGTGGCTCACACCTGTAATCCTGGCACTTTGGGAGGCTGAGGCGGGTGGATTGCTCGAGCTCAGGAGTTCAAGATCAGCCTGGGCAACATGGTGAAATCCCATCTCTACAAAAAATACAAAAAATTAGCTGGGTGTGGTGGCACATGCCTGTGGTCCCAGCTACTTGGGAGGCTGAGGTAAGAGGATTACCTGAGCCCAGAAGGCCAAGGCTACAGTGAGCCGTGATCATGCCACTGCACACCAGCCTTTTTCAAAAAAAAAAAAAAAAATGACAAAGGAAAGAAATTAAACAGAGGAAAAACTACATTTTGATGATAAGGAAGGATACTAGGACACAAAAGAAGAGAAGGAAAAAAGAAGGGAGATGAATAGGGAAGTGGTGATAGAGAAATTAAAAAGCTTCTAGTAACAATAATGTTACTATCCCACTACAATTTTGTTCTATCCCATTACAATTTTGCAAAGCATACTTTTTCTTTTCTTCTTCTTTTTCGTTTTTTTGAGACGAAGTCTCACTCTGCCCAGGCTGGAGTGCAGTGGCATGATCTCGGCTCACTGCAACCTCAGCCTCCCAGGTTCAAGCAATACTCCTGCCTCAGCCTCCTGAGTAGCTGGGATTACAGGTGTGCACCACCACGCCCGGCTAATTTTTGTATTTTTAGTAGAGATGGGGTTTCACCATGTTGGTCAGGCTGGTCTCAAACTCCTGACCTCATGATCCACGCCCCCTCAGCCTCCCAAAGTGCTGGGATTACAGCCGTGAGCCACAGCACCCGCCCTGCATACATTGTTTAAAGTAAAAAAATCTTAAGAGCCAGGCGCGGTGGCTCACGCCTGTAATCCCAGCACTTTGGGAGGCAGAGGTGGGCGGATCACCTGAGGTCGGGAGTTCAAGACCAGCCTGACCAACATGGAGAAACCCCATCTCTACTAAAAATACAAAATTAGCCGGGCATGATGGCACATGCTTGTAATCCCAGCTACTTGGGAGGGTGAGGCAGAAGAATTGCTTGAACCCGGGAGGCGGAGGTTGTGGTAAGCCGAGATCGCGCCATTGCACTCCAGCCTGGGCAACAAGAGCGAAACGCCATCTCAAAAAAAAAAAATCTTAAGAATACAGTGTTATATACTATCTGAGTACAAGCATGTGGACACTCCCGCCTCATCCTGACCTTGCCAAGATCCATTTTCCCTTAGACAAACACTGTCTTATACAAGGCAGGCAGAAATGCTAACTTCCTGCAAATGACCCTGATTCTCCAGGGACAGGACTGAGTAGGTTACAACTACCTGCTAATAAGTATTCTCTCTGGAAGAGAGAGGATTACTGCTGCCACTCCTTCAAACATCCCTTTAAAAGGCTGTCTTTCAGCAAAGGAGGATGGGCAATATCAGGGAAAGCCTTACAGGTGGGCTGATGGATACTCTTCAGAGCCTGGGCTTTGCCAGTTTCTCCTGCCCTGTGTTAGGTCCACCCTCTACTTAGCCTATAAGAAGCTGGCAAGAGATACAGGCCATGTGGTCTGACCTGGATCCATCTCCCCAGACACCCCCAACCTCTGGAGGGGTCTTTGTGTCACAGATTCACACAATAGTTCACAAATGCCTCTCCCCACCTCAGCACACGTGAAGGCCATGGCACACTCTCACTAGTAGCCACAATTCACTATTACAGCAGCAAGGGGCCAGGCGCAGTGGCTCATGCCTGTAATCCCAGCACTTTGGGGGGCGGAGCGGGGTACATCACCTGAGGTCAGGAGTTGGGAGACCAGCCTGGCCAACACAGTAAAACCCCGTCTCTACTAAAAATGCAAACATGAGCTGGGCGTGGTGGCATGCACCTGTAATCCTAGCTACCCAGGAGGCTGAGGGAGGAGAATCACTTAAACCCGGGAGGGGGAGGTTGCAGTGAGCCAAAATTGCGCCATTAAACTTCAGCCTTTCAGCCTGGGCAACAAAGCAAGACACCATCTCAAAAAAAAAAAAAAAAAAATAGTAGCAAGGGAGCTAAGGAATGTAGTTTGAAAAAGCCCCTTGGTTGAAAATCACTGTTCTAAAGGACCAAGGAGATTTTATTTCTACATTGCTTGTTTTTTTTCTGAGTACAACCCAAAGAAACCGCTAGGAAAAGCAAAACAGAAGAGTTTTAACACTCTTGTCAACCAACTAACATCGAATGAGAACAGAAGAAACGGGAGGGGAGGAGCTGACAGAAGACTGCTCTCTCACCTCACCAGCTCCAGAGGGAGATACTCTATAGGGGATTTCAAAAAAACTTTTCCATTCAGAAAAAATCTCATGTCAATATCCCAGAGAGCCACAGTGACTCATGATACAAGACTTACTGAATGTCTGTTATCTGTCCTAGCTCCAGAGCATCCATCTCCAACTCAGGACCCAGCATCCTAACACTCCCATCCTCTTCCTCTCCTCTGGTCTCACACAAGAGATCAATGGCTAATCAGTCATGAGACTCTACTCCTCCCACTAACATATGAAACTTCAATAACCAGCCCAGGAGGCCTAGAAGTGAGGCTGTTCTTGGTGAAATCAGAATACAGGCATGTCTGCATGGGCAACACCCTGTGGCCACAGGCAGGCAGGTCTCCTCTGAATTTATAAGAGCAATTCCTGCTCCAGGGCCTGCAGTGATGGGACTCTGACAATTACAGGCTTGCCAATCCTAGTTTCCAGATCCTAAATTTGGTCCTTTTTAAAAATTCCCATGCAACAGGGATTAAACCAGCTTTCAATTGGCCTTGGAATATGGAAGGAAGGTTGGTATTTAAACTGAGAATTTTCTCTAAACCCAGTGAAGCTGTTGATAGCTCTGGCATGTCTTTCCCTAAATCAGGTCTCAGAAAACCTGTCTGTCTCTAGAGAAAACTTCAAAGCTGCATTCAGTGTGATAACTACAGAAACCAAGATGGGTGCCAGAAGTGCTCCCAGCCAATGCATGTAACAGGGAAGCTAACTCATTTTACTGTGTAGCCCCCTAGTGTTACCAAAAAAGTGAGAGACACCCTCTTTAGCCTTTGGAGAGAAAAGGGGGATCTGTTATTACTCTGCAGAATTAACTCTGTGTAATAGGAGTCAGACGTAAACTTAGGACACAGGGCCCAGGGCCCTTCTTTCCTTTTTTTTTTTTTTTTGAGACAGAGTCCCGCTCTGTCATCCAGGCTGGAGTGCAGTGGTGCGATCTTGGCTCACTGCAACCTCTGCAGGTTCAAACGATTCTCTTGCCTCAGCCTCCTGAGTAGCTGCGACTACTGGTGTGCGCCACCACGCCCGGCTAATTTTTGTATTTTTAGTAGAGACGGGCTTTCACCATGTTGGCCAGGCTGGTCTCGAACTCCTGACTTCGTGATCTGCCCATCTTGGCCTCCCAAAGTGCTGGGATTACAGGCATGAGCCACCGTGCCCAGCCTTTTCTTTCCCTGATGTTTTGTGAAGCCATTTGCCATGCTTAGATTGCAGGGAAGG
Source organism: Homo sapiens (assembly GCF_000001405.40). NCBI lineage: Eukaryota > Metazoa > Chordata > Mammalia > Primates > Hominidae > Homo > Homo sapiens. The sequence goes on along the minus strand of NC_000006.12, from coordinate 37,382,641 downwards.
AACTTAGGTGGTAGACTGGGCGAAGAAAGCCCATGGGTGTCCCTAGGTCCACCCCCCAACCCCGTCCCCCGACTCAGCTGATCTTGGCCAAATCTGGATTCCCAGATCACTGCTCCTCTCAAAAAGGGAAAGAGGGAAGAAAAAAAAATTCACAAAGCCTCCGTAGATACTTTCTAAGCCTTGACATCATGTGAATATTATGTCTTGTGTGGGCCACACTGGGAACTGGGGCAGGACAGGTCACTGCTTCTCATGCCTCTGTGTTTTGCTTGTGCTACTGCCTCTCCTTAGAAAGCTAACCTCCTAGGGAACCTTTAAGGCTCATTCAAATGTCATTTCCTTGATGAAGCTTTTTCCCATACCTGCACCTCCCCAGGCCAAATCAGGTGTGTCCCTTCCTTTGAAGTTTCATAGCACCCTGATAAGGAACTCATCACACTATCTACTTGCCTTTCTATCTCCTCCGCCAGACTGTTTGTGCCGTAAGGGCTGAGATAATGTCTTATTTAACTTTTTCTCCTGATGCCTAGTGTAGTATTCCTGTAAATGCTTATGGAGTGATGGGAGGTGAAAAGGAAGAACAATGGGATTCTGTCAGATCAAGTAGCTCTTGGAAGTGAAAATCTGTGGGGGCTTAAATTTAGGCACAAAACCCAGTAGCATACAGCTGTTAGTAAAGTGGTAAAACTTCAGTTCCAAAGAACCAGCTTTCAAAGTCTACTCTGCCCTCCCACAGGTCAGAATGTCTTCCTTGGGCATAAGAGGCTCAGACACACGTCCTGCTCAGCCTCTGTGACAAGCCTGCTGCCTCCATTCTGGCTGACCAGCAGAGGGCCAGTTTCAAACCACAGGTGCTTGCAAGTCAGCATCAGATTCCTGGCCCTACTATCCTATTTATAACTCACTGTATACTTAACTCAAGGTTTTTTCAACACCTGGACAGCAACTGAAGTGTCTTGACAACAGCACCATCTAGTGACTGGTACAGCAAAACGTCTGACTGTGTGTATTTTTTTAAATCACATCTTCATTTTATCCCCCCACAACCAAGGCACACATACTTAGCCTCCCACTTCCCTGCTGCTCAAGTAACAGTTGCGGTTAATTCTATCTCAACTCTTCCTCTCCTGCATTATCTTTAACTCCCTTTACTCCTCCCCATTTATTCCATCTCTTCCCTAGTTCAAGAATTGTTTATCTGACTCTTTCTCTTTCCAAAAATATTTGTTGAAGTTTGGAAGTAAATAAGTCCTTTCTTGAGGGGTAGGAATTCTCACACCCACTCACCTTTTCGTTCCCTAATGAGAACAATTCGTCGTTCTTTCACTTCTGAGCTCAGATTATTTACCATCTTATTAATGCAATTGTCCAGAACCAAAGAGTACGTTTTGGACTTAATGTCCTTCCGACAAATGGGGCATTCTATCTTCCGCTTCATCCATTCATTGATACAGTAGGAGCAGAAACTGTGGGCACAGTTCAAGGTGACAGCCTACAGTAGGAATGTGGACACACATATCAGAACTTTCATGCTTACTTTCTCAGGATGCTTGTGATCTCAAAGTTAGGACAGGAGTGAATTTCAAAGGCCAAATGGAAAATTAACAACAATCCCATCTTAAGGGCTTATAAAGAGTATCAGAATCATTCTTGGGGTTGGGCCGGGCATGATGGCTCATGCCTGTAATCCTGGCACTTCGGAAGGCCAAGGTGGGTGGGTCACCTGAGGTCAGGAGTTTGAGACCAGCCTGGGCAACATGGTAAAACCTCGTCTCTACTAAAAATACGAATATTAGCCAGTCACAGTGGTGCACACCTGTAATCCCAGCTACTCGGGTGGCTGAGGCACGAGAATTGCTTGAACCCAGGAGATGGAGGTTGCAGTGAGACAAAATCACACCACTGCACTCCGGCCAGGGTGACAGAGGCAGAAATCGTTTTTAGGGTTGGGGAATTTTTTTTTTTTTTTTTGAGACGGAGTCTCACTCTGTCCCCCAGGCTGGAGTGCAGTGGCGCGATCTCGGCTCACTGCAGACTCCGCCTCCTGGGTTCACGCCATTCTCCTGCCTCAGCCTCCCGAGTAGCTGGGACTACAGGCGCCTGCCACTACACCCGGCTAATTTTTTTGTATTTTTAGTAGAGACGGGGTTTCACCGTGTTAGCCAGGATGGTCTCGATCTCCTGACCTCGTGATCTGCCCGCCTCGGCCTCCCAAAGTGCTGGGATTACAAGTGTGAGCCACCAAGCCCGGCCTGGGTTGGGAAATTTTAAGCTTTATGTTAGACAATTCTTTTCTTAAAGTTAAGGTCACAGACTCAGGTTCCAGGCAGGCTGATTTGTCTTTTTCAGTCCACCAACTTAGACCACACTCCCAATGTGGGCTGGCCACCTTGCAAACAAAATGTTATTGGATATGAGTAGGACTATTAAGTGCGTGAATGCTTACACCTGTAATCCCAGCACTTGGGGAGCTGAAGAAGGTGGACTGCTTGAGCCCAGGAATTTGAGACCAGTCTGAGAGACATGATGAAACCCTATCTCTACAAAAAAAGGAAAAAAAAAATAGCCAGGCATGGTGGCACAGTCTGTGGTCCCAGCTACTCAGGAGGCTGGGGTGGGAGGATCACTAGAGCCTGGGAGCTAGAGGCTGCAGTGAGCCATGATGGCGTTACTGCACTCCAGCCTGGGCGACAGAGTGAGACACTGTCTGGAAAAAACAAACAAACAAACAAAAACAAACAATAAAAAGTATTATTTTCCACCAATCTGATGCTTTTATAAAACAAATTTTTTAAAAAGAAAAACAAATTTATGTCTTGCTAATTGACATATGAAAGGGAACACATACTAAATATTAAGTATACAGAATTATATAAGACATCATCTCTAAAACTAAAAAAGTAAAATAATATAGAAGGCAACTAAAAATGCTGGGCAAAAAAAGAAACTAAAAAAGTAAAAATGTAGTGGGTTCGTTGACAACGCCTGAATATCTAAGTAATGTGCCAATGAAGAGAGAAAGCAAAAGGAAGCCTGTATTTGTGGGGCTCCTCTGAGTAATCCCTCTGGTCAATTTCTGCCTGAGCCCTTTTCACTCAGAAGAATACAAACCTTTTTCTTTGTTACTCTTGTTTATGTACATCTCCTAAGATACAACTTTTTCTGAGGCTCAAAAATGCTCATTCCTGCTCTTAGGATAACAGTGCAAAATAACACAGATATTACATATTTTTCAAATGCCAAGTTGAGCACAGAAGCTAGGAAACATTGTGTTTATTACATGAGACAAGCTCTCATAAACAGTACTGAAAACCTATCTGATAAAAATGAAGCATCTGGCCAGGCTCACTGTAATCCCAGCACTTTGGGAGGCCGAGGCAGGCAGATCACCTGAGGTCAGGAGTTCGAGACCAGCCTGGCCAACATGATGAAATCCCATCTCTACTAAAAATACAAAAAAATTAGCTGGGTGTGGTGGCGGGTGCCTGTAGTCCCAGCTACTCCGGAGGCTGAGGCAGGATCACATGAACCCAAGAGGAGGAGGCTGCAGTGAGCCGAGATTGCGCCACTGCACTCCAGCCTGGGTGACACAGTGAGACTCTGTCTCAAAAATAAACAAATAAATAAATAAATAAAATAAAACATATTTCTGAGACGAATTTTAAGAGGTGACCAGTAGAGTAGATAAGACAGTATTCTGTAAACAAAACACAGGGTCAAGTTGTTTATGTCTTATATGTCTCTGCAGATGCTCCAGGTTGGCTAACTCATCATTTATTTCAACCCCCGTTCCTTGTCTTCCTCTTATAGAGTCCATAAGCCCTGTCAAAACAACATAGAACTTCTCCAAAGTAGAGAATCAGATGACTAGAAATTATGGGAGAAGTTACGATCTGAAGTCCAAACGGACCCAGAGGAAAAGAAACAGTTCTGCCCAGGAGAGATTTTTCAAGAGGCTAACAGACCCAACTTCCCTAAAGATCACCTGAGAAAAGAAAGCTGTGTGTATATGTTTTTCTTTTTTTTTTTTTTTTTTTTTTTGAGACGGAGTCTCGCTCTGTCACCCATGCTGGAGTGCAGTGGTGCGATATCAGCTCACTGCAAGCTCTGCCTCCTGGGTTCAAGCAATTCTCCTGCCTCAGCCTCCCGAGTAGCTGGGATTACAGGTGCATGCCACCATGCTTGGCTAATTTTTGTATTTTTAGTAAAGATGGGGTTTTGCCACGTTGACCAGGCTGATCTTGAACTCTTGACCTCAGGTGATCCGCCCACCTTGGCCTCCCAAAGTGCTCGGATTATAGGCATGAGCCATTGCACCCGGCCTACATTTTTCTTTCTCTTTTTCTTTTTTTTCATGCCTTGCTCTGTCACCCAGGCTGAAGTGCAGTTGCGTGATCTCGACTCACTGTAGCCTCCGCCTCCCAAATTGAAGTGATTCTCCTGCCTCAGCCTTCCGACTAGCTGGGACTACATGCACACACCACCATGTCTGGCTAATTTTTGTAGTTTTAGTAGAGATGGTGTTTCACCATGTTGGCCAGTCTGGTCTCGAGCTCCTAACCTCAGGTGATCCTCTTGCCTTGGCCTTCCAAAGTGCTGGGATTACAGGTGTGAGCCACTGCACCTGGCCTTCTTTTTAAAGGAGTCTGAATAGCACTGTCATTTAGCAACTTGAATTTAACATCTGTGGTCTAAGGTGAACTGGTCACAAACAGCAGAATTTGTCAAATAAATAAATAAGCCAGTGCAAAAATATGATAGGCTAACAAATGGTAGAGGTTTCATTTCCATAAGGAGCCTCAGAGTCCCTGAAATATATTCAACTTGGGCCGTAAATTCCCAAAGTGACCACATTTTAATGACGTTTACCCCCTCGTTTAAAAGGTTGCACTATAAGCATATTCTCGGCATAGTGCCCATTCAGAGTAAAGAAAGAATAGCTTTTATTGAGCAGCTTTATTCTGATACTTCCAAAATCTAATTTGGCCCTGTTTTCTCCTCAACAACAAAGAGATAAAGGCTTCATTGCAGCTCAAAATGTTAATCATACCAAATAAACATTTAAGAACAGATGAAATGCCAAAAAAGGACAGTGAAGGGAAAGAAGATTATAAAAACAAATAAGAGGTGGTCATCTCTAGAGGTGACTTTGAAATCAAATAGTTATAAGTTCCTGGAAGAAAATCTCTTCAGAATGTTCCCCTATAGTAGAAGCAGCCTGTGTAGCCCAGGCTTCATTCAGGGTTGGGAGAATAAGAAGGGGTCGGCTGGGTGTGGTGACTCACACCTGTAATCCCAGCACTTTGGGAGGCTGAGGTGGGCAGATCACCTGAGGTCAGGAGTTCGAGACTAGCCTAGCCAACATGGCAAAACCCCATGTCTACTAAAAATACAAAAGCTTAGACAGGCATGGTGGCATGTGCCTGTAAGGGACCCAGCTACTTGGGAGGCTGAGGCACAAGAACTGCTTGAGCCCAGGAAGTGGAGGTTGCAGTGAGCCGAGATTGTGGCACTGCACTCTAGCCTGGGTTGACAGAGTGAGACTCTGTCTCAAAAAAAAAAAAAAAAAAAAAAAAAAAAGAAGGGGTGAGCAACTGTTCATAATTACCTCAATGAAGTATTCTGAACAAATAATACATTGGAGCTCATTCTCTAGCACATCATTCATGTGGCTAAGAACTTCTTCCTTCTGTGCTTGCATCTTCTCCTTCTCTTCCTGCAAGACACACAATCCTACCTGTCATTCAGAGAACCAACAAAAATGCAAAATGGGACAGGGAGCAGGGTCAATTATTTAGAAGAGGATTCAGTCTTAATGAGTGATTCATTCTGGTGCAGCAACATTAAGAATAGAACACTTTCCCTAAGGCTTATTGTTTTTCAATAATTGTTTTCTAATACAGAGCACTAACCTCCTTTCTTTCCTCTCCCTACTTGCTATGGTCTGAATGTTTGTGCTTCCTCCCAAATTCCCATGTTGAAACTTATTTTCAAACGTGATGGTATTAAGAGGTGGGGCCTTTGGGAGGTGACTAGGTCATGAGGGCTCCATGCTCATAAATGGGGTTAGTGGCCTTAAAGGGGCCCAAGGAGAGCTCATTTGCCCCTTCCGCCATATAGGGACAGACATGGCAAGACTCCATCTACGAATCAGAAGACAGCCCTCACCAGACACCAAACATGCCAGCATCTTGATCTTGGATTTCCCAACCTCCAGTACTGTGAGAAATAAATTTCTGTTGTTTTTAAGCTACGCAGTTTATGGGTCTTTTTTGTAGTAGCCTGAATGGACTAAAACACCACTTTTTCAGTATTTGCATTGCAAATTCTGTCTCCTTCCCCAAAATTAATCAAATGAGAAAAATGCAGGTGACATACTAACCACACCAACCACCCAAGACCAGATGGGACATTAAGTAGTTTATAGCAAGCTGTAGTTCAGACATTACATAAGATTATCCCAAACAATTAAAAACTCACTGGACAAGAAAAGAGGCATGAATAGTCCAGAGGCAGGAAACTTGAATTAGTTATAAAGTTGCTGTGTTCTTTGCAGCTGCCTTTTCTGTAAAGTAAGGTACACCTCTGGAGGCAGAAGGCTGGAGACAGGCCTCTTGAATTACCTTCAGGCTCCATGCTCTATGATACCTGCCACTTCCCACTCCTGCAGAGGCCTGCAGTACCATCTCCCCGGCTTTCCCCAAGAGGTCAGACTGCGTGTGGACACACTTTTTAAGGAGGCTCCTACGTATGCTCTCTTGAAGCAGACATTTATTTTAGCACTTCACCCCCAAAACAAAAAGCATTAAGAGCCCCTGAGGGGGAGAGGATAGGCCATTTGAGGTATATTTGAGTGGCTGGCTCATTTTTAATTGTTTTATTTTCTTTTCCACTCAAAGCAAAGACTGGCAGACTGCTTAGGGCAGTGAAGAAGGTCTGGACCCATTTCTAACCATAGTCAAATTCCCTGAGAACTTATGAATCACTGGGTTTAAAAAGATGTGGCAGTTTCTTGGAGGTTGGAGAGGAAGGTATTATGTGATTTAAACAGGAAATCAAACCAGCTAAAACAAGTCCCTCCTTCAGTTCTAGGTTGGTACATGGAGGGGGTGGGATGACAGATGCAGTCAGACTCAGGTATTAATTTCAAGTCAGAGGTTGCAAATTGGTGGCCTGTGGACTGGATCCACCCTGCAGACTTGTTTAGTTTGGCCTTCATATTAAAACACACACAAAAAGCTGAAGTTGTTGCCAATATTTAAAATTTGGGATATTTCACTTAAACATTTGGACTTTCATCTGCTGTGGAAAAATCAGAAGATCTGACAACACTGGGCCTGCACTTCTGGATGGCAACAATTGGCTGAGCAGAGAAGAGTTGCCTCCTGGGATGGGGGTGTGGGCAAGTACCCCATCCAATAAGCCATAGCCCGCACAGCTCCCTACTGTGTTCTTACATTCAGGCCACTTCACTCACTTTGATTACCAGTCTGGCCCTGGTGGGCATTTAAGTTTATAACCCCTAATTCAAGAGTTCTCCTGATTTGACATGGGAAGAAACTGCATTAAGTAATTCACTTTACTTTATGTAATTCAAATTACATAGTTCAGGAGGAACTATTTCTTGACTACAATATTCCTCAGTCTGTATCAGTGACACACTCTGAAGGAGTACCCACCATAGACAAAGGACTAGAATACAGGATGCAAGTGCCTTATTCCCAGCATTTTGCTTCTGAACAAGGGAAGGAAATAGATGTTGTCTGACAGGCAGAACCTGCTATAGGCCTCTATAATTTTATAGATTATCTCCCCAGAGGCAAGGAGCAGCCATAATTTCTCTCTTTATTTTCCCTAGCAACCCTTGCACTGTTGAAAATGCTGAGTTGCATGCACTAACCAAATTCTAAACTTCCATCTTCTTTCCAGTACCTTGGTCTGCTCTAATTCTTTGTTCTTGGCTTGAATGATTGCTTCAAAGTCCTTCTTGCTGCGATTTAGCTCTTCCATTAGAGCCCAATGCTGCAAAAACATAGCAGATACATACTCAGGATGAACTACAATGCATCCTTCCTTTTAGCCACAAACATGCCTGTTCTCTCCCTCTAGTTAGTGACTTTGTGGTTCAGGGATCGATAAATTGGCAATTTCAAAATAATACCTTTATTCCATTGGGCTATCTTACCTACCTGCTGCTTTTTTCAGGGGAGAGGGCAGTTAGGGAAGGCGGCCACCAAATGGACTAGGGCCTCTAAAACTAACCCAACATTGGTGGCCATCCAAGTCAACTGAAGAACTTTCACTGTGTCCCAGAGTCTGCTTCTATAGGTTTGGCTTGGAGCCCAGAAATGTGCTTTTCTTTTTTTCTTTTTTTTTAAAGCCACCCAAGTGATTCTGGGAACAGTATTTAAGAACTAGTAAGTAATTAAAAGCTATTCAGAACTGGAAGCAGCTTTTATGAAATAATCAGGAGGAAATGGGAATCAGCAGAATTAGATAGTCATTTTTATTGAAATAAAAAAGATTTTTAACCTATTTGTTCTACAAATCACATATTACATGCTCAGACAATGCTGCCTGAACCCTGCCAGTGTTTTCTGGAAGAAGGCACACCCAGGAGCTAACAGCTCATTCATTGTGACTAAATGCCTATGCTGAATGTCAAGAGGTTCCACATATATGAAACATAATTTATGAGTTCTCTCATGCTTAAGTATAGCTTATACTTTAGAATCTCACCTCAAATTCTTTTTAAAAGAAGGTGGAGTAAAGGTAAGTATTTTTGAAAAGATATTATTCAAGAACCAAATTTTAAAATGTGTGATCTCCTGACAAAAAAAAGCAGTTATGTCAAAAGGCCTGGGTCTTCAACTTGACACACTAATTAGATATGTGTATTTTAACTTTCTCATCTATAAAATGGGAAAATATGGCCGGGCGTGGTAGCTCATAATACCTGTAATCCCAGCACTTTGGGAGGCTGAGCCGGGTGGATGGCTTGAGCTCAGGAGTTTGAGACCAGCCTCGGCAACATGGTGAAACCTCATCTCTACCAAAAATACAAAAAAATTGTCGGGCATTGTGGCGCGCGCCTATGGTTCCAGCTACTCAGGAGGCTGAAGTGGGAGGATCACTTGAGCCCAGGAGGCGGAGGCTGCAGTGAGCTGAGATTGCACCACTGCACTCCAGCCTGGGTGACAGAACGAGACACTGTCTCAAAATAAAAATAAAAGGAAATGGGAAAATAGGTGCCCCCTCCTCCCTCAGTGTTCATAAGAAAATAACAGGTATGAAAAGCATTCAGAGAAGTTTTTTGAGCTGTATATAAACACATCTTTTTATTTTCTTTTCCACTCAAAGCAAAGACTGGCAGACTGCTTAGGGCAGTGAAGGTCTGGACCCATTTCTAACTATAGTCAAATTCCCTGAGAACTTATGAATCACTCGGTTTAAAAAGATGTGGTAGTTTCTTGGAGATTGGAGAGGAAGGTATTATGTGATTTAAACAGGAAATCAGTTATAAAAGACCATTATAAAAACAGTTTTTATAATGGTCTGGTAAAGAACAGCTTTCAAAAGTATCAGCATGGTGGAACAAAAAACCACCACTGCATGAGAGTGGCATGTCCCCCAGGCATGATGGTATAGAACCATGACCTAAAAGTATCACTTTTTTTTGAGACGGAGTCTTGTTGCCCAGGCTGGAGAGCAATGGCACGATCTCAGCTCACTACAACCTCCACATCCCGGGTTCAAGCGATTCTCCTGCCTCAGCCTCCTGAATAGCTGGGATTACAGGCATGCGCCACCACGCCCGGCTAATTTTGTATTTTTAGTAGAGACAGGGTTTCTCCATGTTGGTCAGGCTGGTCTTGAACTCCCTACCTCTGGTGATCCGCCTGCCTGGGCCTCCCAAAGTGCCGGGATTACAGGCGTGAGCCACCGTGCCCGGTCTAAAAGTATCACATTTTAAGCTAATAAATGCATGGCCAAGTATCCCATGCAAAATGATAGAGTGTTTTCCTGTCTCAGGAGAGGGTGCAGGGTACTCAGTGATCCCTCAGGGATTTCCAACTAGCAGAACCACATTCTTTTTCAATTTCAAAACAATGTCTGAATATTAACTTAATAATGTTCCAAATGGGAAACATGCCTACTCTCCCACCCTAGAAAATAAACAAGCTCAAAAAATAAAATTCTAAAAAGATTGAATTAATTTTCATCTAATTCTTTCCAAAGCTGTTTGTGCAACCCTCAAGGAGATCAAGGCAGGCACCCTGTCATGCTTACAATACTGTATGACTGTTAGCACTGTTAAGGTTGGGAAGTAGGTTTACGATAAAAGGATAAATTCCCCTGAACAAATTCCTATGTGATTTGCTCACTCTTTCCAATGAGATTTGAACCATCCTGACTAAATGGCACTAAACTACTAATCATAATACATAAAAGGTAGAAGACATAGTAGGTTTTAAAGATGCAAAAGAGCACACAAAAAAATAATCAAATGAGAGTAGTCAGGTTAAATTAAATAAATTACAGGCAATCTTTTAGGAGAATTTTAGTCCTGTTGAGCTTTACCTTTTCAATAAATTGATATGTGTTGTTGATTGTTAAACTGCACATTCTCAACCTGGCCTAAAATGCTTAACTGGAACATTCCCCAATTGTTTCTGGTTGGCTACAGCTCAGGAACATTGCGGTAACAGAGGCCTTCACGGGCCCTGGTGGCCAAGTCATACCTCACATTTTCCCTCTGCTGCCCTCACCTTTCTAGAAGTGGAGCCACTTCCCCAGAGAGCCTCTTAACTGCTAAAGCTCCATTCCATCTTCACCAGAGCAACTTCTGCTCAGACAAAGATGTAAGTTTTCATGCTGAGGTCTGGCATGTTTGTAAGGCTCCAAATCTCTGATCTGATGGTGTGAGCAGCTGCCACCTGCTCTGTTTACAGACTGGGGATGCCACAGAGGTATGGGCTAAGCAGCAGAGGCAGCCAGTGGTCATGTGATGCCTGTTTGCTCCCCACTCCACAGCCCACTATAATCTTAGTACTATGGCAAAGTTACCTCCTGCAGAGCCTGGGCCAGCTGTTGCTTCAGGTCCTTTTCTCCTTGGGCTATCTCCAAACCCTGCAAAGCCAAAACAAAATGGAAGGTTTCTCTGCAGGGAAAAGAAAAAAAGGAACACAATCCAGCAACAAGCAGAGCAGACCAGCTAGTATGAGCATCTGGAAACAACAGGGGTGAGGGAGCAGGTGGAAAATCTCCTGTTTTACTTCAAGCTGTTGGCAGTAAAGAATTTGAGCAGTTATCTGCTCAAATACTGCACACTTCAGGACTGTCGGCTTTAAGCCACCAATTGGGTTGTTCTGGAAATACTATGGCCTAACAGTCCAAGCCTCCTTCATGGACTAACGCCATGATTCCCAAAAGGATGTAAACTGAGAACTTCTGAGCCCCCAAATACCTAAACTCAGATGTAATTCCCAGTGCTGGCACTCACAACATCTAGCATGCTTCTTTTCCCTCTACTCTGGCCATCTTGTCTCTCATTCTGAGTCTTTACCACTTCAGTTTATACACTGCTCCTCTGCTCCTCCTCTCTCCTTGCCTGAGCTTATGCTGTATTTCCTCATCAGCCCCCTCCAATGTGGAAGCTTTCCAGGTGATCATTAACCTATATGTCCAGCACCTTCCAAAAGAACTTCTGGGCCCTTCTGTCCTTAAGAATTACCTACCCATTTAATATGCCAACTTGAAATTGTTCTCTAATTTACTATATTGACTGAAAACTATTCTCTGATTATATCGTGTGCAGGAAACATCTTGCCTCCTCAACAAGATAAATTCCTTAATGGCAAAAACCATTTGGTAAGCATCTTTATAACCACTAGAATTCCCTAGTACCAGGCAATTTGAGTACTTAAAAAAAAAAAAAAAGTGTGAAGGAGCAAGGGTTTAATGAGCTTCTAAACCAGCAGTAGGGGATAGGATAAATCCTCAGGGCTTGGTGGGCAGAGGGAGATGCAGCTGATAAACAAGGGACTAGATACACTTCACTATGAGCATCATATACACAACCAACTCATACCCAGAGAAATTCTCTAAACCAATCCTTTCGCCTTTAACATTTTGGTACAGAAAAAGATTTTGCAGCTATACCTTGAGGCATGTCCAGAGCAGCCACAAATATTAAGCAACAGTAACTTGTTCCTGAACATATTAGCCTTTACAGAGAGTTCTGTCCTGGTGAAGGTGTGATATACTAAACACGTAGACATAAACCACCCTCTATTAATTTCAAGAACTAGTCTAGGCTGGATAAGGGAAGCAAAAAGGTACACATAAGTAAGCAGTGTATACTCTCAAAAGACCTATTTAATCCATGGCCTTTGCTAATACTGTCAGTTCAAGGGGATGGCAGAGATCAGAATGAAATTTATAAATTGCTCAGAAATAAGCCAACACTACCCCTGGCTGTTCCTTACCCTGAGCAACCCAAACAAAAAGCTTATTCACTTTAGTTGTGACTGGTCCGTCTGAGTTCTAAGTCAACAATGGGGAATTCTTGACATTCAATATTATCTGAGCAACTGGGTGGGAGCAAAATATGTGGTTCCTGCCAGATAGGAAATGACATTTTGAGCAGGGACAGGATCTGCTCTAGCCTAAAGCTTTGTGCAAGAGCTTGTCATCTAAGCAAATGACTGAGGGATGGAAATACATTTGGTCTTACCTTTATACAGCTAAGACAGTCATTATTTTACCTTCCTACTATAGGCACTGTGGAAGGTGGTTTATCATTCAACCCAACAATGCAGTCATGGTGCATCTGTCCCATCACATGCTGGCTGCTCAAAATAGAAACAAAAACATTTTCTGCCTTTTTAGCCCCTCACCTCCTGGCTTAGCTACAGAGTTAACTAACCTTTATAGCTAACAAACTGTCAGGTACCAGGGCAGAGGAACCAGCTGACCTGTACCTGCCCTGAGACTAAGTGATTTGGCCTTGGCCACAGAGCAAAGATACACAAGTCTTGAAGACAACTATTGATTCAATTGGACTATACTGTGGTTTTGTGGCATGTTGACCTTCACCTAACTTCCCCCTGAATTCATGTTGGTTCTGAGTTGCCTCAGCTTTGCCTCCTGGGATGAGTTATGCCCTGGCTGGCTCTGCTGGTCACTTTACCCTATCTTGGCACTCTAACTCTGGCTCCTGATCTCATCAGCATGCTGAAGCCTTAACCCTCTACTCAATCCCCTTCCCTTATCTCAAAAGTTTACTGTTCCCATTCCATTTCCTGTCTTTGGTGCTCAGAATTTGGTACCTGGCCCAGAAACTGAGAACTCTGGCCAGAGACTCATGAAGTGCCTGCCCCACCCCTGAAGACCACTCTTGCCCTTCCCTTCTGTGTGGTACCTGAAGATGCTGTTCCTCTTCCTGGAAAGTCTTCTCTAGTTGCTCCACTCTTGCCTGCTGCTGAGCCTGCTCTGCACACAGCTGGGACTGTAAGTCCTGAAGTTCCTGCTCCATTTGCACAACTTTCTTTGAGTTCCCCTTTTGGGTCTGCTTTTTCACATTCATAACGGCTTCATGTTTTTCCTGCATCTGTATTTTGAGCCTCAGAATCCTGGACATGGTCACCTTAAACATCTGTAAGCTTCTCTGAGATGCTGAAGAGTTTGAGGCTTTCTGCTCATGATGAACCTCTGTGACTTTGGGGAAGCCAGGGTAAATGGGAGCCCCTGTGGTCTTACTTGGCTCAAGGGCAGTCAACTTAGGATCCAAATTGTCAGAGGGTGTACTGGCCACTTCACCTTTCCCCTGTGATTTCACTGGCTGACCAGATTCACAAGACACTTTATTTATTTTGGATTTCAAATTTGAGGGGCCTTCAGCTCCAGGACCTGCTAATTCATCCAAACTGAATTTCCTTTTAGTTCTCAATTCCTTATTTTTTTCTATCATTTGGTCATTCTTTGGGGAAAGACAAGGATATATTGTCTCCCAGTCTTCTTCAGTAACTTCATATTCATACTCCGCATTCTCCTTATTTTCCAGAGGCACTCCAAGTTGGATGTAGTCTCCCTGATGAATGGAATAGACCCTTAAAGGTTCCAGACGCGCTCTGTTCAGCCAAACACCATTTAGACTCTGGGGAAAGTGAAAGAAAGAAGAAATAAGCTTCATGATTTTCGTCTTCTTAAAGGAATCTCTCTCCTGCTGCTGTAAAATCTTCTGCCTTTTCAGAAGGAAAACTCTTGATAACAAATAGAAAAGAAAGATTCATAAACGACCATCCTTAGAAACAGCATTCGTCAAGCAGTGCTTTGGCTTTTTACCTATATTTCACATTCATGCCTCCACAGAGAACTGCCATATAACAGGCAGGAATCACCTTATTATTGGTGGATAATTTACTCAAACACATGGAATAGCATTAAAGGAAACTGAAATTGGATAGCTCCTATTAACCTAAACTGGAGCAATGTCCCAAAACTAGAAAAAATGCTATTAGTGAAGAAAGCAGTAGCTAAGGGTGAGGTCCATGAAGTAGTTTCAAATGCTATCTCTGGATGTGGTTCCTTAACGCACTGGTAAGCAAGCAAGCACACATAAACCAAAAAAAAGAGAGTACTATATCTGGTACTGGGGTCAAATGGCAGGTAGGATCTGACCCAATTAATATCAACAGGGGTATATGGGCAATACAGGATAGCGGTTAAGAGCTGGAGCTCTGGACTCAGATGTGGGTTCATAGTCTGCATAGCATTTGGCAATTTACTTAACCTCTCCATGCCTCAGTTTTGTCTGCAGAACAGGGATGGTACAGTACCTACCTCACACTGTTCCAGTGAGGAATGAATAAGATAATGCATGTAAATCACTTAGCACAATGACTCACATAGAATAAATGCTTAATAAATATTTACTGTCTGGGAGTGGCAGCTTACATCTGTAATCTCAGCACTTTGAGAGGCCGAGGTGTGCGGATCACTTGAGGCCAGGAGTTCAAGACCACCCTGGCCAACACAGTGAGACCACCTCTCTACTAAAAATACAAAAATTAGCCAGGTGTGGTGGTGGGTGCCTGTAATCCCAGCTACTTGGGAGGCCAAGGCATGAGAATTACTAGAACCCAGGCGGCAGAGGATGCCGTGAGCCAAGATTGCATCACTGCACTCCAGCCTGGGTGACAGAGCGAGACTCTGTCTCCAAAATAAATAAAATAAAATAAAAATTTACTTTTATGGTTTTAATGAAGTCATAGTATTGAGGTTAAGAGCACAGATCCTGGAGTCAGACTGCCTGGGTTTGTAATGTGGCTCTATCATTTAGCAGCTGGGTGATGTTGGCCAGGTTTCTTGACCTCTTTATGGCCCAGTTACTGCACTGATAAAATGGAGGAAAATAAGTCTCTCCCTCATGGTGTCTGTGTGGATTTAATGAGATAACATATGGCAAGTATTTAGACAGTGCCTGGGCATCGTATTACGTAAGTGTTCACTACTATTACTATGCCTTGGTTCAACTGATTCATCAACAATCATTTCAACTCTATGCTCAATGTCACGCAAGGTAAATATATTGAGTGAAAAGGACATGAAAGCTTTCAGCAGCTGATGGTGGAAAAGACAACACAAGGGCACAAATGAGCAAATGTGGGATTACATGGCATAGCCTGTAAATGCAAAGGAATATCATGTGCAGCTGGGATAGCTATGGGATGCTAAATGGAGATGATAGGTCCTAAAATAGACTTGAAACAAAGGCAAGATTCAGAGTTGAAATATACTGGTGAGCATTTTAACCCGTATCAAGGACTTAAGTTCAGGGGATAGGCCAGAGATGAAGCTCACTTCTGAATTGGGACCAAGATTTATGTTTACACTGGCAACTACAGCTACCTACTTTCAGCTAGAAAAAAATCTCCAGTCAACCCAAATATGAGGGACAGGGGGCTTGACCACAAGGCACAGAGGGTAAAGGGAAAGTAGAGATCAGATCTTAGCTCTGGTTTGGCATTAGGCCCTTGTTTCCAGTTTTATCTTCCATTACTTGGTTTACACGGAAAGAAAGACTGGCATAGATACATACAGAAATATTAGTCTTAACCCACTGTGCATTGGGCCTAACCTGGTTCATCTAGGAAACCTCCTCACACTCTTTCTATTCAGCCTGAGAAACTATGGGGAGTGATAAGGTTTGCTGAATTTTGAAACAACATATGAGAAATAACAACAGAGAGGGATGGAGCTAGAACAATCTATCTGAGAACAATTTTAGAGCAGGACAGTCGATTTTAGATTATACACAGGAAAAAGGTCTCAGAAAAAGTAGTAAGACACAGAAGGCCACCTAATGCCAAGGTACAGAAATTTAAAGGAAGTCTCCAAAGCTAAGATAAGGTAAAATAAATAAATAAGATTACAGAAACAGCCCACAGCTAAAGAGAGTAGGAAGTTTGCCCTCAGAACTTCTGAGTTCTGACAGTCCACAGCTAAAGAGAGTAAGTTTGCCCTCAGAAGCTGGGGCAAACTTTCACGATATGTTGCAGCCTTCCATTAGATCCTCTACATTAACCCATTGCCTTCAGAGCCCTTTTAGAAGCTGGAAGGTAAACTCAAAATTCTCCCATCACATTTTGTCCTTGGATCCTTGTACATTTACCCATTCATTACTTCTTGGTGACATCTAGTGGTATAATTTAAACCAAGCCCTGAGTCAGGTCTGTTCATATAAGGAGACTAGAAAAGGACAAAAATCCCATGGCGGTACAGAACAATCAAGTACTGCCAGATATGATCTCAAATACAATGGCTTAAATAATCATGCTCTGTTCAAGGCTTTCTTAATGTTGGTTTTCATAACTACCCATTTGAACAATGCTAGCAGCAGAAAATGATACCCAGAAAAGTCTGCCTGATGTGTCCTAGCCACCAATGGGAAAAAAGTGGGATAATTCACATCCACTTAGACAGGAATTACTTCACTAGATGCTCAATCTCTGTCCAGCTGCTTTTAAACAGTTATTGAGGAAAGTGGACACTCAAACCAAAAGACAATGTTTTCTTGGAGTGCTTTAGATAATTTACGTAGCTCAGTGGTTCTCAACCCTGGCTATACAGTAAAACTACCTGGGAAGGTTTAAAACAAAGAGCAGTGCCTAGGTTTCACCCTCGGAGTGAGTTAAGTGGTCTGAGATAGGAACTAAGTATCAGTATTTTAAAAGTTACATTTATCTATAAACACATATAGTTGTGTAACTATATCAAGAAACAGTGCCCCTTGGTAGTCAACCTTTCCCGCATTCCCAGGCAACTACTTATCTGTTCTCTTCTCTTTCCCAGAATGTAATACAAATGGAATCTTATTATCTACACTTTTGAGTCTTGCTTCTTTCACTTAGTGTAACGCCTCTGAGATTCGTCCACACTGTTGCATTATCGGCAGTTTGTTATATTTTATTGCTGAGTAATATTGAAGGTAGTAGGGGTGGAGCACAGTTTATCCATTCCCTAGTTGTTTTTTTTCCCAGTTTTTGGTGAATATTAATAAAGCCACTACAGGCCAGGTGTGGTGGCTCACGCCTGTAATCCTAACACTTTGGGAAGCCGAGGCAGGTGGATCAGCTGAGGTTAGGAGTTCAAGACCAGCCTGGCCAACATGGTGAAACCCACCTCTACTAAAAAGACAAAAATTAGCCAGGCGTGGTGCCGCATGCCTGTAATCCCAGCTACTCGGGAGGCTGAGGCAGGAAAATCACTTGAACCCGGGAGGCAGAGGTTTGGGGAGCCGGGTTCACGCCATTGCACTCCAGCCTGGGCAAAAAGAGCGAAACTCCATCTCAAAATATAAAAACAAAAAAAATAAAGCCACTAGAAACATTCACATACAAGTTTCTGCGAGAACATAAGCTTTCATTAATCTTGGGTAAATACCTAGAAATAGGATCACTGGACAAGTATATATTTGACTCTTAGAAACCACCAGTTTTTCAAAGTGGAGGTACCATTTTATATTCACACTTGAATGTTGAGGAGTTCCAGTTATTCTGCATGCTTGCCAGCACTTGGTATCATCAAGTCTTATTTCAGCAATTGTATTAAGTATGTATCCGTCAATATATTTTTTAAAGTCTTTACTAAAGCGGAACATGCAAACATAAACGTGCACAAATCATAAATGTACCAACTCGATGAACAGTCACAAAATGAACATCTTAGTGTAACTACCATAAGGTCAAAAACAAAACAAACCCCACATTATCAGCATCCCAGAAACCCCTGTGTGTCTCCTTCTAGTCAGTAGCCACCTTGGCAATAAAGTGACTACTATCCAGATTTAACAGCACATGTAAATTTTGCCTGGTTTTAAACATTGTATAAATGGCATCATATAATATGTATTCTTTTGTGTCTGTCTTCTTTCACTCAATTTTTTTTTTTTTTTTTTTTTGAGACAGAGTCTCGCTCTGTCCCCCAGGCTGGAGTGCAATGGCCTGATCTCGGCTCACTGCAAGCTCCGCCTCCCAGGTTCATGCCATTCTCCTGCCTCAGCTTCCAGAGCAGCTGGGACCACAGGCACCCGCCACCACGCCTGGCTAATTTTTTATATTTTTAGTAGAGACGGGGTTTCACCATGTTAGCCAGGATGGTCTCGATCTCCTGACCTCGTGATCCGCCCGCCTCGGCCTCCCAAAGTGCTGGGATTACAGGCGTGAGCCACAGCGCCCAGCCTTCTTTCACTCAATATTATGTGAGGTTTATCCATGTTATTAGATATAGTAGTTCATTCATATTCACTATAGTATAGTGTTTCAATATAAGATTATTCCACAATTTATCCATTCTACTGTTGATGGACATTTGGGCTGTTTCCCGGGGAGTGAAAATACTGTGTCAAGAGCTATATGTATGTTCAACTTTAATGAATAATGCCAAATAATTTCCCAAATTGTACCAATTTACACTCCCAACAGAAGGGTAAGAACATTCTATCACTCCATATCCTTACCAATACCTGGCATCACTAGTCTTCAATTTTAGCCACTCTGGTGAATGTGTAGAGGTATTCCATTATGGTTTTAATTTAAATTCCCCAGATTATTAATGAGGTTGAACAACTTTTCATTGGATAGAACCTTTTGTGAAGTGCTTGTCTCTTGCTCATTTTTAAATAGGGCATATCTGTCTTTTTCTTATTGGAGTTCTGCAGATACCTCAGTATAAACCCTTCATTGACTATAATGTGTAGCAAACATCTTCCTCTGAGTTTGCCTTTTACTCTCTTAATGGTGTTTTTTGACGAATGAACGCTTTTATTGTACTACCATCAGTATTTTTAAAAAGTGCCCCAGGTGAGAGTAAAAACTGGAAACAGGGTTGATAACCACTGCTCTAGTTGCTGGAGGACCAGAAGCTGAACTGTCCCAAACAGCAAACTTTGTTCACGTAAGAGTACACTCAACAGGGACTTCAAATGCCAGAGTCTGCAGAAGAACAAAGGTAGGAATCACCAGGCAGCAGGTGAAAAGCAACAGGAGAGGAGGGTAAGAATGGGAAAGGCTCAAGTAAGACGTGACTGAACCTCTAAGGCATTTCATACTGTGACTTTAAAACAACCAATTTTCTGAAAGAGCTGGATACCAATACAAAGGACGGGCCATCTGAAAAGCTTATGAATTGACCAAAACCTACACAACTAGAACCATCCTCATACTGTGTGCAGACTTAGCTGTCCTCCAAGGTTTTTTTCTATATTTTAAGCCAATTTTAAACCAAAATAACATTTCTTGCAATTTTTGTATCTATACTTAAGCTCTCACTTTCTGGCCATTCCAGCAGATAAGAGAATGCAGCTCTGAGTTTTTAACTTGTTAGAAACACCTATCTCTTGAAAAAGATTTGGCAAATGACTTCAAACACAACCACAGCAATAATACCCTACAGCTGAAATTCAGGTCTCTTATCAGCAGAAGAGGGCTGCCATGGCATCATGCCAGGAGGAAGCCAGAAAGGGGGCATCTGTAGTCAAAAGAAAAGTGCAGGGGGCAGGGGGGATTTACTTGTAAGAATTGTTCCATCAAAACACCCCAGTCCTAGCTTCTCTTAAAATTAAATCAGTTATCTCACAAACAATCACAGCTAAAAAGTTTAAACAGGTTGTTAAGAAACCTATCTTTCCTCTCTATTGCCTGACTGAGACCTGAGAAGAATCATATGATAACAGCAACCCTAGAAGGAAGGGTACAAAGCAAACACTGGAGAGTGAGCCCGGAGCACAGTCATGATCTGATCTTGCACAGGCTGCCTCTGTATCCCTGTGGTTGAAATTCAAATAACACTGAAGTTGATCAGCTGTTGGCTTCCCAACCTATGAAAATCTGCTAATCCCATAAGTGGATCACATCTACACTGCACATAATTAAGAAAAGCAGCAGCAGAGAACTCACCTCTATAATATTGTAATCCTAACTCTCATACAGCCTACTCTGATGAGGAAAACATCTTTTCCTAAGCTGTTTTGATATACGCTATTACAGAGGCTTTAAAACCTTGCAGCTATATTTTAAATATGCATAATTAATTGTTTGACGTCATAAAGCCAGTATAGCAAATTGCTTACATACTTTACTGATACTTGACACAGGGCATAGCAGAGAAACTTAAGTCCTGGCTCATTATAGAGAAGGCTTTGGGCAAGACAGTTTATCTCTCTGGGCCTCAGATTCATCTGTCTACATAAGGGGTTAAAGTAGATAATCTCAGTGCCAATTTTTATCCTGCTCATGGTGCCTTGCTAAAAGTGCTGAACTGATTTACTTAGCATTTATGTACTGTCTCCTTCAATACAGTGCCAACTCAACTTAATTCTAGAGCAGGAAGATACTTTCCAACAGCTTAAATCTAGCAGTTTTATGCACGCAATATGAGGATGGCAGGCAGACCTGTGGGATACCCTCCCTTCTAATGGTACCTTTAAAATCCTAACTGGGGCAGTGAAGCAATATGAAATGGCACTTAAAGACATGTTATACTTCCTAAACATTAACTGTTTATGTTAGAATTTCTCTCACCTCATAGTCTGTATTTTCATCACATTCCTCGGTGCTTGTATATCTGCACTTTAGGTATCTTCTTTTCTTTTTGATAGCGACAGGGCTTCACTATGTCAGCCACACTGGAGTGCAGTGGCTATTCACAGGTGCAATCCCTTTGTTGATGAGCACAGCAGTTTTGACCTGCCCTCCTTCCAACCTGGGTCAGTTCACCTCTCCTTAGACAAACTGGTGGTCCCCTGCTCCCAGGAGGACACCATATTGATGCCGAACTTAAGGCAGACACCAGAATGGCATAGCACACTATAACCCAGAATTCATGGGCTCAAACAATCCTCTGGCCTCAGCTTCTCCAGTAGTTGGGACTACAGGCATGTGCCACCACACCCAGCACATTAGGTACTTTCTAATTGCTGGGCTTCATATACTATTGCACCTCCCTCAATATATTTACCACTAAACTAGTGGTTTTCAAATTTGTTTAAAGGAGAAAAACCCATTATTCAAAGGAAATCTTCGGAACACCAATATTTAAAACATGTTTTAAAGGCCAGGGGAGGTTGCTCAGATTGAAAGGAGTGAGGAAGGAAAGGAGCTAAGCGCAATCAGATCAGTTTCTCCCTCCTCCCCTTGTCCACTGAGCCATAAGTGTACTCCAGAAGCGTCAGCAGATTCTGCAGATTCCCAGGGTCTCTGGGAGCTTCACCTCAAACAGGCTTATTTGCCCAGTAACTTAGTCTAGTTTCTGGAATAGGACCTACTACCCCAATTCAGGTATTCTCTTCAAGTTAACAAACTTTAACCCAAATCAAGAGAAATTATTTTAGCATAATCGAATCTCTGGCAGCATATGGAAGTGGCTGCCTCTGGAAAAGGGAACTGGATGGCTAGGAAAGAAGAAGTTATACTTTTGAATTTTATACCATGAATTACCTATGCAAAAAAAAAAAAAAGTAATTTAAAAACAAATAAAAGTCATTAGGCTTCTGTGAATTCCTGTACCTTGTTGTCCATAATTGTCCATTGGCCCTCAGGATTCTGCTTCAAAACACAGTGGTTTCGAGAAATCATCAGGGGGCAGATTTTTGATACCAGTTGGTATGTGACACCAAATCCTCGTCCTACAGTCACCTGGGAGACAACAACAATGCAAGAAATACCATCAGTCATTGTGCTGAAAAGGGAGGTCCTTTACAAATCTCATCAACCAGCAGCATATGCAGGTCCTGACTTAAGAAACCAGACACCTGTGGAACCAAAACAGTGCATCAGCTATCTCCTCTTCAGCTGTCTTGAGAACCACCAAGTAGAAAAAGGCAAACGGTTGTGACAACAAGAGAAAGCTGAAAAAGAGTTATCCATGTATCTCAGGGTTGCCAAGATCTTGAAAGGTCATCTGGTTCAATGACTATGAGATAGAGGAATTCTTTCTACACATCCCATCAACGCATAAATACTGTCAGTAACTTTACATAAGGCAGGCCCTCCAATTTTTAAAATGTCTCTGACTTGGCATTTTTCTCCTTGTAAATTCCATCCATTGGCCCTGGCTTTGCCCTGGGCACCATCGGGAAATCTCCAATCCCCTTTCAATGGCACAGATATAAAGTGAACACTGAGTTTTCTCTTTTCCTGGTTCTGTATTCCCAGTTACTTCAACTTAACTCCCAGGGGATGGGCTTGAGCCTTTGCCATTCTAATGAGTCTGTGAAGGGACTGCTGGTTTATCTTTATTCCTGGATGGCATATTAAGAAAAATAAACTTAATTTCTATTACACAGTCAAACGCAAGTGTTACTTTCCCAGTTCTAGATATTATCACTGGAGCATATAAATTGCATTAGCTTTCATAGCAGATCTAGTACACTGCCAGTGTATCCTCGAACTTAGGAATGATTAAATTTCTTGGTCTCCCCCTCCTCCAAGAAATGCTATCCTAAGTCCTGTCTCTTCTGCTCTATACTTGACTGGATGGAAAACCTTGGATTCAAGCGCAGGACCTTAGATTGATTCCTATTAAATTTCATCTTGCTAGTTCAGCCTATCAAACCAATTTGTCAAGACCTTTCTGAATTTTTAATCTGCCATCAGATCAGACATACTTAATATCTCTTCCACCAAATTTATGAGATGATGCCTTCTATACCTTCGTTCAAGACACAGAATGGGATGCAGCCAAAGGCAAAGTTTTCAGGAAAACCTAGTAAACATTAACCCACACCATCTGGATATACCTTCAGCCAGTTATAATTCAACCAAAAGTCTTTGCATTGGAGTACATATTCTCTGTCTTATCCACAAGAACAGCTTGAGAGCTTCCGGAAAAGGTTGAAAAGAAGCCCCAGTTCACATCTATCATACTTTCCTGTTGGACCAGTCTAGTTCATAACAACCCTGTGAAGGAAGGAAATGAAATTCTTCTGAGTTCCAGATCACAGAATTCCCTTATTCTTTTTTGTTTGTTAATTTTTTTTTGTTTTTTTGAGAGAGTCTTGCTTTATCACCCAGGCTGGAGTGCAGTGGCACGATCTTAGCTCACTGCAACCTCTGCCTCCCGGGTTCAAGCAATTCTCCTGCCTCAGCTTCCACGTAGCTGGGATTACAGGCACGCACCACCACACCCAACTAATTTTTGTATTTTTAGTAGAGACGGGGTTTCACCATGTTGGTCAGGCTGGTCTCGAACTCCTGATCTCAAGTGATCTGCCTGCCTCAGCCTCCCACAGTGCTGGGATTACAGGTGTGAGCCACCGCGCCCGGCTCCCTGCATATTCTTCTTAGTGCACAAACGACCTCTTTAATGTCCCATATCACAACCTTAACTGGGAACTTTAAACCAAAGTTAGCTAAAACTGCCCTCTTCTCTTCTCTTTAAAATCTTTCAGAATGCCTGTCCTCCTCAGTCCCTCAAAGACCACCACGACTCACTGACCTAATCTATTCCTCCCCACAAACTCTTATCTCAGTATTCACAATACTATCCAACCAACTACTCAACCCATAACCCAGAAGCCATCTTTGATTCATCTCTGTCCCTCATCCCCACATTGAAAT
Source organism: Homo sapiens (assembly GCF_000001405.40). NCBI lineage: Eukaryota > Metazoa > Chordata > Mammalia > Primates > Hominidae > Homo > Homo sapiens. The sequence goes on along the minus strand of NC_000006.12, from coordinate 37,358,522 downwards.
CACTGGTAAATTATATGGGCTATAATTCAAATATGTCCTAAGTCTGTTCATTCCTATCTCTGCAGCCACAGCCTTAGTCCAAACCACCTGGCCTCCTACTGTTTCTGTTCTCACTCTAGCCCCCATAAGCTTTATAATAGTAACTGGAATAGAAATGTAAAAATTTTAAATCAGGTCATTTTCCTTCTTTCCTTAAAACTGTCCAATCATTCAAACTTCCTTCCATGGCCTATAAGACCCTGAATGTCCTGAGCCCTTCTACTCTTTAGTCTTAACTCATACCATAGTGCCAACACTAGCTGCTCCAGCCCCTCAAACTTTTTTGTTGTTGTTGTTCCTTAAGCCCATCTCCCCGAAGTGCCAGCCTACCTGAGGGTCTTTTCACTTAGCCCCTCTGCTAAGAACACTCTTCTCTCAGATCTTGCACAGGCTCCTTATCTTTCATGTTCCAGCTACTCATAAGCCTACTCTGATTACCTCTGTCTAAAGTTGGTTGTCTGCTTCCCATCATATTTCTTCAGTTATTAGGAAGTACTTATCACAGACCAAAATTATCTTGTTTATTTTACTTTTCCCCTCTGTCCCCGTAATAGAATATAAATTAGATAAGCAGGGACTTTATCTGTCTTGTTTACCACTGTGTTTCTATACCTGGCATAGTGTTCAGTTAAGTATTTGAGAATGAATGAAAGAATAAAGAGGTCTTGCATATGAGTCCTCAAGATTTTAGGGTGGGTGTTTTTAGGTCAGAAGTTAGAGACTGTATTACCATTGGAAAATATGGAGCAGCAGTTGGAACTCATACAGTCTCACTTGTTTCTCTTTAAAATGTTGTGGTGATCACTCCACCAACACTGAGCACAAAGTTTTTCAGTTCTTTCACACTCTGCCAGAATTATATTAATTATAGAAGTTCCTCTGAATACACATATCTGTTAAAAATGGAATGGCTAGGGATTTATCTGTCGTCCATATTCAGTAAAATTTCTATTTAGGTAGCTTTATCTCTAAGAGAGGAAGCATCTCATATTACATGCTAATACTTGAGGGGAGACAGCCAGACTGCCATTGTGAGTAGCCAGGGGAAAACAGTACCAAAACAGTAGAAGAGTGCCTTTTCCTGACATTGCCTCCAACAGACTCTGAACCCAGAAAAAGGAATCATTCTTTTACATCCTTCCCTGCACTGCCTGGTCTTAGAATTTACCTTGGTACTACTGATATTTCACCTATACTGTAGTTAAAGAGTGCAGTGAGGTTACCTGGAAATCTCAGGACCACTCAACATAACACTGAATTTCCCGTGGGAACTGACTGACGACCCATATGTGAGGGGTTGTTTTCATTTACAATAGTTTTGCAAGCCTTTGAGCTTACACACATTATTGATCTAAAAGATCATCCTGTCTTTGCCCACCTTCACTAAGACTATCTCTTTCCTCCTGGGCACAATTCCTACTGTTTCTCAAATAACAAGTAAATCTGGCCAGGTGTGGTGGCTCACACCTGTAATTCCAGCACTTTGGGAAGCCCAGGCGGGCGGATCACATGAGGCCAGGAGTTCGAGACCAGCCTGGCCAACATGGCGAAACCCCACCTCTATTGAAAACACAAAAAGTAACTGGGCATAGTGGTGCATATCTGTAATCCCAGCTACTTCGGAGGCTGAGACAGAAGAACCACTTGAACCAGGGAGGTGAAGGTGTGATCACACCACTGCACTCCAGCCTGGGTGACAGAAGGAGTACTCTGTCTCAAAACAAAACACCCCACAAAAAAGCCCCCAAACCAGTAAATATAACCATCCTTTCCCTTTTTTCCCTTGGGGCAGAAAACTTAATGAAAACTAAATACAAGAGAAGAAAAGGGGAGAGAAGGTTCTGTTGTTTTCCCCAAAGGCCTAGATACTTTATAGTACCTGAGAACTAGCTAATTTGCAATAAATCTCTACTTGTTTTTCCACCAAACTCTATGCATTGCTTTAACAAGCTTAAAGCCACTTAATTAGACAATTTACTACAGTGTTCCCATCAATGAAATGAAAGGAACCCTGTTTTATTATTTTATCCACAACATCTGAGACTAAGAACTGGAAAGGCAGGGAACTGACCTACCTTTGCTGTTATGTTATTAGCGTATCTTTTAAAATCTTGTGCAAAACAGCTTGTGCTATGATTTGGGGACCATAACAATAAGTACAACTTCTTCTCTTGCCTTTGATTCAGACTTCTTTTCAGGCTATGCTACGACCTGACCTTGCAGGCAGCCAAGCCTGGCAGGCTTCTCCTACACACAGGTCCCTGAAGCCAGCCACAGTCTTACCACTGAGTTTATATGGGTCCCTCCCCATGCAACTGGCCCCATAAAGAACTATCAAATGGTTTAGAATATGTCTAAGACTGCTTTATAGTCTTCTTGCCCTTTCTTCAGGTGCTTTAATTCGTCCTCCCCATCCCACCTGCCCAAGACTGCAGTACTGACAAGCTATTCAGAAGTCATAAATTAATCCACAACAATTGAATCTAAAGGAATAACACTTGCCCACTGAGTTATCTTATGAGGTTGTGTGTATGCAGGGATCAGATTAAGTAATGTATGTGAAATTAACTAATAGTTATGCACAAAAATAATTTATTTTTGTGTGTATTATTCAGGTTATTATTCAGGTGTTCGTGTTTTAATTTGTTAAACTTCCCACAAACATATGCTGTTGGAAAGGGCCAGGCAGGGAAAGATCAGTGCTCAAGCTAAAAGAATGAATGCTTAATGTGGACTTTTAGGCACTAATACCTGGATAGAAGAGGTATTTGGAGGCAGAGATGTTTTCTTGGTGTTCCTCAAACCACAGCATACAAGTAACCCTTTATAACACTCCCTAATCTAGCAATTAAATTTGTGCCTAGACATGAATTCCTCCTCTGACTTGAAGAACTACTGCTCTGGGAAGGAACTAAATAATCCAAATCTTAGCACTTGATCATACAGCCCATATGGATGTTCTTTATACGATGACTGCTTCATTGTATAAATCCTCTCTCCCCACTCAAGCCTTAAACTCTTCGAGCGCAGAAATTTTATTTGTCCTCATTGTACACCAAACAATGTTAAATACTCAGTAAATACCTGGCAGACTGAATTGAGGCAGTACGGCTTATAGGAAAAATCTACCTGAACACACATGAGACTCAAAATACTTCTTGAATTTACATCATGACCAACCATCCACTTTTACTGCAAAGAGAACTTTTCATACAGATTATTTCCAAAACCCAAATGGTTCCCAGTCATCACAAGCTTGTCCCTGACCCAGTTCTCCTTCTCAACCTGATTGCAATCTAACTCCCTCCTCCCTTCCCTCGTCTTTTCAAGATGCACCACGCTGGTGCATCTTGAACCGTGCCAGGAACGGTACCTCATCTTTCCCCTTAAAATATTTTTCATTTGCAACTGCATTAATAAAGACGACAGGCAGCCTCTGGAGAGAACTCTGAATACCTGCCCGACCCACCTCAGGGAGTGCCACTCGGCCGTACCGAGCCTCACAGGAGAAATGTGGCCCAGCCCAAGCCGCCCATGTTCCTCAGAGTTGGGAAGGAGGAAGACATTTCTACGTGAAAGTTTGATTGCTTTAAGGGACAAAACCCAAAATTTGCAATCGTTTTCAAAACAAACTCGAGAAAGTTCAGGCGCCGGGCCCTGCCTCGGCTTCCCGGCAGCTCGCGGCCCCCGCCACCGTTCCCCGACCTGGCACCGCGGGGCTCTGTGCGCCCTAAACGGGATCTGGCCAGCCCCCGCCCTCCCCTCCTCGACACCCCCGCATCTCCTCACGTTCCCTGCGCGTCCCTCTCCTCCCAGTCCCCGGCCCAGCTACCCGCTGACCCAGGCCTCTCTGGACGGGGCCCGCTTCTCGCCCCACAGGCCGCGGGTCAGGGCCTCCGTCCTCGCCCCAACCCTTGTGGCCCCCCCGGGCTCCCCAGAGCCGAACTCTCTTTTCTTCCTTTCTCCCACTCGGCCCCTATTTCTCCCCCAAACACCTCCCACCGCAGACCCTTCAGCCGCTCGCGCCAGAACCGCTTTCTCCCTTCTCTCCCCAGGAATCCACCCCCCCCACAGACACTTCGCTCCTCTTCCTGATGCCCGCCTCCTCTCTGCCATTCATTCAGCCCAGCAAGACACCTTCCTCCCTCCCCGGAGCCCCGCTCCCTCCAGCCCCTGCCCTCCGCTCCACAGGACCCCTTCCCCCGTACCTCGCACCCATCTTCCAGCAGCAGCCACCCGGCGCTCATCCCCACCCGCCGCAGGCACCAGCTCCGGCCACCGGCGCGGTCTCCTGTGACGAAGAAGCCGGGCTCCCCCATCGCCTACTCGACCCCGGGGGCGGTCAGCACCGAGCGAGACCCTGACCTAGGTTCTGGCTGCCTCTGTGCATCCCCTCAGCTTCCATATCTAAATAACAGACAGAAGCAATCGCCACACGCTCGCGATCGCTGCGAAAGCAGGCTCCGCTCGCCCGCCCTCGGCCAGGAAGCAGGAGCACTACGCCTGCGCAAGAGGACGGCGGCCGCCCTGGAGCAAAGAGGGTGGGTTGGGAGCCAATCCGGCCCTGGGCGGGGCGGGCGCGATTCGAGAGGTCTCCTCGCCTCACACCTTCCCTCGCCGCCTCCAGAACCATCACCCCAGTCCTAGCCGCCCCAGACTGGAACCTCTTCTCACCTTTCCTCTTTTTAAAAAAGTCATGTGAAACTATAGCCCACTTTTAAACAACTTTAAACTTTCCATCGGATTTAAGTCTGCCTAGTCTGTTGCTAAATAGTCTCTATTTTGCACGACCTACTTATATTACCGAAGTAAAAAATAAATTACACTAGGCAAATCTACAAAGACAAAGAGCACAGTTACCTGGGGCGAGGTGTGGGAGCGGGTATTGAATGCAGATGGGCTTGAAAAAATTGGAGGAAAGCGGTAATAGAAATGTTCTAAAAGTGGATTGTGGTGACAATTGTACAACTGTATAAGTTTATTAAAAAGTCATGGAAGTGTGGCCGGACGCAGTGGCTCACGCCTGTAATCCCAGCACTTTGGGAGGTCGAGACGCGCGGATCACTTGAGTTCAGGAGTTGTGACCAACCTGGCCACATGGGGAGACACCGTATCTACAAAAAAAAAAAAAAAAAAAGGAGGAAGGGAGGGAGAGAAAGGAAAAAAGAAAAAAAAGAAAAATTAGCTAGGTGTGGTGGTGCACACCTGTAGTCCGGCTACTTGGGAGGCTGAGGTGGGAGGATCACCTGACCCCGGGAGGCAGAGGTTGCAGTGAGCCGACATGGCGCCACTGCATCCCAGCCTGGGCGACAGAGTGAGACCCTGTAAAGTGAAGAAAGTGTAAACTTCCAGTGGGTGAATTTTATGGCATGTAAATTATACTCAATAAAGCTGTTAATTTTATTATTATTATTACTGATTACAGACAGGGTCTCGCCCTGTCACCCAGGCTGGAGTGCAGCCTGGAGTGGTGCGATCTCAGCTCACTGCAACCTCCGCCTCCCGGGTTCAAGAGATTCTCCTGCCTCAGCCTCCAGAGTAGCTGGGATTACAGGCACGCGCCACCACGCCCGGCTAATTTTTATATTTTTTGGTAGATACCGGGTTTCGCCGTGTCTCCTGGATTCAAGTGATCCAACCGCCTCAGCCTCCCAAAGTGCTGAGATTACAAGCATGAGCCCCCGAGCCCGGCCAATTAAAAAATTGTTTTTAAACTCAGCCTCTCCTTTGGATTTTCCATATAGTGTGATAGCTGCTGCCTGCAGTGAGTACATCCAATGGTTGAGCCCCTTTTGTCTTTTCAGTTTTCCAACACCCAGTTAACAATTTCTTTCTTCTTTCTTTCCTTCCTTCCTTCTCTTTCTTTCTTTTCTTTTTTCTTTCTCTTTTCTTCTTTCTCTCTCTTTCTTTCTCTCCTTCCTTCCTTCCTTCCTCCCTTCTTCCTCTCTTTTTTTTTTTTTTTTGCACAAGGGGAAAGAAGGAAAACAATTTTCCTAAATAAAATTCTGTCAAAAAACCAGCCGGGCTGGGCATGGTGGCTCATGCCTGTAATCTCAGCACTTTTGAGAGGCCGAGGCAGGCGGATCACCTAAGGTTGGGAGTTCAAGACCAGCCTGACCAACATGGAGAAACACCGTCTCTACTAAAAATACAAAGTTAGCCCAGCGTGGTGGCGTGTGCCTGTAATCCCAGCCACTCAGGAGGCTGAGCCAGGAGACTCGCTTGAACCCAGGAGGCAGAGGTGGCGGTGAGCCGAGATCTCGCCATTGCACTCCAGCCTGGACAACAAGAGTGAAACTCCATCAAAACAACAACAACAAAAAAAACAAAAACAAAAACAAAAAACACACACACAGCCAAGTGTGGCGGCTCACGCCTGTAATCCCAGCACTTTGGGAGGCCGAGGCAGGTGGATCACCTGAGGTCAGGGGTTCCAGACCAGCCTGGCCAACATGGTGAAACCCTGTCTCTAGTAAAAATACAAAAATGATCTGGGCATGGTGGTGAGCACCTGTAATCCCAGCTACCAGGGAGGCTGAGGTGGGAGGATCCCTTGAGCCTGGGAGGCAGAAGTTGCAGTGAGCTGAGATCACACCACTGTACTCTAGCCTGGGTGACTGAGCAACACTCTGTCTCAAAAACAAATACACAAACAAAACAACAAGAAAAGAAAATACATACACTAAATGAATTACACAGTGTACAATAGTAAATAGCTAACATTTACTGAGTGCTAAGTGCCAGGTACTAGGCGAAGCACCCTACATACTTTATTTGTCCTTTGCAAACAGAAAGAAAAAAGAAAAATTAGCCAGTTATTAGTGGTTACAATTATAATCCCTATGTTAGAGATGATGAGAAAAGAGGCACAGAGAGGTTTTGGTAATCTTCCCAAAGTAACAAATGAAATGGCAGAGTAGGATGTCAATTCAAGTCTGTTTCAAAAGCCTAGTTTCCTAACCATGGGTGCAATCCCAACCTGGAACATTTTATCTGTGTTGTGCAGTCAGATCAAGAAATGCAGGCCCTGACATCACAGAGGGCCAGGAACTTTGGTGAAAGTCATAGCTGCACTCATGGAGATGCTTCCCTAAGCTGTGCATAGGTATCTGTTGGTGCCCCCACCCCACCTTAGCATTCTACCCCAGGAACAGCAAGCACACCTAGAAGCCACCCTGACATTTAGTCTGTGTGTCTCCTTAGGCTCCTCTTGGCTGTGATAGATTCTCAGACTTTCCTTGTTTTTGATGACCTCGACAATTTGAGGAGTACCAGACAGATATTTTGTAGAATGTCCCTCAACTGGGATTTGTCTGATGTTTTTCTCATGATTAGACTGGGGTTATGGATTTGGGGATGGAAGACCACATAGGTAAAGTGTCATTCTCATGGCATCATATCCAGGGTACGTGTTATCAACATGAACTATCATTGTTGGTGTTCATCTCGATCACCTGGCATTTCTTATTTCTTGATATGACAGTACCACACAGATAAAACGTTCCAGGTTGGGATTGCAACCATGGTTAGGAAATTAGGCTTTGGAAATCTAGGTAGTGTTTGTCAGGTTTCTCCACTGTAAACTTACTTTTTTTTTTGAGACAGAGTTTCACTCTTGTTGCCCAGGCTGGAGTGCAATGGCTCAATCTCGACACACTGCAACCTCCGCCTCCTGGGTTCAAGCGATTCTCCTGCCTCAACCTCCCGAGTAGCTGGGATTACAGGCATGAGCCACCACGCCCGGCTTATTTTGTATTTTTAGTAGAGACGGGGTTTCACCATGTTGGCCAGGCTGGTCTTGAACTCCTGACCTCAGATGATCTGCCCACCTTGGCCTCCCAAAGTGCTGGGATTACAGGCGTGAACCACTGTGCCAGGCCTTTTTTTTTTTTTTTTTTTTTTTTGAGATGGAGTCTCACTCATTGGCCCAGGCTGGAGTGTAATGGTGTAATCTCAGCTCACTGCAACCTCCACCTCCCAGGTTCAAGCAATTCCCCTGCCTCAGCCTCCTGAGTAGCTGGGACTACAGCTGCATGCTATTATGCCTGGCTAATTTTTGTATTTTTAGTAGGGATAGGGTTTCACTATGTTGGCCAGGCTGGTCTCGAACTCCTGACCTCAGGTGATCTGCCCACCTTGGCCTCCCAAAGTGCTGGGATTACAGGCGTAAGCCACCACGCCCAGCCTAAACTTACTCGTTTTTTTTCTCGTTTTCCACACTGTACTCTTTGGAATGAAGTCACTATTCCTGGGCCAAATTTAAGGAGTGAGGAATTATGCTCCATTTCCTTAACTGCAGGTTCTCTACAGAAACTGTATGGAATTCTGCACAGGAGTTTGTCTCTCCTCCCCTGTTGATTTATCAACAGCACTTTGGGAGGCCAAGATGGATGGATCACTTGAGCCCAGGAGTTCAAGATGGGCCTGGGCAACATAGCAAGACCCCCCGCTCTACAAATAATAAATTAAAAATTTAGCTGTGTGTGGTGGCATGCACCTGTGGTCCCAGATACTTGGGAGGCTGAGGCAGGAGGATTGCTTGAGCCCAAGAGGCCAAGGCTGCAGTGAGCCACTGCACCCTAGCCTGGGTGACACAGTGAGACCTGTCTGAAAAATAAATAAGTAAAATGAAAAATATATCAGTGTGAACCCATGGATATTTATTTTATACTTTGGGTTATAATCTCATACTGCTTTATTTTGTTTCTCAGATTGTTCCTACTTTGGCCATTGAGAGCTCTTTCAGGTGGCTATGGTGTCCTTTTGACATACTCTCGTTGTGTTTTGCTAAGTACTTCCTTACTTTCTGGCACAAGATACCCTAGACCTAGAATTAGCTATTTCTCCAAGGATCTCTGGTTCCTTTATTGGAAAATGGTATTAGAAACCAAGAAACTCTGGGCACTAGGTGCAGTCATTGCTAGTGGGATGTCATTGTTTCTAGGCCTTCTCAGCTGACAGAGCAAATAAATATATGGGTGAATACTAACCCTTGATATACACATATTTATAAATATTTATGCATATATACACATTTGTGTTGTGTGTGTGTGTGTGTGTATCTGTAAGCTAGGCATGAGTTCATTCTGATGTCTTACCACTCTAATCCATTCCCACCTGAATCATTCTAGCTATCTCCCCTTGTTTATCTGTAAACTTCTACTTCAAAAGTGAGAACCCAGAATCCCACCATCTGCCATCCCTTGACTTAATCTTTCATTTCCAGTATACATGTATAGTGATTTCAGAATTGTTAAGCCATACACCTTATGGAGACAACTTTATCACTACAGTACAGTACTTGTATGCAGGTCTTTTGCCTTCAGTCTCACAGACTCCACTCATGTCCAAAGTGGCTGAGGTCAGCACCCATTTCCCTCAACCCCCTTCAGAGAGGTTGTTTCATACATTTGTAATACAGTTAGATTGTTTTGTCATAGTCTATTCTATGTGGAATCCTCTGACCTGCTAAATGATTGCTTAGAATTTGTATACATTTTACATTAACAATTGACTAATGTACACATTAAGGTTAATATATACATTAAGATTCACCCTTACTGCAAAGTTCTATGGGTTTTGATAGATGCATGGTGTCATGTATCCACCATTACAGCATCAGAGAAAATAATTTATCGCCTGAAAAAAAAAATCCTCCGGGCTTCACCTATTCAGTCCCACTCCCACCTACCGTACCTCACTTGTTTTATTTAACTAAGTATCCTGGAGATTACTCCATAACAGTATATATATACATATTTCTCCTTTCTTTCTCTCTCTCTCTTTTTTTTTTTTTTTTTTTTTTTGAGACGGAGTCTTACTCTGTCACCAGGCTGGAGTGCAATGGCATGATCTTGGCTCACTGCAACCTCTGCCTCCCAGGTTCAAGCGATTCTCCTGCCTCAGCCTCCTGAGTAGCTGGGATTACAGGCATGCGCCACCATGCCCAGCTAAGTTTTGTATTTTTAGTAGAGACGGGGTTTCACTATGTTGGCCAGGCTGGTCTCAAAACTCCTGACCTTGTGATCCGCCTGCCTTGGGCTCCCAAAGTGCTAGGATTACAAGCGTGAGCCACTACGCCCAGCCTCTCTTTTTAAAATTTAATAATAATAATAAAAAAATCCCTCAGGCTCCCAAAGTGTTGGTGTGAACCACCACGCCCGTCCCTCCTTCCTCTTGACAGCTGTATATTACTCTATTGTGTAGATGTTGATGGCTGTTGTGAGACCTCAGTTCTTGTCTTCTTAGTTTAAAAGAATTTAAACAAGAGACACACAGTAGGAGATGCAACATAGAGCAATTTATTGCAAAGGAAAAAGAATATTTTGAAAGTTAAATGCAGAAGAGACAGTCCACCCTGAGAAAGGATTCAAGGCGGGACAGCCAAGACTGGCACTAGGGAGACTCCCTTTACGGGAGACTTAACATGGATTATTCATAAAGGAGTGGGAAGAGGTGTTACTAGGAAGCATGCTCTGGGTGGTCCTCTGGGTGCACATGCGCAGTAGCTGTGCATGCCTATTCATTCCCCACGTCTCATTAGCACCTTAAATCTCTACCCAGGGGTGTGGTTTTTACTCTTATAATGAGCAAAGGGTCAGTCTGAGGACAGGTAAAATCAAAATATGCATGCTCTCTATGGGGGAAATTCTCTACTAGAGACAGCTTTGCTTGAATGAGCTTGACTACAATGTGAATGCTGGGGCTTATTGTGTTGACTGTACAGTCACCATGGTTGTTGCAACCTAAGGACATGATTACTTCCTTGAGTACCTATCCTGCTTCCTAGATATACCACTGTTTATTCAACCAGTCCCTTGTTGATATGCAGTAGGGCTCTTTCCAGTCTTTTGCTGTCACAAATAGCCCTGCCATGAATTCACAGGCACCACTTTTGAGTGCCTATTATATGCTTATCGTATATCGTCTTATTAATCCTCACTACCATCCTGCAAGTTATCATCATTTTGCCTGTGAGAAAACTAAGAGTTTCTTGAAGGTTATATTTGTTTTCCATTGCATTCCTGACATTTTATTGAATGAATAAATGTAACTCAACTAGTAAATGGCAGTGCAGGAAACTGAAGCCAGGGCTGTAAGCCTAGATCTGTCTAGCCCCAGAGGTTGCATTCATTATGGTCTAGCCCTAGAGATGGCCATCCACAGGGAGTGCACAAAATGATTCATTTGTTTGTGGATAGAATATAACAGGATATCTAATTAGGTTTTTTTTGTTCGCTTGTTTGTTTTTTTGAGACAGAGTCTCATTCTGTTGCCCAGGCCTGAGTGTAGTGGCACAATCTCAGCTCACTGCAACCTCCGCCTCCCAGGTTCAAGCAATTTCTGGCTAATTTTTGTATTTCTAGTAGAGATGGGGTTTCACCATGTTGGCCAGGCCGGTCTTGAACTCCTAACCTCAGGTGATCTGCCCGCCTTGGCCTCCCAAAGTGCTAGGATTACAGGCATGAGCCACCGTGCCTGGCGGGGGGGTTTTTTGTTTTGTTTTGTTTTCCTTCCTTCCTTCCTTCTCTCTCTCTTTCTCTCTCTCTCTCCCTCTTTCTTTCTTTCTTTCTCTCATCTTTTCTTTTCTTTCTTTTTTTTTTTTCATGATGGAGTCTCACTGTGTTGCCCAAGCTGGTACTGAACTCCTGGGTTAAAGTAATCCTCCTACCGCTACCAATGACTTTCTTCACAGAATTGGAAAAAACTACTTTAAAGTTCATATGGAACCAAAAAACAGCCCGCATTACCAAGACAATCCTAAGCCAAAAGAACAAAGCTGGAGGCATCACGTTACCTGACTTCAAACTATACTACAAGGCTACAGTAACCAAAACAGCATGGTACTGGTACCAAAACAGAGATATAGACTAATGGAACAATGGAACAGAACAGAGCCCTCAGAAATAATACCACACATCTGCAACCATCTGATCTTTGACAAACCTGACAAAAACAAGAGATAGGGAAAGGATTCCCTATTTAATAAATGGTCCTGGGAAAACTGGCTAGCCATATGTAGAAAGCTGAAACTGGATCCCTTCCTTACACCTTATACAAAAATTACCGCCTAAGACGGATTAAAGACTTAAATGTTAGACCTAAAACCATAAAAACCCCAGAAGAAAACCTAGGCAATACCATTCGGGACATAGGCATGGGCAAGGACTTCATGACTAAAACACCAAAAGCAATGGCAACAAAAGCCAAAATTGACAAATGGGATCTAATTAAACTAAAGAGCTTCTGCACAGCAAAAGAAACTACCATCAGAGTGAACAGGCAGCCTACAGAATGGGAGAAAATTTTTGCAATCTACTCATCTGACAAAGGGCTAATATCCAGAATCTACAAAGAACTCAAACAAATTTACAAGAAAAAAACAAACAATCCCATCAACAAGTGGGCAAAAGATATGAACAGACACTTCTCAAAAGAAGATATTTATGCAGCCAGCAGACACATGAAAAAATGCTCATCATCACTGGCCATCAGAGAAATGCAAATCAAAACCACAATGAGATACCATCTCACACGAGTTAGAATGGTGATCATTAAAAAGTCAGGAAACAACAGGTGCTGGAGAGGATGTGGAGAAATCGGAACACTTTTACACTGTTGGTGGGACTGTAAACTAGTTCAACCATTGTGGAAGACAGTGTGGCGATTCCTCAAGGATCTAGAACTAGAAATACCATTTGACCCAGCCATCCCATTACTGGGTACATACCCAGTGGATTATAAATCATGCTGCTATAAAGACACATGCACATGTATGTTTATTGCAGCACTATTCACAATAGCAAAGACTTGGAACCAACCCAAATGTCCACCAATGATAGACTGGATTAAGAAAATGTGGCACATACACACCATGGGATACTATGCAGCCATAAAAAAGGATGAGTTCATGTCTTTTGTAGGGACATGGATGAAGCTGGAAACCATCATTCTCAGCAAACTATCGCAAGGACAAAAAAGCAAACGCCGCATGTTCTCACTCATAGGTAGGAATTGAACAATGAGAACACTTGGACCCAGGAAGGGGAACATCACACACTGGCGCCTGCCGTGGGGTGGTGTGGGGGGAGGGATAGCATTAGGAGATATACCTAATGTAAATGACGAGTTAACGGTTGCAGCAAACCAACACGGCACATGTATATATATGTAACAAAATTGCACATTGTGCACATGTACCCTAGAACTTAAAGTGTAATAAAAAAATTAAATAAATAAAGTAATCCTCCTACCTTGGCCTCCCAAAGTGCTGGGATTACAGGGGTAAGTTACCACACCTGGCCTCTAATTAGGTTTTTATCTCATCCTTTTAAAAATGCCTACTTTGTGATTATTTTATAATTACAAAAAAGAACAACATAGAAGATATGTATGGACTTTACATGAATAAACAAACATTCACATATTAGGCTGTATTCTCAGACACTGTTTTGTTACTAAGGGTGCATGACCAAAACAGGTTGAAGACCACTGACTTCTGTCTATGGCCATACCACCCTGAACATGCCCGATCTCGTTGAGACCACTGACTTCTAAGATTTGGAGATTTTATCAACTCTACCTCCCCTATATATTCCCTTTTAACAGTGGCTCTTAACTGGGGGTGATTTTGCTCTTTCCAGGCAATGTCTGGGGACATTTTTGGTTGTCATGATATGGGGAGGGGTGCCACTGGCATCTAATGACTAGAGGCTGGGTATGCTACTGAACATCCCACAAATCACTAGATCGTCCCCACAACAAGAGCTATCCCATACAAAATGTCAACAATGCTGAGGCTGAGAAACCCTGTCTCATACCCATCTCAAGAGTGAAAACTGAAATGGGAAAAGACAGCAGGATGTGGAAAAGTAAGTAGGGGGTTATTTATGTGAAACTGACAACTGTCACATTATATATGCTCAGTTAATGTCAGTTAAACAGAACTGAGGAATGTTAGAGCTGACTGTGGAGAGGCTTGGGGAGTGGGGAAGGAACATGACAATAAGGGGAGAAAGCACAGGGCAAGAAGAAGAAAGGGAAAGGGACAAGAAAAGTATGGAAAAGCCGGGCACGGTGACTCACACCTACAATCCCAGCAATTTGGGAGGCCATGGTGAGAAGATCGCTTGAGCCCAGGAGTTCAAGACCAGCCTGGGCAACATAGGGAGATCTTATCTCTACAAAAAAAAGGTTTTAAATTAGTCAAGTATGCACCTCAAAAACAAAAAAAATAGTGTGCACCTGTGGTCTCAGCTACTTGGGAGACTGAGGTGAGAGGACCACCTGAGCCTGGAAGGTCAAGGCTGCAGTGAGCCATGATTCTGCCACTGCACTCCAGCCTTGGTAACACAGTGAAACCGTGAAACCCTATCTCAAAAAAAGAAAAAGAAAAGAAAAAAGAAAAGGAAGGAAGGGAAAAATAAAAGAATTATGAAAAGGAAGTGTGGCAGATCACTCTTTTAAAAGATGATTACAAGATCTCCCATCCTGCTTGCTCTTACCATGTGACACTGACATTCCTCACATTGCAAGGTGGAGTTTATATTTCCTTCCCTTGAATCTAGATGGGCATGGGACTCCAACAGAAATAATGCTATGTCATAAAAGGTGATACAGCTTCCACCTGGTCTTTTTGGGATGCTCACTGCTGGAACCTAGTCTACATAAGGAAGTGGAGAGATCACATGAAGAGGCCACATGTAGATGTCCTGCCTGACAACCCCAACTGAGGTCCCAACTGACATCCAGCATCAATGGCCAGTTGTGGGAATGAAGGTGCCCCTAGATGACATCAGCCCCGACCCTGAATCATCCCCAGTCCTCTGTGTCTTCCAGCTGAGGCTCCAGACATTGTGGAGGAGAGCCAAGCTCTCTCTGTTGTACCCCACCTGAATCCCTGACCCACAGAGTTGGTGAACGTAATGCGATGGTTGGGTTAAGACACTTAGTTTTGATGTGGTTTGTTATGCAGCAGTAAGGAACTAGAACAGAAAGGGTGCAGGGACATGCTGGGGGCTCTTGGACAGTCATTGGTTGTGTGCTTTATATGTTAGTTAGGTTAATGCTAGCTGCAGTAACATACAAACCCCAAGTTTCAATGGTTTAACACAACAGAAGGTTATTTCTTACTCACGTATTTGTTCAGTGTTCCTAGTGAGTGGACAGCCTACCATTAAGTCATTCAAGTACTCAGACTACTTTCTTTCTGTAGCTTCTCTGTTCCCTAGGGCTTGGAGTCCTCTGCATCGAGAAAGCAAAACAAGGGAAGAGAGAATGGGGAAGGTACACTTGCTTCTTCATTGTCTTGTCCCCAAAGTGACACACATTCCTTTGGCTCACATTTTACTGGAGAGAACTGGTCAAATGACCCCACCTAGATCTGAGGGAGGCTGGGAAATTCAGGCCCTGGTTGATTAGTCCTTACTAGAAACAATTCTAAATTGTGGGAAGAGGAGCATCAATTCTGCCAGACTTTAGAACTCAAGTTAACAAATTAAAATGATGATAATGACATTATCCCTCCCATTTCCTTTGCTTTTATCTCCCTGGAATAGAAGTAAAAGGATGGAATTTTTGCTCACTCCATGGCTTTTGTGTAAGACCAGCTTTTAATTCAGTGGTAAACTAGAGGCTACTGTAACATGGTAGTTAGGGACATCGACTCTGGAGCCCTGCTGTTCAATCCTAGCTCGGCTACTTGCTACATGAGACCTTGGGCAAGCTTCTTGACCACTCCAAGCCTCAGTTTCCCCATTTGTAAGATGAAGGTGATGCTAAGTATAGCACCTAACTTATAGGATTGTTTTATGGGTCAATTCTTGTAAGGTACAGAGTAAGTACCAATAATGGTCAGCTACTGTTGTGGAAGAAGGGAGCGTCGGCTTCTGCAGATACAAACACTATCTCCCCATGCCTTTTCTACACTCTTTCATCCAAGAGACTTAAAAATAAAAACTTCCTCCTCTTTTATTATAAAGCAGAAACCTCTTCAATCAATTTTATACTTTTTAAAAATAACCCACGTCCAAGCAAGATGGGTTTTTTAAATGTCTAAAAAAATAGTTCCCTCTGTAAGCAAGGGTTGATCCACTTTGGGGGCATGGCTCTGCCAACTGAAGTGTGGTTTCCCTGTGTGAGTTTCAATAAAGGTGAGATGGAATTTTTTCATTATGTTTTCAAAAGATTGAGCAGAGAAGAAAAGGGTCTTGATGTAGCATCTCAAGGAAAGTCCTGTGTTTCTCCGAGTACTATCTTGAGACCACAGGCCAACTTTTCAACAGATTGCTGCGTGTAGCCATCTTGGGGCTGGGTGGGCAGTGAGTGCTCAGATTGGTACCATAGACTGGGAGGAATTCAGGGTGACTGCGGGAGATGAAATCTCAGATGGGATGATGCAGCCTGAGTGTGTGGTGGGGAGAAGTAGGGAGGTGGGACTTAGGGCGCCACGTTCTCATTCATCCTACCTTTTCTCTTACTCCTTTATTCTACCACCTTCTCTTCTCCACCCATCCCCAAAATGTAAAGCTCCACGCTGAAGGAATCAGGAAGGGATGTCTTTCATCTTGGAAAAGGAAATGTTTTAGAAAACCAGAAGATGAGGAGAAGGGGAAAAGTAACCACTTGCTTTGGTCAGCTTGTGTGTTCAGTGATATTTTATGTAAACGTGGGGTTTCAAGTATAGAGTTGTAAGATATTTCTGATACCTTCAATCAAGTTTATTATATTTCAGAAGTACTTGTAATAGGTAATCAAATTTACAATATTCTGGAGGTGTCTTTTTTTTTTTTTTTTTGAGATGGAGTCTTGCTCTGTCGCCCAGGCTGGAGTGCAGTGGCGTGATTTTGGCTCACTGCAACTTCCACCTCCCAGGTTCAAGCAATTCTCCTGCGTCAGCCTCCCGAGTAGTTGGGATTACAGGAGCGTGCCACCACGCCAGGCTAATTTTTGTATTTTTAGTAGAGACGGTGTTTCACTGTGTTAGCCAGGATGGTCTCGATCTCCTGACCTCATGATCCACCCGCCTCGGCCTCCCAAAGTGCTGGGATTACAGGTGTGAGCCACCGCGCCCAGCCTGGAGGTGTCTTTAATCAGTAATTAAGGTGGATATTTTGGAGGTACTTAAAATTAGTAACCACCTTTTTGGTGGGGGCCCTGACTGTTTAAGCATCCACACCCTTTAACTTGCCAAGGATCAGTATCCAGATCAAATATGTATTGCCAGCCGGGCTGGTGGCTCACGCCTGTAATCCCAGCACTTTGGGAGGCCGAGGTGAGTGGATCACCTGAGGTCAGGAGTTCGAAACCAGCCTGGCCAACAGCAAAACCCCGTCTCTACTAAACAAAAAGTAGCCGGACACGGTGGTGGGTGCCTGTAATCCCAGCTACTCAGGAGGCTGAGGCAGGAGAATCGCTTGAACTCGGGAGGCAGAGGTTGCAGTGAGCCGAGATCGTGCCATTGCACTCCAGCCTGGGCGACAGACAGAGACTCCATCTCAAAAAAAAAAAAAATTTATTACCCAGATGATTTTATTCAGGAGGAAGAGGGGAGGAAGGAGAGAAGGGAGGGGAGCTAAGGTGGGGGTGGTGGGGGCAGCAGCAGCAGAAGGCAGTGGGAATCAGACATCAATAATGACCACCTTGTTTTCCTCTGAGTTGGCTTCAGCCTGTTTATTTTGCAAGTAACGTGTATCAGGCGCCTGATATAAAATTTAGATTTTGGATGACTTACAGTTGAGTCAACTTTGAGTTGGCTATTTTTGGACTACAAAAGATCACAAAGATCCCTAACTCCGTTCACCTTTGTCAAGGGTTGAAGAAGGGGAGCAGAGAGTCGGGTCACATGGAGAACCTGGAGTTCTACAATTCAAGGTTATAATGCAATTCTCATCACATTTTTTGACTCATAAGTTTATTGTACCATCAGTTGTGGTATATTATTCAGGACTTGTTTAAATGTGCTTATTTCAGCTAGTAGCAGCCTTGCCTCTCCTGTTTCAGTGACAGTGTTTAGAGCTGTGTTTTTCAAACTTAGGTTAACGCTGAGTAATGAGTCTTAGCACTATTTATTTATTTATTGACAAGGTCTCACTCTCTCACCCAAGCTGGAGTGCAATGGCATGATGATAGCTCACTGTAACCTCAAACCTCTGGGCTCAAGCAATGATCCTCTCGCCTCAGCATCCCAAGTAGCTAGGACTACAGATGCATGCCACCATGCTGGGCTAATTTAGGTTTTTGTATAGATGAGGTCTCACTATGTTGCCCAGGCTGGTCTCAAACTCCTGGCCTCAAGCAGTCCTCTCATATGAGCCATCACACTGGTCTCTTAGCACCATTAAAAAAACAAACAAAGAACAGAAAAGGAATACAATAGCGTAAGAGGCCATCACACACAGTAAGGGTAAGCATTGTTTGTGAAATATTGTGTGTGTGTGTGTGTGTGTGTGTGTGTACTGAGTCTCAATGTAAAATGTGTTTTTTCATAGGCCGTGGTCAGAAAGAAGTTGGGAGGCTTCCAGTACCAGACAAAATGGAGTAAGGCACTGCAGTCTCTGCCACTGATCACAACTAAAAATTCTGGACAAAATGTAACTAAGGACTCCGAAAAGTAAACAAGCAGCCAAATTATGGAAGGGAATCAAAGCTTGAAGAAACTATCTGTATGGGGTGAGTTTCCTCCAATTTTTCTTCTTTTCTATCACAGCTTTGAGCTGAGAATAGGTCCAGTTGGGGAGCTTCATGGTAGCAGAGACAGCAGAAACTCTGAGAGAAACACCATCTCTTTGACCAGAAGACTTAGGAAAAGGATCCCTGTGAGCCAAAGAGTGTAGAGTGAAATCCCCATTAAAACTATTTCATTTTCTCTCTCCTAGATCTGTCCCCAAGATGGAGAGACAGAATTTGCAGTTTGAACCTCATTAGATTGATTGCCTGCTAAAACAAACAAAACAAAAACAAAGTCAACACTTTCTGTTTTTTTTTTAGACGGAGTCTCGCTCTGTCGCCCAGGCTGGAGTGCAGTGGCACGATCTCAGCTCACTGCAAGCTCCACCTCCCAGGTTCACGCCATTCTCCTGCCTCAATCTCCAGAGTAGCTGGGACTACAGGCACCTGCCACCACGCCCGGCTAATTTTTTTTGTATTTTTAGTAGAGTCAGGGTTTCACTGTGTTAGCCAGGATGCTCTCAATCTCCTGACCTCGTGATATGCCCACCTCGGCCTCCCAAAATGCTGGGATTACGGGCATGAGCCACTGCGCCCGGCCCTATGCTTTCTAAAGCCAGGGTGAGCAAACTTTTTCCACAAAGGGCCAGATAATAAATATTTTAAACTTTGTGCCATACAGTCTTCTATCACAACTACTCAACCCTGCCATTGTAGTGCCAAAGCAACACAGTATGTAAATGAATCAGCCAGGCTGTGTTCCAGTAAAACTTTACCTATAAAAACAGGGGGAAGGCTGGATTTGGCCTGCAGTCATAGTTTGCTGATTCCTGCTGTAGAAGAATTTTAACAAGATTCAGAGTCTCACACCATATTAATACTATTCAAAATATCCAGGATGCAATCCAAAATTACTCCACAAAGCTCTAGAAAATGTTATCAATTTTTATGGGAAAAGATGATCAAAAGATGCCAGCACCAGAGAGGATGTAGAGAAATAGGAACACTTTTACACTGTTGGCGGGAATGTAAACTAGTTCAACCATTGTGGAAGACAGTGTGGCGATTCCTCAAGGATGTAGAACTGAAATACCATTTGACCCAGCGATCCCATTACTGGGTATATATCCAAAGGATTATACATCATGCTACTATAAAAACACATGCACACGTATGTTTATTGCGGCACTATTCACAATAGCAAAGACTTGGAACCAACCCAAATGTCCATCAATGATAGACTGGATTAAGAAAATGTGGCACATATAAACCATGGAATACTATGCAGCCATAAAAAAGAATGAATTCATGTCCTTTGCAGGGACATGGATGCAGCTAGAAACCATCATTCTGAGCAAACTATCACAAGGACAGAAAACCAAACACCACATGTTCTCACTCATAGGTGGGAATTGAATAATGAGAACACCTGGACACAGGGTGGAGAACATCACACCCTGGGGCCTGTTGTGGGGTGGGGAGTGGGAGAGGGATAGCATTAGGAGAAATACCTAATGTAAATGACGAGTTAATGGGTGCAGCAAACCAACATGGCACATGTATACCTATGTAACAAACCTGCACGTTGTGCACATGTACCCTAGAACTTAAAGTATAATAATAAAAAAAAGCAAAAATAAAAAAGATGCCAGCACCAATATGACCAAGAGGTTGGAATTATCAGATAAAGACTTAAAACATCTATTGTAAGTGTGCTGGATGAAATAATGGTAAACACACTTGTAATAAAGGGAAAGATAAAAGTTCTCAGCAGAAAAATAGAAACTATAAAAAGAACCAAATGGGAATTTTAGAACCAAAAAACACAGTATCTGAAATAAAAATTAACTGGATGGGCTTAACAGCAGAATGGAGACCACAGAAGAGGAAGTCAATGAACTTGAAGATAGATGAAGAGAAATGATCTATTCTGAAGAACAGAAAGAAAAAAAGATTGGAAAAATAATGAACAGTCTCAGGGTCTAATGTTCATATCACTGGAGTCCCAGGGGATGAATAACAGATTGGTGCAGAAAAGGAAATACTTGAAGAAATATGCTCTAATTTGATGAAAGATATAAAATTATAGATTCAAGAAAATTAGTGAACCCCAAACAGGATGAATGCAAAAAATGAACAAACTCCAGAAAACAAACACAAACAACTTACACTCAGACACATAATCAAACTCCAGAAACTTAAAAAAAAAAAAAAATCTCAAAAGCAATCTGAGAAACAATATAGAAGTTCCTGAGAAAATTAAAACATAGAATTATCAGCAATTCCACTTTTGAGTATATACTCAAATAATTGGAAGCTGGGTCTCGAAGAGATGTTTGCACACCCGTGTTCATAGCAGTATCATTCACAATAGTCAAAAGATGGAAGCAACACAAGTGCCCGTCAACAGATGAATGGATAAATAAAATGTGGTATATACACACAATCAAAATTTAACCTTAAAAAAGGAGGGAAATTCTGATCCATGCTAAAACGTGGATGAACCTTGAGGACATTATGCTTAGTGAAAGAAGCCGGTCACGAAAAGACAAATACTATATGCTTCCACTTCTGTGAGGTATCTAGAAAATTCAAATTCAAAAAGACAGAAAGTAGAATGGTGGTTGCCAGGGCCTGGGGGCAGAAGAGAATGGGAGCTGTTGTTTAAAGGGTATAGAGTGTCAGTTTTGCAGGGTGAAAGTTTTGGAGATCGCACGCAATGTGAATGTGCCTAACACTACTGTACACTTAAAAATGATTAAGATGGCAAGTTTTCTGATATGTACATTTTACCAGTTATTTGTTTTTAAAAAAAGCCTGAGAAAAATAATGAATTAAACACAGAAAATTATTCAATGACTGTAGATTTCTTGTTTTTTTTGAGACGGAGTCTCGCTCTGTCACCCAGGCTGGAGTACAGTGGTGCAATCTCAGCTGACTGCAACCTCCACTTCCCAGGTTCAGGTGATTCTCCTGCCTCAGCCTCCTGAGTAGCTGGGACTACAGGCATGGGCCACCATGCCCGGCTAATTTTTGTGTTTTTAATAGAGACGGGGTTTTTCACCACATTGGCCAGGCTGGTCTTGAACTCCTGACCTCGTGATCCCCCCGCCTCGGCCTCCCAAAGTGCTGCGATTACAGGCATGACTGTGGATTTCTTATCAGAAGCCATGGAAAAAAAGATGATGGAACAACATGGGTAAAGTGTCAGAAAGTAAAAAAAAAAATCTATATCACGAGAAAATAGATTCAGGAATGAAGGCAAAATAAAGGCATTCTCAGATGAAAGAAAACTAAGAGAACTGTTGGCAGATCTGTTCTAAGTGCTAAAGAAAGTTGTTTAGGCTGAAGGGAAACAACTATATCAGA
Organism: Homo sapiens; assembly: GCF_000001405.40. Classification (NCBI taxonomy): domain Eukaryota; kingdom Metazoa; phylum Chordata; class Mammalia; order Primates; family Hominidae; genus Homo; species Homo sapiens. Next base: position 37,336,448 of record NC_000006.12, on the reverse strand, counting down.
AAGAAACCTGGAATTTAAGGACTGAAGGAAGAACATGACAGGTAAAATCTCCTCTTCAGTTCCTTCAAATATGTACGACTGTTGAGAACAAAATGATAATAATATCTGGTAAGGTTTTCAATGGATATAGATGTAATTCATGTAACGATTATAAAGGAAGGAGGGATTAAGGACCTAAATGGTTGTTAAGACTTCTGAATTTTAATTGAAGAGATAAGATATAAACTCTAAATAGACTGTGAACAACTTTAGGTATGTATATTGTAATCTTCGGAGCAATCTCTTAAAAAATTTATATAGCCAAAAGCCAATAAATATGTTATTCAAATAATTCAAAAGGTGACAGGAAAGGATGGGGGGAAGTAACAAACATAAAAGGGAACAAAAGAAAAAGATAAAATGGTAGACTAAATCCAACCATATTAATAATATTAATTGCAAATGGCTTGAATGTACCAATTAAAAACAAGAGATTGTCAGGTTGGATTGCAGAACAAGACCCAACTACATTGTCTTTAAGAAATCCATATTGAGGCTGGGCACCGTGGCTCGTACCTGTAATCCTAGCACTTTAAGAGGCCGAAGTGGGTGGATCACCTGAGGTCAGGAGTTGGAGACCAGCCTGGTTAACATGGCGAAACCCCATCTCTACTAAAAATACAAAAATTAGCACGGTGTGGTGGCGGGCACCTGTAATCCCAGCTACTCAGGAGGCTGAGGCAGGAGAATCGCTTGAACCCAGGGGGCAGAAGTTGCAGTGAGCCGAGATTGACCCACTGCACTCCAGCCTGGGTGACAAAGCAAGACTCCATCTCAAAAAAATAAAAAATAAAATAAGAAATCCACATTGAACATAAAGACATAGATAGGTTAAAAGTAAAGGAAGGAAAATAAGTTTGGAGACCAGTGGTTTGAAGAGGTTTGGGCTTTCCTTTCAGATAGCTGGGTTGGGTGGGGCAGGTTTAGTGGGGTCACTATTGAGACAAGCTTAGTATCCATACAAGCAAAAGTAGCCCAGGGTCTGGCTCCCAGATTCCCCACAATGGCTCTCACTTCAGGCAGGGACTGTCACACTCACCCTGCAGAAGCCACACCACCTGCCGAACCAAACTGAACAGGGATTCTCCTTGCTTCCAAGAATTCTAATTCAGCCTTTGCCAAAGCAAGGGGATGCCTTTCCTTGGGAGATGCCTTGGTTGGCCATGGTTGTGGGCCTGTGGCACCTATCCTGGCAAGCTGGCACAGGCTCAGAAGACCCTGGTCTTGTGGTACTGTACTTTAGGCTGATACTGTGGGAAGCTCATCTTTTTCATCATGAATCTAAAATCATCACCTTGGCATCTATGGCAGCTTCTAAAACTGTCTCCAACCAGGAAATTAGTGTTGGACATCCTGAGAGAGGTAGAGGTATGAAAGGCTCAGTTACTGGGGCTTAGTTTTCGCCTCCAATCCTCAAAGTTGTACATAACTGTTTTGAAATGCAAAGTCCAGTCCAAGGCAAGCCAAATGCTGTCAACAAGAGGCTCTTGCCTCTAGAAGCAAATAAGTCACTGAGGAATCTATGCCACTATCCCTTTGCAGATCAATACAAACAGAGGCAGGGCCTATTTTAAGTAGAACCTTGTAGAGATTTAAATTGTAGAAATATTGGATAAACCGTAGATTAGAGTATGCCAGGATTAGTTCGGAAGATTTCATCAATTTTCTAGTCATGATCTAACAAACCTGTCTCAGAAAATGCTTGACTTCCTGCATAAATGAAAAACAGAATGTTTGAATGAAGACTAGTTCAGGTTAGTTATTTTTAGTCTCAGGAACAATTAATGGCTTCAGTCCAAATAATATCAAGTAGAAAGTATTCGTGTTTTACGACAAAGGTTAAATTACAAAGTTAATTGTGAAGAGTGACTTAGATTTTGAACACGCATTCCCTTTCTGTATGCTTATGGGAAAGTCTGTCTCTATTGTAAACTTATTTTTATAAGTTCTTTTTGTAGAGACTGTTACCTGAATCCTAATGTCTGTGTTCCCCTTCCTCCATAGTACCAGAATCCTTTTAGCCAGGCATATGTCTGCCTGAAATGGACTCATCTTCCCAACCTCTCCTGCAACTAGGTGCAACCTACCATGGACTAAGTTCTGCTGTGAGTTGTAGGAGGAGGTACAATGGGGCACCTTCCTGGAACCTTCCTTACAACACTGTTGGCACATTTCCTTTTTCTTCTTTGTCACCTCTTTAATTCATCCTGTGGCTTGGAAAGTTGGTGTAAAAATAGCTGGAGTGCTGGCTACCATGCTGACCATGAAGACCTAGGGAGGGAGTCCAGGTACCTAAGCACTTTGTGAAACAGAGTCATCTTACTAGCCCTGGGTTGCCTACTTTTGGGCATTTATGTGAGGGAGAAGTAAATTCTCATCCTGTGTAAGTCACTGTTATTTATTTATTTGTTTATTTATTTAGAGACGGAGTCTCGCTCTTGTTGCCCAGGCTGGAGTGCAATAGTGTGAACTCGGCTCACTGCAACCTCCACCTTCCCGGGTTCAAGTGATTCTCCTGCCTCAGCCTTGTGAGTAGCTGGGATTACAGGTGCCCACCACCACGCCTGGCTAATTTTTTTGTATTTTTAGTAGAGACAGGATTTCACTATGTTGGCTCGGCTGGTCTCAAACTCCTGACCTTGTGATCCACCTGCCTCGGCCTCCCAAAGTTCTGGGATTACAGGCATGAGCCACTGCGTCCGCCCTATTTTTGGTTTTTATTACACATAGCTGAATTTAATTTTTATGTGGTTCCTAATGACTGAAACCAAGAAATACTCTCAAATAAATCCTAGGAAGGAATTCTGGGTGGAGAAACCATTCCAACCTGTCCTTTGTAGATGAAATGTAATCAGCTACCTTTCTTGAGATATTTCACAGTAAGGTTACCAAGAAAAAAAAAACAACAGCTGACAACCGAAAAAAGACTTAAAGACAATCCTACATGGCGGCCATCTTAGTTCTTTCTACTCTGGTGGAAACACACTGAACAGGCAAGCCAGGAGGACACCGGGTCTCTGGTTCTGACTCTGATGCTGTCTTCCTTGGCCTTGGCTTGGATTTTCCTCTGCGAATGAGGGGGTTAAACTAGATATCTCCAAGTTTTCATCCAGCACTGAAATTCTAGTCTGTTTTCTACCCTCTATCAGATAACATACTTCTTTTAGATGAATGAAATAATCCATGTAAAGTGCTTCTCAAAGTGGTTGGCAAGTTAACTCTTTTTAGTAGTTTCATTTACCAAGTTACTCATTTTTGTAGTTTCCACAGTACCTTTCATAGATGGATGTCGGGTAAGTGTTTGCTGGTTGATCCTCTGCTGATGCCCTGCTCACCTCACAGAAGGCCTGACCACACACCTACTAGTATCAGCAAGAAAAACTCAAAAAGAGGAGACTCTTTAGGTTCCATGGACACATACAGGAGAAAAACCAGCAGATGGAGGAGGAAATACACCATTTATTTACAATTCTTTTCACTTTATCCACAATTTCCCATACAAACATAAAAACTAAAAAAATAAAACCACCACTTGGGAACACAAGTGTCTTTCTTTAATTAGTCCGGTTGAGGGAGGGTCTCAAGCCCTCTCACTCTATGAAGGAGACCACTGAGGCACACCGAAGGGGAAAAGGAAGAGGGTTGGGAAGAATGCCTGAGAAACAGCTCCAGATGAGAAACC